>NC_000002.12:241199684-241527632 GCF_000001405.40 Homo sapiens | reverse complement strand
GCGCATGCCTGTAATCCCAGCTACTCGGGAGGCTGAGGCAGGAGAATCACTTTTACCCAGGAGGCGGAGGTTTCAGTGAGCCGAGATGGTGCCATTGCACTCCAGCCTGGGCAATAAGAGTGAAACTCCGTCTTAAAAAAAAAAAAAGAAAGAAAGAAAAGAAGGCCGGGCACGGTGGCTCACGCCTGTAATCCCATCACTTTGGGAGGCTGAGGCAGGTGGATGACAAGGTCTAGGAGTTTGAGACCAGCCTGGTCAGTATGTTGACACCATGTCTCTATTAAAAATACAAAAATTATCTGGGCATGGTGGCCTCGCGCCTGTAGTCCCAGCTACTCGGGAGGCTGAGGCAGAAGAATCGCTTGAACCCAGGAGGCGGACGTTGCAGTGAGCTGAGATGGTGCCACTGCACTCCGGCTGAGGTGGGTGGATCACGAGGTCAGGAGATCAAGACCATCCTGGCCAATATGGTGAAACCTTGTCTCTACTAAAAATACAAAAATTAGCTGGGCATGGTGGTGTGCACCTGTAGTCCAAGCTATTCAGGAGGCTGAGGCAGGACAACTGCTTGAACCCAGGAGGCACAGGCTGCAGTGAGCAGAGATCGCGCCACTGCACTCCAGCCTGGGTGACAGAGCAAGACTCTGTCTCAAAAAAAAAAAAGAAAAAAAAAGAAAAAGAAAAGAAAACAAATATCTCTTTAAGCTCCTGTTTTTAATTTGTGGGGAGTATATGCCCAGAAGTGGGATTCCTGGATCATACAGGGCTACGGTTTGAATGTGTGCAGCAAAGTTCATGTGTTGAAAACCTAATCCTCAAAATGCAGTGGTGTCGGGAGGTGGGGCCTAGTAAGAGCCATTTAGGGCACGAGGACTCTGCCACCATGAATGGTTTCATGCTGTTATCGCGTGAGTGTGTCAGTTAGCTCACAAGTGGCTTTGTTATAAGTGAATACGGCCCCTCTTGCTCTCGTGCCCTTTCGCTGTCTCTCTCTCTTGCCCTTCCACCTTCCACTACAGACGACGCAGGAAGGCCCTCACCAGATGCTGGTGCCCTGCCCTTGGACCTCTCAGCCTCCAGAACCATGAGTCAAATAAACATCTATTGCTTATCAATTACCCAGTTATCAGGGGAACCCGCTCCTAATATTTCAACGTAGGTTCTATTTTCCATAAGTGTCGGCTGGTCTGAGAAATAGAGAAAGAGTACAAAGAGAGGAATGTTACAGCTGGGCCGCCGGGGGTGACATCACATATCGGTAGGACCGTGATGCCTGCCTGAGCCACAAAACCAGCAGGTTTTATTAAGGATTTCAAAAGGCGGGGCGGGGGGGTATGAACAGGGAGTAGGAACAAAGATCACATGCTTCAAAGGGCAAAAGGCAGAACAAAGATCGCATGCTTCTGAGGAAACGGGACAAGGCAAAACAGAACTACTGATAAGGGTCCATGTTCAGCGGTGCACGTATTATCTTGATAAACGTCTTAAACAACAGAAAACAGGGTTCGAGAGCAGAGAACCGGTCTGACCTCAAATTTACCAGGGTGGGGTTTTTCTCTACCCTAGTAAACCTGAGGGTACTGCAGGAGACCAGGGCGTATCTCAGTCCTTATCTCAACCGCATAGGACAGACATTCTCAGAGCGGCCGTTTATAGACCTCCCCCCAGGAATGCAATTCTTTTCCCAGAGTATTAATATCAATATTCCTTGCTAGGAAAAGAATTTAGCGATATCTTCCCTACTTGCACATCTGTTTATAGGCTGTCTGCAAGAAGAAAAATATGGCTCTTTTTGCCCGACCCCGCAGGCAGTCAGGCCTTATGGTTGTCTTCCCTTGTTCCCTAAAATCGCTGTTATTCTGTTTTTTCAAGGTGCACTGATTTCATATTGTTCAAACACACATTTTACAATCAATTTGTACAGTTAACACAATTATCACAGGGTCCTGAGGTGACGTACTTTCCCAGTTTACGAAGATAACAGGATTAAGAGATTAAAGTAAGACAGGTGTAAGAAATTATAAGAGTATTATTTGGGAAGTGATAAATGTCCATGAAATCTTCACAATTTATGTTCCTCTATCGCAGCTCCAGCTGGTCCCTCCGTTCGGGGTCCCTGAATTCCCGCAACACCTGTCTTAGGTATTCTGCTATAGCAACACACAGTGAGCTATGATGTATGGGAATTCTGTTTTTAGTTTTTTGAGGAACCACCATTCTGTTTTCCACAGCAGCTATACCATTTTACAATCCCACCAACAGTGCACAGGTTCCAATTTTCCCACAGCTGTGCCAACACTGGTTATTTTATGTTTCTTTGATAGTAACCATCCTGATGGGTGTAAAGTGGTATCTCAGTGGGATTTTGATCTGTTTCCCTAATGATTAGTGATGGCGGGCATCTTTTTGTGTGCTTCTTGGCCATTTGTATGTTTTCTTTGGGAAAATGTCTATTAAAGTTGTCTATTCTTCAATTGAGTTGTTTGATGTTGCTGAGTTGTAGGAGTTCCTTATATATTCTGGATATTAAACTCTTATCAGATATATAATTTGCAAGCATTTTCTTCCACGGATTCTCTTTTCACTCTCTTGAGAGTGTCCTTTGATGTACACAAGTTTTAATTTTGATGCAGTTCAATTTAATTTTTCTTTTGCTGCTTGTCCTTTTGGTGTCACATTTCAGAAACCATCACCAAATCCAAGATCACAAAGATTTTTTTCTGATGTTTTCTTCTGGGAGTTTTATAGCTTTAGCATGGTTTTGGTTCTATGGATTGTGCTTTGGTATTATATCTAAGAACTCTTTTCCCAGGTCACAAGGATTTTAGATATTTTCACCTAAAAATTTTATAATGTTATATTTTTTACATTTAGACCTATGACCCATTTATATCAATTTTTGTATAAAGCTTGTGGTTTAAGTTGAGATTACCTCTTTTTTTGGTATATGAATGTCCAATTGTTCCAGCGCCCTTCATTGAAAAGACTATTCTTCTCTCTGTTGACTTGTTTTTGCACCTTGTCAGAAATCAGTTAGCTGTATGTGTGTGGCCTACTGCTGGATCCTATTGTTCAAATGACCTGTGTATATATCCCTTTACCCAAACTACACTGCTTATAGGAAGGCTTAAAAGTGGGGAGTACGATTTAACTTTATTTTTCTGTTTGAAAATTGTTTAGAGTATTATAGTGTCTTTGCTTTTCCATATGCATTTTAGAATCAGCTTGTCTATGTCTTGTCATAGCTTGTCCAGACCGAGAGACATCTGGGGACAACCAATGGGTAACTCATAGCCATTCAGTGGTACTTTGAATTCTGGTTGTATTAGTCCATTTTCACACTGCTGATAAAGACATATCTGAGACTGGGTAATTTATAAAGAAAAAGAGGTTTAATGGACTCACAGTTCCACATGGCTGGGGAGGCCTCACAATCGTGGCAGAAGGCAAAGACATGTCTTACATGGTGACAGGCAAGAGAGAAAATGAGAACCAAGCAAAAGTGGTTTCCCCCTTTTATAAAACCGTTAGATCTCGTGAGACTTACTAGTTACCATGAGAACAGTATGGGAGGAACCGCCCCCGTGATTCAATTATCTCCCACCAGGTCCCTCCCACAACACGTGGGAATTATGGGAGCTACAATTCAAGATGAGATTTGGGTGGGGACACAGCCAAACCATATCACTGGTCTTTCCTAATCCACCTGCTGCTATTTCCTGCTCAGAAACCTCAAGTATCTGCTCCATTAGTTGCGTCCAGATTTTATAGCTGCATTCCACAGGAGAGGCAGGTGGAACTTGCTTACTCCATCTTACCTGGAATTGAAACCCTCTTGTTAATTTTTAATAGTGTGATAATGGCATTGTAGTTATATTTTTAAAGCCCTTATCTTTTATTTATTTATTTATTTATTTATTTATTTTTTGAGTCGGAGTCTCGCTCTGTCTCCCAGGCTAGAGTGCAGTGGCGCGATCTCGGCTCACTGCAAACTCCGCCTCCCAGGTTCACGCTATTCTCCTGCCTCAGCCTCCCGAGTAGCTGGGACTACAGGCACCCACCACCACGCCCGTCTAATTTTTTTGTATTTTTAGTAGAGACGGGGTTTCACCATGTTAGCCAGGATGGTCTCGATCTCCTGACCTTGTGATCCACCCGCCTCGGCCTCCCAAAGTGCTGGGATTACAGGCGTGAGCCACCGCGCCTGGCCTTAAAGCCCTTATCTTTTAGAGATGTAAACAGAAATATATATGGATTAAATAATTATTTAATTATTTATTTATTTTTATTTTTTTGAGACAGAGTCTCGCCCTGTTGCCCAGGCAGGAGTGCAGTAGCATTATCGGCTCATTGCAACCTCCACCTCCAGGTACAAGCGATTCTCCTGCCTCAGCCTCCCAAGTAGCTGAGATTACAGGCATGTGCCACCACGCCCTGCTAATTTTCGTATTGTTAGTAGAGATGGGGTTTCACTGTGCTGGGCAGGCTGGTCTTGAACTCCTGACCTCTAGCGATCCGCCTGCCTCGGCCTCCCAAAGTACTGGGATTATAGGCATGAGCCACCGCACCTGGCCTGGATTAAATGATTTTTTTAAGCCACAATGAGAACTATTTTTAAAAAATATATCAGATTAGCAAGGATAAAAAAGTTTGTTAATGGAAAAGCAGCAGGAGGCAGTCGTGTGGACACTGCAGCCAGGCTTCCTGGGTTCCAACCCTAGCCCCTCACCTTCACAAACGTGGCCTTGAGCTGCTGCTAGCCTCCCTCAGCTGTAATGGGGACAATCATAGACCCTTCTCCCAGGGTGTGGGGTGGACAAAATGAGTTGAAAGGCGGAATCACTTACAACCTGCGAGTGAATCTGAGCTGTTTGTTACTTACCCCAGGGGTGGGGAGAAGTGTCAGAAGGGTGCAGCCCCATGGAGGGCAGTCTCCTGTGTCAGCATTTTCAACACTTGTCCCTGTTGACTCAGCAACTCTCCTTCTAGGAATCGTGCCTGTATGCTCTCATAGGGGAGGCCACTTCAGGGTTCGTGGTAACAGCAAAGGTCAGGAGACCCCTAAATATTCATCCACAGGGACACGTTCCATTATGGCTGAGTGCTAATTTGTTTAGAATAGAATCCTATAGATGTCTATTGTTCTGTTGTGGGAAGTTAGGTCTATGTTGTGGTGCAGAGGGAAGGGCACAGCCGGCTACCATTTGTATAAAAATAGAAGAATACACACGTAGGTGTGTCTGCCTCTCCACACACAGATGCTCCACAAAGGCCCCGAGGGCCCAGCAGTGGTGTCCCTCAGAGAGGAGAGCTGCAGACAGGTAGTGTGCGAGGGCAACTCAGTTTTCACCGAGTATCTTCTCTTACTTTTTTTTTTTTTTGAGACGGAGTCTCGCTCTGTCGCCCAGGCTGGAGTGCAGGGGCGCGATCTCGGCTCACTGCAAGCTCTGCCTCCCGGGTTCACGCCATTCTCCTGGCTCAGCCTCCCGAGTAGCTGGGACCACAGGCGCCCACCACCACACCCGGCTAATTTTTTTGTATTTTTAGTAGAGACGGGGTTTCACCATGTTAACCAGGATGGTCTCGATCTGCCGACCTCATGATCCGCTCGCCTCGGCCTCCCAAAGCGTTGCAATTACAGGCGTGAGCCACCGTGCCCGGCCTTTCTCTTACTTTTTAACTATTATAACATCTACATATATTATCTTCTCAAAAGAAGTTGAAAATAATAGTAAAAAGGAAATAATTCATACTATTGATCTATAGATTCCATGCAATTCCTCTCCAAATTCCAATGACATTCTTCAACGAAATAGAAAAAAAATCCTAAAATTGTTTAGAATCACAGAAGAGGCTAGGCCTGGTGGCTCATGCTTGTAATCTCAGCACTTTCCCGATTAACTGGGAAAGGTTTCTGGAGAAAACAAGAGTTGAGTGGGCTTTCTCACCTCCGTGCCTTTCCTTCAGTCACAGTACAGGACCGACGGGAGGAAGTGGGGGGCCGAGGTGGGACGATCAGCAACATAGGGAGACCCCATCCCTACAAAAAATGTAAAAATTAGTGGGGCGTGGGTGGCACCGTGGTCCCAGCTGCTCAGGAGGCTGAGGTGGGAGGATTGCTTGAGCATTGGAGGTTGCAGCTGCAGTGAGCTAGGATCATGCCGCTGTACTTCAGCCGGAGCCATAGAGCAAGACCCTGTTTTAAACAAGCCAACCAACCAAAAAATGTGATACACACACACACAAATATTATTCAGTCTTCAAAAAGAAGGAAATGATCCTGTCATTTGTGACAGACAACATGGATGAAACTGGAGGACACTGTGCCCAGTGAAACAAGCCAGGCATCAACAGACAAATACTGCATTATTTCACTTATTACGGAAAGCAAAAAGGGTGAACTCACGGCAACAAGGAACAGAAGGGGTAGTCACCAGGTCCTGGGAGGTAGGATAAACAGGGAAACGTTGGTAGAAGGGTACAAACTGTCAGCTATAAGATGAATAATCACGTCTCGTACACTTGATATTGGCTAAGAGAGATCTTGTATCCTAACCACGCACACACACACACACGCACACACACACACAAACGTAACTCTGTGAGGTGAGGAACATGTTAGCTCAATTGTGGTAATCATTTTAAAGTACGTATGTGCATCAAATCATCATGTTGCATGCCCTAAGTACATACAGTTTTAAATTTTGAATTGTACCTGAATAAAGCTGGAAAAAAATAAAAATTAACTGGGAAAGGTTTCTGGAGGAAACAAGGGTTGAGTGGACTTTCTCACCTCAGAGCCTTGCCCTCAGTCACAGTTCAGGACTGTGGGAGGAAGTGGGGTGAGGCCCCTCCCTTCTTTTGATTTAACTTTTTTTTTTCGAGATAGGGTCTTTCTCCATCATCCAGGCTGGAGTGCAGTGGCAAAATCACAGCTCACTGCAGCCTCGACCTCCTGGGTTCAAGTGATCCCCCCCACCTCAGTCTTACAAGTAAATGGGACCACAGGCAGCTGCCACCATGCCCAGCTAATTTGTAAATTTTGTGTAAAGGCAGGGTCTCCTTATGTTGCCCAGGTTGGTCTCAAACTCCTGGGCTCAAACAGTCCTCTTACTGTGACCTCCCCAAGTGCTGGATCATAGGCATGAGCCACCATACCCGGTCTTTTTATTTTATTTTATTTTGTGGGTTCAAGCAATCCTCCCACCTCAGCCACCTAAGAAGCTGGGACTACAGGCATACCCCATGCCTGGCTAATTTTTTAAATTTTTTGTATAGACTGGGTCTTGCTATGTTGCCCAGGGCTGGTCTTTAACCCCTGGCCTCAAGCAGTCCTCCCGCGTCAGCCTCCTGAGTAGCCAGGATTACAGGTATGAGCCACCATGCCCGGCAGGGGCCTTCTTCAGCAAGTTTTCTTCATTTTTTCATTGAATTATTACCCCCATATACTCCAAATAAACAGCCTCCACAAGCGTTTATCACTCCTATTTAGAAATAAAGAAATTTTAATTCAAAAAGGTTAAGTAACTTGCCCAAGGCCACACAGGGACGTGTGCCTGACGCTACCGCACACATCCGTCTTCCTGGGGAGAAGTGAGTATGTGGGAATAGGAGGCAGCAGTCTGGGGACTTGGATTTTAGCTCTACTCTACTAGGGAACCTGGAGCAACCAACCTCCGTGAGTTAAACTCAGAGTCCAGGCAGCTGTGGCTGAAGCCTCCCTTCTGCCTGAGGCCAGGAGGGGCTGCTGGAGGCTCAGATGTGTTGCTTTTCCCCAGGGAGGGTTTATGTCCTGAGTAAGTGCAGCTACCTGCGGTTTTTCACTCACTCCATGCGAACACATCCTAGATCGTCGCATGGCTCAATGGCACTCTTTGTTTATAGAAATTCTTCTTTCTGCCGGGCGCAGTGCCTCACGCCTGTAATCCCAACATTTTGGGAGGCTGAGGTGGGTGGATCACGAGATCAGGATTTCGAGACCAGCCTGACCAACATAGTGAAACCCCATCTCTATTAAAAATACAAAAATTAGCCGGGCGTGGTGGCACACGCCTGTAATTCTAGCTACTCAGGAGGCTGAGGCAAGAGACTTGTTTGAACCTGGGAGGCGGAGGTTGCAGTGAGCCGAGATGGTGCCATTGCACTCCAGACTGGGTGACAGAGCGCAACTCTGTCTCAAAAAATAAAAATAAAAAAGTAATTCTTCTTTCTGTTTCATTTTGCATATTTCTATCACTATGTTTTCAAATTATCTAAACTTTTAAAAAAATTTTTTTTTATTGAGATGGGGTCTCATTATGTTGCCCAGGTTGGTCCCAAACTGCTGGCCTCAAATGCTCCTCCCGCCTTGGCCTCCCAGAATGCTGGGATTACAGGCGAGGGCCACACTCACTAGGCTCTTCCTCTGCGGTGTCTTGTCTGCTGTGAATCCCGTCCTGTGTATCTTTCATATCACACATTGCAGTTTCAACTCTAGAAAATTACTTTCGGGCGTTTTTATAAGGTCCATGTTTCTACTTAACTTTTCTCATATGTAAAATACAGTTATAATAACTTTTAATATACTTGTCTGTTAATTCTAACATTCGTGTTAACTACGAGTTGTTTTTGATTGGTTGATTTTTCTCCTCAAGGCTAATATATATATATTTTGAGATGGAGTCTCGCTCTGTTGCCAGGATGGAGTGCAGTGCTGTGAACTTGGCTCACTGCAACCTCCGCCTACCGGGTTCAAGAGATTCTCCTGCCTCAGCCCCCTGAGTAGCTGGGACTACAGGCGCGCACCACCACACCCAGCTAATTTTTGTATTTTTAGTAGAGACGAGGTTTCACCGTGTTGGCCAGGATGGTCTCGATCTCTTGACCTCGTGATCTGCCTGCCTTGGCCTCCCAAAGTGCTGGGATTACAGGCGTGAGCCACTGCACCCAACCAAGGCTAACATTTTCCTGCTGTTTGCATGCCTGCTAACTTTCCATGAGATTATCATTGTCATGTAATTTACTTGGTTGGGTGCTGCATATTTTTGTATTCCTATAAATATTCCTGAGCTTTGTTCTTTGATGCAATTAAGTTACTTGGAAACGGTTGGATCTTTTCAGGTCTTGGTCTAATATTTGTTATGCAGGAATGAGTAGTTTTCAGTTGATGGGTAATTGTTCCTTTAGGGTGCTAGGTAAAATACAGAACACACAGTGGAATTTTAATTTCAGATAAACAACGTTTTAATATAAATATTAATATATCCCCTGCTTTTTTTTTTTTTTTTTTTTTTTGAGACAGGGTCTTGCTCTACTCCCCTCGCTGGAGTGGAGCAAGCTCACGGCTCACTGCTGCCTCTACCTTCCAAGCTCAAGTGATCCTCTAACCTCAGCCTCCTGAGTAACTGGGACCACAGGCATGTACAACCACGCCTGGCTAATTTTCTTAATTATTTGTAGAGATGAGATCTTGCTCTGCTGCCCAGGCTGGTCTCACACTTCCGGGCTCAAGCCATCCTTCCACCTCAGCTTCCCAAAGTGCTGGGGTTAGAGGTGTGAGCCACCATGCCTAGCCCTGCCCATTTTTAAATTGGGTTATTTATATTTTTATTATTGCATTGTAAGAACTTTTTAAAATATATATCTTGGATACAAGTCCCTTATCAGACAGATGATTTGCAGATACTTTCTCCCATTTGGTAGGTTGCCTTTTCACTTTCTTGATGGTGTCCTTTGAAGCATACAAGTTTTCAATTTGGTGAATTTGAATTAATCTATTTTTAAATTTTGTCTCTTGTGCATTTGTCATATCTAATAAGCTATTTTATAGTTTTAGCGCTTACATTCAAATTCATGATCCGTTTTTAGTTGATTGGGTCTAACTTCATTCTTTTGCATGTGGATATCCAGTTGTGTGTGTGTGTGTTGGATGTGTGTGTTGGGGTTTGTGTGTTGGGGTGTGTGTACGTGTATGTGTTGTGTATGTTTGTGTGTTGGTGTGGGGTGTTGTGTGTATTAGTGTATTAGTGTGTGTGTTGGGTATGTGTGTTGTGTGTGTGTTGAGGTGTCTACGTGTTGTGTGTTGGGTATGTGTATTGTGTGTGTTGAGGTATCTACGTGTTGTGTGTTGGTGTGTGTGTGTTTTGTGTGTGTTTCGTGTGTGTTGGGTATGTGTATGTTGTATGTGTTGGGGTGTGTGTTGGGTGTTGCGTATGTACATTATGTATGTATTGGGATGTGTGTTGGGTATATGTGTGTGTTGGGCATGTGTGTATTGGGGCTGTGTATTTGTGTGTTGGGCGTGTGTTGTGTGTATTGGGGGTGTATATGTGTGTGTTGTGTATGTTTGTGTGTGTGTTGGGTGTGTGTATATGTCAGGTGTGTGTGTTGGGTATATGTGTGTGTTGGGGTGTGTGTGTTGGTGTTGTGTGTGTTGGGTGTGTGTTTTGTGTATTGGGTGTGTTGTGTTGGGTGTGTTGAGTGTGTATTGGGGGTGTGCATGTGTGTGTTGCGTGTTGGGTATGTGTATGTGTGTTGGGTGTGTGTGTGTGTTGGGGTGTGTGTGTTGGGGGTGTGTGTTGGGTGTGTGTGTGTTGGGTGTGTGTGTGTTGGGGGTGTGTGTTGGGTGTGTGTGTTGGGTGTGCACGTTGTGTGGTGGGGTGTGTGTGTTGGGGGTGTGTGTTGGGTGTGTGTGTGTTGGGTGTGTTTGTGTGTGTGTTGGGGGTGTGTTTGGGGTGTGTGTGTTGGGTGTGTGTTCGGGGTGTGTGTTGGGTGTGTTTGTTGGGGGTGTGTGTGTGTTGGGGGTGTGTTTGTGTTGGGTGTGTGTGTATGTTGTGTATGTGTTGGGATGTGTGTTGGGTATATGTGTTGGGCGTGTGTGTGTGTTGGGTGTGTGTTGTGTGTATTGGGTGTGTTGTGTTGGGTGTGTTGAGTGTGTATTGGGGGTGTGCATGTGTGTTGCGTGTTGGGTATGTGTATGTGTGTGTTGGAGTTGTGTGTGTGTTGGGTATGTGTTGTGTGTGTGTTCAGTGTGTGTGTTGGGTATGTGTGTGTGTTGGGGTGTGTGTGTTGGGTGTGTGTTGGGGTGTGTGTGTTGGGTGTGTGTTGGGGGTGTGTGTTGGGTGTGTGTGTGTTGTGTGCGTGTGTTGGGGGTGTGCGTGTGTTGGGGGTGTGTGTGCTGGGGGTGTGTGTGTTGGGTGTGTGTGTGTGTTGGGTGTGTTTGTGTGTGTGTTGTGGGGGTGTGAGCACAGAGCTTATCTGCCCTCCCTGGGCATGCTGCCCTCCAGCAGCTTGCACATGTTCAGGTATCTGCAAGATCCCAGCACCATTTGTTGAAAAAATTACTCTTCCCCTTTGTTCACTGGCTGGAACAGAGCTAAAACAAAACAATTAAAATAAAGTAATTATTTCCCAACTGAATTGTCTTGGCATACTTTTAAAAAATCAATTGATCATAAGTCTATTTCTGGTAATGAATTTGATTTCATTAATCTACGTATCTTTTTTTGTTTGTTGTTTGAGATGGAGTCTCACTCTGTCACCCAGGCTGGAGTGCAGTGGCACAGTCTCAGCTCACTGCAACCTCCACCTCCCAGGTTCAAAAGATTCTCCCGCTTCAGCTTCCGGAGTAGCTGGGACTACAGGCGCCCGCCACCAGGCCCAGTTAATTTTTTTTTTTTTTCCCGAGACGTAGTCTAGCTCTGTCACCCAGTTTGGAGTGCAATGACACAATCTCAGCTCACTGCAACCTCCGCCTCCTGGGTTCAAGTGATTCTTGTGCCTCAGCCTCCTGAGTAGCTCACATCACAGACGTGTGCCACCATACCCAGCTAATTTTTTGTATTTTTAGTAGAGATGGGGTTTCACTATGTTGGTCAGGCTGGTTTCAAACTCCTGACCTCAAATGATCCGCCCGCCTCGGCCTCCCAGTGTTGGAATTACAGGCATGAGCCACCTTGCCCTGCTGTACTCACTCTTAATTATTATATGGTACATATGTAAACGTCCCGTAGACTTGGAGTTTTAAAACATTCTTTACCCACCGAAGTGTCCTATGCTTTCTTCTCACACCAAAAAAACCTTAGCTTTTGTGGCCAGGCAGCAGTTCATATTGTTGTCTTTGCTCTCGGTGGCTTGAAACTAAAAGTGATTCTGACATTTTCTGAACTAAGACTGAAGTGCAGTTTCCCTTTCTCTTCTCCTACTTCTAGATGCCATTTTTCTATCTTCTTCCTTACTTCTACTTCTACATGGTTAAAGTGGAAAACCTTCACGTTCTATAGAGAATAATTATAAATGTTAAAAATCAACATATGGGAATTACATTATTAAGCCTAAGACATTACTGCTGAGCCTGTGACAGCTATAATTCCCTCATCTTTGTGTTTTCCAAAGATGGCCTCAACATTACCTCCCTCCTCTATGTTTGTCTCACAATGTGAGTTACATGCTTTCCCCCCTTAAATCTGGGTGAGCCATGACGATGGTGGAAGTGGTGCTAACCAGCTGCCAGGTCATTACGAAGCCATGCACTGTGCCAGGTCATTACGAAGCCATGCACTGGCACCTTTTCCTTCCAGAATGCTAGCCTTTGGAATCTCCTGCTGCAGACTCATTTGTGTCTCTTCTACTCCAAAGTTCATATGCTGAAGCCCTAACCGTCAATGTATTTGGAGATAAAGCTTACAAGGAGTTAATGCAAGTTAAATGAGTTCATAAGGGTGGATCCCTGATCCAACAGGATCGGGCCCTCATGAAAAGAGACACCAGAGAGCTCTCTGTCTGCCATGTGAGGACACAGTGAGAAGGCAGCCATTTGCAAGCCAGGAAGAGGGCCTCACCAGGAACTGAATCAGCCAGCATCTTAATCTCAGACTTCCTAGCCTCCAAAACCGTCAGAAATAAATGTCTATTGTCATAGTCATAGGCTGGTATTTTGTTATAGCAGCCTGAGCAGACTAATGCAACCTTCTCATCCCCTCTCCTGCCTACCACACTGTGAGAAAGCTCGAGAAGCCAGTGAGAAGAATGGAGGCCCCAGGCTCACAGCCCTGGATGAGCTCCAGCCTTCAACCAGTACAGACCGAGTGGCCACATAAGCGAGTTTTCTTCAACTTGGATCCTCCAGCCCCAGCTGGCACATGTGAAGCAGAAAAGAGGTGCCCCATCAAGACCTGTCCAAATTGCAGATTCTTGAGCAAAACAAAGTATTGTTTTTAGCCGCTGAGTTTTGGAGTTGTCATGCAGCAACAGACACCTGATACATTTGCTTGTAAACTTTTTGCTTTCCCAAGTAGTGCAAATCTGAAAATGTCTTTATTACATTCTTATACTTGGTAACCAATTCTGTGTTGACAACTGTTTCACCTCTACATTTTGAATGTATTTCTCCACTATCTTCTAGCATCCCATGTTGCTGATGAGAAGTGATGCCCTCTGATTCTTCATCCCTTGAAGGAATTCTTTTTTTTTTTTTTTTTTTTTTTGAGGCAGAGTCTCGCTTTGTTGCCCAGGCTGGAGTGCAGTGGCACCATCTCGGCTCACTGCAAGCTCCGCCTCCCAGGTTCACGCCATTCTCCTGCCTCAGCCTCCCGAGTAGCTGGGACTACAGGTGCCCGCCACCATGCCCAGCTAATTTTTTTTGTATTTTTAGTAGAGACGGGGTTTCACGCTGTTAGCCAGGATGGTCTTGATCTCCTGACCTCGTGATCCACCCGCCTCGGCCTCCCAAAGTGCTGGGATTACAGGCATGAGCCTGCACCCAGCCCATCCCTTGAAGGAATTCTGTATTTTCCTCTTGGAAACTTTTAGGGTCTTCTGCTGATCCTTGCTCTCTTGGTTTTTCATACCAATGTGTCTTGGTTTGGTCCTCTCCTATTCACCATGGGGGGAGCTCAGTGCCTCCTTTTACCCAGAGACCAAAATCCTTGAACTCTGGGAAATGAAGATTTCTTGGCCGGACACGGTGGCTCACGCCTGTAATCCCAGCACTCTGGGAGGAGGAGGCCCGTGGATCACGAGGTCAAGAGATCAAGACCATCCTGGCCAACATGGTGAAACCCTGTCTCTACTAAAAATACAAAAATTAGCTGGGTGTGGTGGCGCATGCCTGTAGTCCCAGCTACTCAGGAGGCTGAGGCAGAATTGCTTGAACCTGGGAGACGGTGGTTGCAGTGAGCTGAAATCATGCCACTGCACTCCAGCCTGGTGACAGAGCAAGACTCAAAAAAAAAAAAAAAAAAAAAAAAGGAATTTTTGGCACTTTCTTCCTCTCTGGAATTCCCATTAGTTTGGTACTGGACTTGAACTTCTAAGCTTATCTTACTTCCTGAGTTCCTTAATTTTATCTTCCAACTAAACTTTTCTTTTCTCTTTTTGGAGACAGGGTCTCACTCTGTTGCCCAGACTGGAGTGCAGTGGTATGATCGCAGCTCACTGCAGCCTCCACTTCCCCGAGTTCAAGCAATCCTCCCACCTGAGCCTCCCAACTAGCTGGGACCATAGGTACACACTACCACATCCAGCTAATTTTTTTGCATTTTTTGCATACATAGTGCTTTGCCATGTTGCCCAGGCTGGTCTCAAACTCCTGGACACAGGTGATTCTCCCACCTTGACCTTCCAACATGCTGAAATTATAAACTTTTTCTTTTTTTTTTGAGACAAAGTCTTGCTCTGTCGCCCAGGCTGGAGTGCAATGGCATGATCTCAGCTCACTGCAACCTCCACCTCCCAGGTTCAGGCAATTCTTCTGCTTCAGCCTCCCAAGTAGCTGGGACTATAGGCGTGTGCCACCATGCCCAGCTAATTTTTGTATTTTTAGTAGAGACGGGGTTTCACCATGTTGGCCAGGCTGGTCTCAAACTCCTGACCTCAAGTGATCCACCAGCCTGAGCCTCCCAAAGTGCTGGGATTACAGGCGTGAGCCACCGCGCCCAGTCTAAACTTTACTTTTCTTAAAACATGTTATCAATGTCTTTGGTTCTGTGGGTTCACTGAGCCCAGCTGAGTGGCTCCTCCTAAGAGTTGTGGTGACAGAACCTAGGGGTGGTGCTGTCTGAAGGCTCACCTAGGCTGGAATTCCATTTCCATTCATGTGTCTGACATTGGGGTGGCCACACAGCTCAGGGCTGGCTCTGCATCTACCTTTGTGTGTCTTTTCCACATGAGTTTCTGGGTAGATTTCTTAGGCTGACTTCTCCAAAAGTAAGAATCCAAGAGCCTGCGGTAATTTTAATCTATTGTCATTTTATCTCCTGATAGCCTTTTCTTGGGCTGTTTCTTGAAGCATTCTGTGTTTGTTCTAGGAATGTTCTAACGAGGTTCCAGAATGCTCTTCATTTCTCTGTGTTTCTATTTCTTCTCACGTCATCTTTCTAATTTACGTTGGTCTCTATTGTTCATGTTGAAAGTCTTCCCAAATACCCAATATCCTTAGCAGTCTTAAAGAGACTAAGACTGAGGTGTTAGGAAGCTCACAAGGAGTTTGCATTCAAAAGCAGGACTTGTCAAGCGCTGGGCTTTGCTGTAGAGACTGTGTAGGAAGCCCACTCTCAGGCCAGCCTAAATCCCACCTTACAGGGGTGTCTTTTTCTGGAATACCCCCACATTATTTATGCTAGGAAACCCTGTTGCTGTATGATTTGTGTGTGTGAGGGGATGGAGGGATGAGGAGTGGGAAGCTGTTGACTCATGCACATACCTGTCTCCATGGTGTCTCTGCTGTCGACCTCCTCTCCCCCAGCTCCAGCCCCTCACCTTTCCAGGGCTCTGTATCCAATGGAGGGGGCTCAAGTGAAGGCTTCTTCCCCCCATTTCACTGTCACCAAGCTTTACCTCTGGACATTTGTGGCACTCACCTGCTGGGAACCCACTCCTTTCTCTGAACAGTTTCAGGGTTTAGCCTCCCTTCCTGAGCCCCTTTTGACAAGTTATCAGGTCCCTGGTAGGGAAAGAAGAACAAGCTCAAGTGCCCGATCTCTTATCTTAATCAGAAGGGGAACCCAGTTCTAATCCAGATGCTGCTATGCTGTCCTCTTTCTGGGTTTCATTTCCTTGTCTGTCAAACCAGAGGGTGGCTTGGCCAACTCACACCTGACCCAGGTTGACACAAAGTCCAACTCCAGCTTCTCTCCACTCCTACCTGAATTCCCAGCAGCATACAAACAGGACTCAGGAGACCTGGGTTCAATCCTGTCTTTGCCATATTCTGGTTGTGGCCTTGGGCACGTCCCTTTACCTCTTAGTTATCCCTTGCCTGCCTCGGAGGGCTGTTGCAGTCACCAAGTGACTGGACCTGAAGGTAAGCTGCCCAAGGGGCTCAATTGTGAGTGTTCCCTCCTCCCACCCAAGGTCAGCCTTGTCAATAATAAACACAGTGACTCTCTGAGCACCTGCCAAGGGCCAGGCCCGCCACATACGGTGTTATTCTCACAATCTACAAGAAAAGTACTATTAGCGCCATATTCCCAAGGAAGAAAGTGAGTGCCCAGAGAAAAAACTAAAATTTCTTGGAGGTGAAAAATAGAGACCAGGCTCAGTGGCTCACACCTGTACTCTGAAAGCACTTTGGAAGGCTGAGGCGGAAGGATCACTTGAGCTCAGGAGTTTGAGAACAGCCTGGACAGCATGGGGAGACCCCGTCTCCACAAAAATTAGCTGGGTGTGGTGACATGTGCCTGTGGACCCAGCTACATGGGGAGCTGAGGTGGGAGAACTGCTTGAGCCTGGGAGGTCGAGGTTGCAGTAAGCCAAAATTGCCGCACTGCATTCCAGCCTGGGTGGCAGAGTAAGACCTTATCTGGGAAAAAAAAAGAAAGAATCACTGAAAAGAAAATTTTTATATGAAAGTTGAAAGATAAAACCGAAGAATAAGGCCGAGCGTGGTGGCTCATGCCTGTAATCCCAGCACTTTGGGAGGCAGAGGTGGGCAGATCACGAGGTCAGGAGTTTGAGACTAGCCTGACCAACATGACCAACATGATGAAACCCCGTCTCTACTCAAAATACAAAAATTAGCCGGGGGTGGTGGCGCACGCCTATAATCCCAGCTACTCAGGACGCTGAGGCAGGAGAATCGCTTGAACCTGGGAAGCGGAGGTTACAGTGAGCCAAGATCGCACCACTGCACTCCAGCCTGGGAGACAGAGTGAGACTCCGTCTCAAAACAAACACACAAACAAACAAAAACCCCGAAGAATAACAGAAGTATACAACAACAAAAAAGAAATGGAAAACAAGAGAAACGGGATGAAGGGCCTGGAAGGTCAATGCAGGAAAAGACATGGTGATGATCACGTCCGGACGGCAGCTTAGCAAGACAGCAGCCAGGAGCAAAGGGTTAACAATTGGCCAAAAGCAGGCAAAGGCTGAAAAACTCTTCTAGGCACTTTTATTAATTTGTTTTTTGAGGCAGAGCCTTGCTCGGTCTCCCAGGCTGGAGTACTGTGGCATGATCTTGACTCACAGCAACCTCCAACTCCCAGGTTCAAGCGATTCTCCTGACTCAGCCTCCCTAGTAGCTGGGACTACAGGCACGCACTACCATGCCTGGCTAATTTTTGTATTTTTAGTAGAGATGAAGTTTCACCATGTTGGCTAGGCTGGCCCCGAACTCCCAACCTCAAGTGATCTGCCTGCCTCAGCCTCCCAAAGTGCTGGGATTACAGGTGTGAGCCACTGCTCCCAGCCTCTTCTAGGCACTTCGGAAAAGTGCAGCGATTACTGACCACACGAAGGCCAGAGATGCAGCAGGCATCTATTTACATGCATTAAATACATATATTATCTTCATGCATTTACACATTCATTCAACAAACATTACTGAGCGCCTGCCGTGGGCTGGCATGGTCCTGGGCACAGCTCCGCTTGCAGGAAGCCCACTTTCTCCTGGGGAGTCAAAGCACAAACAAAGCCAAGTCAGTACGTAAAGAAGCAGGGGTGATGAGAGATGCGGACCCAGGAGGGGTTCAAGGGGCTGTCCTGGACGCATGACAGGGAAGCATAGCTTCTTAAAGGACTCGGCAGTGCACCATGAGAAGACACGCACCAGGGAGCAGAGAGAAACGCCAGAACCCTCTCGAAGAAGGAGGGATGTGAGGAGGTCAGGATAGTCACCTGTGCTGAGCCATCATGGAGAGTGAGGGCCTGTAAGGGTGGACACAGTATGCAGGAGGGACAAATCTTCCTCACCGGACAGGTGGGGATCCCTGCGGTGCACTAGGGGAATGCACACAGGGGGCACTATGACCTGGCGGCCCACGGGGCACGGGGACGCACCAGGTAGCCTTGGGATCTGCAAGTCCCTCCCGGACCCTGGGGAGTGCCATGACGGCTTCCAGCAGCAGTCACTGTCCTGGGCGCGTCCCGCGCTCTAGCCCAGGTGGGTCCCACAACGGTGTGACCAAGGACGTCCTATGACCACCCCTTGACAGGTAAGGAAACTGAGGCAGGAGAGGCGAAGCAACTCGCCCAAGGAATGGGCTGTGCCGGTAGCTTCTCCAAGGCCTGGTGCGCCCTGGCCTGTGCGCGTGATCCCGGGCGGGGTCTCAGTACGAACAGGGGCTTCGCGATGTGGCCAGCGCGGGCTTATCTCCGTGCCGTGACGACAAGGCTAGAAGCCTGGGCGGCCGCGGTGGATCCTCGTGGCGAGGCGGGGAGGGCGCCGGGCCTCACTGGCCCGCTCGAACCAGGGCTGCGCAGGGCAGAGCCCAAGGGAGAGGGCCGCGCGGCCGCCGTAACGTCGGAGACGACGCCTGGCAGGCGCCAGCAAACGCAGAAGACCCGCGAGGGCGAGGCAGGGAGGGCGCGACGCGACAACGACCACGTGCCCCGCCCGCCCAGGCGCGCGGCCTGCCGGGAGACGCAGTCCAAACCTTTCGGGAGCAGGACTAGGGGTCCCAGAGAGCCTCGCGGCGCGCATGCGAGCCCCGGCCCCCTCTCGCGCAGCCTGCCGGGACTTGTAGTCCAACGCCAGCAGGCTTCCGGGCCCGGAGTGGGCGGTGGGACTCGGGGTCCCAGAGAGCCGTGCGCGGGCCGCGACGCCGAGCACCGCCCTCGCCGTCGCCTCCGGGCTTTCTCCGGTCGCTGCCGCCACCACCGTTGCTTCGCGGGCTGGGAGGCCCGGGGTCCCCGGGCGAACAGAGGCTGCGGGTGGGAGCCTTCGCGGGCGCTGCAGAGCGGGCCGGGGGAGGCCGGGATGGAGCCCCGCGGAGGTGGGCGCGCTGCCGGGCGGGGCGCTTGCGGCGATTGGGGAGGGGGCAGAGGGAGGGGCCCGGGGCGGGGCTCGGTGGCGGGGACACCGGGGCGGGGGCACCGGGAGGAAGCTGCCTTGGAAGAGGTGGGGGCGGCGACGGGAGGGGCGGCGAGCCCCCGGGAGCCTGGGCGTTAGGCCCGGGCGTGGCGGGGCCCCGGCGGCCTGGGGGGTCTCCTGGGCCCCCCCCCACCCATGGAGCCCGCCGCCCCGGAGGTCGGTCTCAGATGACTGAACTGGGCACCGAGCGCCCCTGGTGTCCCTCGCAGTGGACTGACGCCGCAGGGGCGAGCTAGCCGGCTCCGCGCCTCTCCGCGGGATCCAGACGCCTCCTGGGGCTGCTGGCGGAGGGTCTGAGGCGGCGCGGCCATGGCTCACCTCCGGGGATTTGCCAACCAGGTGAGAAGGGTGCAGGTCAGGAAGACTAGCGGCCTCTCACCGAGGGGCTCCAGAGTCTCCTGGGGGTTCAGAGGGGAGCGCCACGCCGGAGCGGGCAGTGGGGTGAGGGAAGGAGCGCGCGTCGTGCGACCAGCGGAGCCGTCCTGAGGTGGGCGCAGGGCGGCCCCGGGGCTCTGCCGTGTGCCTGTGGCGTTTTGCGTGGCAGAAGCTCGCAGGCCTCTAGAAACCGAGCCCCTGGTGGCTCCGCCTGTGCGAGGGCGGTGGAGGTGCGTGAAGAGACACCGGCGCAGGGACGGGGCGCTGCCCCCAGCGCGGGGCGGGAACCTCATGTCAGCATCCGAAGGCAGTGGAAGGTCGGGGGCCACCCTGCGGCCTCGGCCTGGGCCGCGGGTCATTCTGGCCGTGTTGGGCTGGGCAGGGGCTGTAGGGGAGACCCTGGCGGGCGCTGAGGGGCTGAGATTGTGGAGAAGCAGATCTGAGTGGCCGGTGTGCAGGGAAAGCAGAGAACACGTGTGTGCTTTGGCCCAGGGGAGGGTGAAAAGGCTGCTCTGTCAGGACCGTTTAACCCCTGCGACGGGCGGTTGCCCGAACATGAGACTCATCTTTCTTCTTTAAAGAAGTCGTTTCCACTATGGAGCCACCTTTAAGCGTCTGGTGGGACAGCCTCGGAGGGAGCCACTACGGCGAGCCCTTAGCCTGGAATGAGGACCAGCTGCTGGTGCCAAAGGGCTTGCCGGGGAAGGAGGGTGGGGTCAGCCAACCTGGGGCCTGGGGACTTGCATTCTCTACCCCTCCCCACTTTTTTGACTCTGGCCGCTGGGTTTTCTTACATCTTAGCTGTTCGGTTTTATTCTCCTTGATGCCTTGGCTCTACCTAAGGCGTTGGAATCGCCGCTAAAATGTGTGGCCCTCCTTGTTCACTCCTATGTGCTGAATGGAGAGTTGGGCCTGCAGTGGAACAGGAAGGGCGTCTGTTCGCGTAGGGGCAGGAACTGGAGTCAGGGCTGCTTTGGAGGAAACCGGACCAGCCTAGAGACCCGGAACACCATGTGCAGCTGTTGGGCCAGGCAACCTGGACCTGCGTGGTCACAGATGAGACTGGGGCTTGCTGACTGTTGCTGAATTAAGCTAACAGATTTTTGGTTTGCTTTTGGCATTCTGTATCTGGTAACTTACATGACTAAGGTGCTGGGAGAAAAATCTGCCACCAGTTTATTTTACTTTATTTTTATTTTTTTGAGACGGAGTTTCGCTTTTGTTGCCCAGGTTGGAGTGCAATGGTGCAATCTCAGCTCACTGCACCCTCTGCCTCCCAAGTACAAGCGATTCTCCTGTCTTGGCCTCCCAAGTAGCTTGGATTACAGGCATGCGCCACCATGCCCAGCTAATTTTGTATTTTTAGTAGAGACGGAGTTTCACCATGTTGGTCAGGCTGGTCTCAAACTCCTGACCTCAGGTGATCTGCTTGCCCTGGCCTCCCAACGTGCTGGGATTACAGGCATGAGCCACCGCGCTCGGCCACCAGTTTATTTTTAAGAACTGCAGAAATAACTCCTTTGGGTCACAGGATGAGAAATTGGAGCTCCGAGGTGCCCTGTAACTGTGTGCTATTGGTTCTTGGTGCGATCGCACACAGGGAAGGGAGTGCGGGCACATTGGAGAAGGGATTCCAAAGGTAGGAAGCTCCTTTTGTCCTTTTAGGGATCCCTTTGTCCCAGCCTGGATGATGAGAGACTTGACTTCATATAGTGGCAGAAAACCTGAGGGGCTGTGGTTTTCTCCTGAGATGGTTGCCATGGTGTCCTGTGGACCTGTGGGGCAGCCCCTTTGTGGGAGAGTGGGGCGCGTTCCCCCCATAGCCTGTGCTCCTGCCTTAGACTTCTCCCCTCTACCTGGCCAGTTCCTGCCTGGCCCTGGAGGGCCCGAATGGCTGTGGGGTGCCAGAGCACTGTATCACCACTCAGCTATGTGTGCTGGGTCATTCCCCTTGTTTTGTGGGGCAACACTGACAGCAGACACATTGGCAAGTGGAGGCCCCAGACCTGGCAGCCCCAGGGCTAATGTGGAGAACAGGTGTCCACCGCTCGAGTCAGCTGAGTGGCCCGAGTGATCATCCAGGCCACAGCTGCTGCTACATCCAAAAGAGGATTCGCAGCCTCCAGGCCAGGGGCCCACTTACCCTTTCTTCTCCAGGTGGGGGTGGGGATGGCTTGCCTTGGCTTGGCCTGCGATGTCATTGTAGGGCCAGGATCACAGCCAAGAGGGTTCCTGTCACACAGTTTCTGCTTGGGCTGATGAGCCCTGGCTCTGGCTTAGGGGTCCGCTGTGCTCCCCTGCTGTGAAGCAGTAGAGGTCTGAGTGCCCACCCAGGGGTTTCCCTACCGGGGCTGCTGTGATGGAGCAGATTCAGCTCCAGGCCCTGTGTGGAGAGCAGCATGGCCTCAGCAGGGAGCAGGGAGTAGAGCAGGGCGGGAGGACGCGTCATCCAGAGAGGCCTGAAGAGTCGGAGGGGTGGTGGTGCTGGGTAATGCTGCCAGGTCATGGCCCTGCTTTCTCCAGGCCCTCTCTCAGGCCACCTTAGACAGGAGTAGATGGGAGGACACAAGCTCAGGGCACCAACAGACCTCTGGAATCCCCAGGAGGACTCCCTTGGGGTCTTTCCGGGTGCTTGGGCAGGGTTGGGTTGAGGCTGAGGCCAGGCCTACAGGCTAACGGCTCGGTGGAGCAGCGTCCCAGGGCCCCGAGTAAGCGTTGATGGGCTGAGCAAACAGGGAGGATTTGACAAGGTGGCGTTGGGCCTGCTGGAGGAGGAGCAGGCAGAAGAGGGGCTGCTTCTGCAGATCACCTGAGGTCAGGAGTTCGAGACTAGCCTGGCCAACATGGTGAAACCCTGTCTCTACAAAAATTCAAAAAAAAAAAAAATTAACGGGGCATGATGGCGGGTGCCTGTAAGTCCGGCTACTCGGGAGGCTGAGGTGGAAGAATCGCTTGAACCTGGGAGGCGGAGGTTGCAGTGAGCCGAGATCACGCCACTGCACTCCAGCCTGGGCAACAGAGTGAGACTCTATCTCAAAAAAAAAAAGAAAAAGAAGAGGGGCTGCTTCTTAACCTTGTCCTGCACCTGGCATCCAGGACTGGGCTAGGAACGGGTGGTCCTCCACCAGAAATGGAGCAAACAGGGAGGAGGAAACGGAGATGATGCTCTCTATGGCAGGAGGGTGATATTTTAACACTGACTGCTTACCTATGACAGCCAGTGGGCTGATGAGCTTATGCTTTGACATGCACTTGTGGGCCCAGCTACTCAGGAGGCTGAGGAGACCAGCCTGGGCACACAGCGAGACCCCCCATCTCAAAAAAAGATTGCATGTTCTGGGTTGACTTTCCTTTCAGATAGGGGCTGGTTCTCACCTCATCTGTGCCACCCACCCTCAACCCGGAGACAGCTGAGCACCTGTGACTTGTCAGCTTTGAATTTTTCCTGGCTTCTCTTTAGAACACATGGTCAGCAGCAGTGATGGGGCTGGGGGCAGACACAGCTCACCTTGACCGGAATGACCCCAGGCAGTACTCAGCTCTCTCTATCCTGCCGAGTTTCTTGACCTTGGCTTTGGGGACTCCTGGTAGCAGGTGGGCTCAAGGCACCCCCTGCTGTTTCCTCCATGGGTACTGGCTTTAGGACTGGGCTGCTGTACTGATGAGAGAATGAGAAAGGTCACTTTTGACTCGACCAGCTGTCTCAACTGGCCAGACCTTTGGGCTAAGCAAGGGTCTGTGTGTACACTGCAGCTGGCCTGCTCTAGCTGCTGCATGGAGGCCACCTGCACACCCCCGGGCCTTGACAAGCCAGCCTTGCAGGGAAAGGTTAGGTGGCCTCTGGCCCTCCCCTAACTGCCTTTCCTTCCCCAGAGTTCCAGTCACCTCGAGGTCTGGCACTCAAAAAGGGATGTGCAGCGGCATGTTTCAAGGTGGGGGCCTGTGTGCCGCCCCTTCCACCCTCCTGGTTAGGAACCCTGGGAGGTCAGCTAATTGGCAGTTTCACACGGAAGTGTCGCCTCAGGCTGGTGCGATGTCCAGTTGGCTTCAGCCAGCTCCTCCGCTGGGCTTAGGCCTGGGGTGGACCCAGCACACAGGTGTCCAGGGGGTGAGTGTGAGGGCTGTGTGTGGTGTACCCCATCCTTCTTGGTGGGCACGGTCTCCGCAGGCCCAGGAACGTGCAGGGCACCCCCACCCAAGGACCTGTCCTGTCTTCAGTGTTTTTTTTTGTGGCATAATTAGTCGTTTTGCCTTTTTTTTTTTTTTTTTTTTTGAGACGGAGTCTTGCTCTGTCGCCCAGGCTGGAGTGCAGTGGCACGATCTCCGCCTCCTGGGTTCATGATATTATCCTGCCTCAGCCTCCCGAGTAGCTGGGACTGCAGGCGCCCACCACCACACCCGGCTAATTTTTTGTATTTTTTAGTAGAGACGGGGTTTCACCATGTTAGCCAGGGTGGTCTTGATCTCCTGACCTCGTGATCTGCCCGCCTCGGCCTCCCAAAGTGTTGGGATTACAGGCGTGAACCACCGCGCCCAGGCTGTTTTGCCTTTTTATGCTCTGCCACACTAAATTGGCATCAAGACCCTTGATGTTGTTAGGGGAGGGGCCGTGCGTGGTGGCTCACGCCTGTAATCCCAGCACTTTGGGAGGCTGAGATGGGCAGATCACCTGAAGTCAGGAGTTCGAGACCAGCCTGGCCAACATGGTGAAACCTTATCTCTACTAAAAATACAAAAAATTAACTGGGAGTGGTGGTGCATGCCTGTAATTCCAGCTACTTGGGAGGCTGAGGCAGAAGAATCGCTTGAACCCAGGAGGCAGAGGTTGCAGTGAGCCAAGATTGCACCACTACACTCCAGCCTGGGTGACAGAGTGAGAAGCCATCTCAAAAACATTTAAAAAAGGGTCGAGGCTTGAGGACACACCTCTGCTGGCTTCCCCTGGACTCTGGGCCTGGGCCACAGACCCCAGGCACCTTCCACACCACTGGCTCAGAAACTTTTAGGCATTGCTTCTTTAAATCTGAGGACTGTGTGAGGCAGCTTTCTGCATCAAGAAAGCATCAAGTTTCTAACTCCGCGCTGGTGTAGCTGTCAGGAGGACTTATGGAGGGGTGAGGGAAGCCCTTTCTAAATACGTGACTTTCAGGAGTGGAGGAGAACTTGGTTAACACATACTGAGGTTTTTTGTTTTTGATGAGGTTTTTTTTTTTAAATTTTTTATTTTTTTGAGACCTAGTTTCGCTCTTGTTGCCCAGGCTGGAGTGCGATGGTGCGATCTCGGCTCACCGCAACCTCCGCTTCCCTGATTCAAGTGATTCTTCTGTCTTGGACTCTCAAGTAGCTCGGATCACAGGCATACGCAACCTCGCCCGGCTAATTTTTTTTGTATTCAGTAGAGATGGGGTTTTACCATGTTAGTCAGGCTGGTTGCGAACTCCTGACTTCAGGTGATCAACCCGCCTTGGCCTCCCAGAGTGCTGGGATTTCAGGTGTGCACCACCAAGCCTGGCCTGATGAGTTTATTTTTTAGTAATTTCAGATTTATAACAAATTAAGTAAGAGCTCCCAAATCCCCCCTCACCCCCAGGGGCCATTCACCTATTAACATCTGTCACGGGGCTGGCATGTTGTTCGGGTTAGATGAGGCAACCTTCATGCCGTGTCATCACCTAAAGCTCCTGTTTCCAGCAGGGTTCATCGAGTTGGCCTGGCCTCTTTATACTTTCTGGGGACTTTTTCCCTTGCATGGAAAGTTCAGTTTAGGTTTTTTTGTTGTTGTTATTTGTTTGTTTGTTTGTTTTTTTAATGGAGTTTGATTCTTGTTGCCCAGGTTGGAGTGCAATGGTGCGGTCTTGGCTCACTGCAACCTCCGCCTCCCGGGTTCAAGCAATTCTCCTGCCTCAGCCTCCTGAGTAGCTGGGATTACAGGCATGAGCCGCCACGCCCAGATAATTTTTTTGTATTAGAGATGGGGTTTCACCATGCTGGCCAGGCTGGTCTCGAACTCCTGACCTCAAGTGATCCACCTGCCTCGGCCTCCCAAAGTGCTAGAATTACAGGCGTGAGCCACCACGCCCGGCCAAGTTTAGTTTTTGAACAAAAAGGGAGAAAGGAAGAAACCAGAGAAGAATTGAGGTGCGCTCCCTTGGACTCCCCCTTCCCTACAGGTCCCTTCCTCCCCAGCAGGGCAGCCTCTGCCTGTCCCCCGCCTCTTGTGACCGGCGCTGTCTGCCCTCTGTCCCCGCCCTGGCCCCACAGCACTCTCGAGTGGACCCTGAGGAGCTCTTCACCAAGCTCGACCGCATTGGCAAGGGCTCGTTTGGGGAGGTCTACAAGGGCATCGATAACCACACAAAGGAGGTGGTGGCCATCAAGATCATCGACCTGGAGGAGGCCGAGGATGAGATCGAGGACATCCAGCAGGAGATCACTGTCCTCAGTCAGTGCGACAGCCCCTACATCACCCGCTACTTTGGCTCCTACCTAAAGGTGCCTGTTGTGGGGAGGCGGGGACCCTGCTGGTGCTGTGCCCGGCTCTCTTCCATGTCAGAGGGACTGAGTGACATGCCAGAGGGTGCAAGGCGGTCTTGACGGTTCAGTGCATGCCCTCCGGGAAACTGCCCTGGGCAGGCAGGGTGTGAGCCCTCGTCCACGAGGGTCAGTTGGCTCTAAATGGCCATTGGGACCCACTTGCCTGCCTGTGGTAATGCAGTGAGGGCGCTGCTAGGAGCACTCTGGGGGGCCCCTACTGGCAGTGGTGAGTGGGCCTGTGAGGAGCAGGTGGCTGGTGGTGCCAGTGTCTGGGGTGTAGGGAACGCTGTGGCCATCCTGCCCAGGAGGGTGATGGGTGTGTCGGGTCACATGCTTGCCAGCCATGCCCTCTTCCCAGCCCTGTAGGACTGGATCAGCAGCCTGGTTTTTGATGGGGTCTTGGTGAAGTGGAGTCAGCCACTGCTGTGTGTACTCAACCTGTCCTCTGAGCATCTGTAGCAGTAGTGTGGCAGGAGGGGAAGATGGGCAAGGCCGAGAGAGCCCTTTCCTGTTCAGGGTTCTTGGCAGGGATGGGACCGGTGGGGCCTGGGCCCTGGCTGACTCCGGCCTGTGACTCCCACCCTGGAGCATGCCCTTCCTCTTGCTGCCAAATGCTGATGGGTTTGTCTCCGGTCCCAGAGCACCAAGCTATGGATCATCATGGAGTACCTGGGCGGCGGCTCAGCACTGGACTTGGTGAGGCATAGGCCATGGCAGTGGGGGGTCATGCAGTGTCCGAGTCCCCTGCCCCTCAGACTCATGGGCTCCAGGGGCCACCTCTCGTTTGGTGTCATGGCACGTTAGGTGTTAATTAGGAATCGTCTAAAGCAAAAATGAACTGCCATCTGCACGTCTGCCCAGTTGGTGCTGAAAGGGGTCCTGGCCTGTGGGAGTGGGCGGGGGCAGGCCTGCTGGGAGATGGCTGGGAGCCTATTTTTCTGTTACATGACAGTAAGGTGAGGCTGGTTTATATGCTTTAGAAAGAGCCTCCACCACCCCACTCCCATCTGAAACTTAGTTCTGTTTGGGAAGTAAAGGAACACGAAGCCCCCAGCTATCTGCAGGGACAGCCCTTCCCTGTGAGAGAGGCAGAGAACTCAGGCATTGGGCCTGGGACAGGAGCTGAGGCCCTGCTGTCGCACCTTCCTCTCCAGCTTAAACCAGGTCCCCTGGAGGAGACATACATTGCCACGATCCTGCGGGAGATTCTGAAGGGCCTGGATTATCTGCACTCCGAACGCAAGATCCACCGAGACATCAAAGGTCCTGCTGGGGGTGGATGTGGCTCTTGTAACGTCCTGAGCCCCACTGACCTTAGAGAGGCCGGGGCCTGTGAGGGGCAAGTGGCTAGTGGTGCCCAGGGTCTGGAGTATAGAGAACCTTGTGGCCACCCTGAAACTGAGCAGTCCTGTCTCGCTCCCTTTCCAGAAGATACTACTTGTAACGGTTTCCTTGTACGCTGAGGAAACCAGCTGTGGACTGAGTGTAGGAAAGGGCCACACTTGGCTGGAGTTGTTGGTTCCCTGTGGTGCACGGCACAGCAGCAGGTGTAGAATTGAGTAGCCCCAGCGTGTGGTCTGGCCCTGCTGAGAGCAGACGGGAGGCTGGGCCAGCCCATGGGGAGGGACTTGCCACTGGCAACGAGCCATCTCTGTCATGTAGGGGACGATTCTGGTGGAGCAGGGGGCTTCCTGGCAGGCCCGTGTTGGCTACACCCTTGGTCAGGGTCACCTCTGCGGTAGCCCCCAGTGGGCGAAGTCGCTTGTCGTTGGGATTTGTCGTAAAAGCCAAATGCAGGAAGAGCCCTGGAGCTCGGAGTGGAGCCGTTGGGCTCCTGCTGGCAGTGCCCCTGTGGCCCTAGGTGGCCCTGGGTTTGAGAGTGGCAAGGAGGGCTGAGGTCCTGAGGACAGCCCTGCTGTGCCCTAGGAGGCCAGGTGGATGGTACCCTGGCCCTTCTCAGGGGGCCCGGGGTGGAGCCACGTGGAGCCTGGGATGACGCCTGCCTGTCCTGTGTCAAGCAGCTGCCAACGTGCTACTCTCGGAGCAGGGTGACGTGAAGCTGGCGGACTTTGGGGTAGCAGGGCAGCTCACAGACACGCAGATTAAGAGGAACACATTCGTGGGCACCCCCTTCTGGATGGCACCTGAGGTCATCAAGCAGTCGGCCTACGACTTCAAGGTGGGTGCAGCGGGCGGGCAGGTGCGGGCACCATGCCTGGCTCGGGTGCTCAGGGCAGCAACAGTCCTTGTGTTCTGTCCAGGCTGACATCTGGTCCCTGGGGATCACAGCCATCGAGCTGGCCAAGGGGGAGCCTCCAAACTCTGACCTCCACCCCATGCGCGTCCTGTTCCTGATTCCCAAGAACAGCCCACCCACACTGGAGGGCCAGCACAGCAAGCCCTTCAAGGAGTTCGTGGAGGCCTGCCTCAACAAAGACCCCCGATTCGTAAGGCCCGCCTCTGGCCCGGTCCCTTCTAGACAGGACGTGGAGGGAGGGCGTTCGCTTGGGGTGGGCGGCACAGCCCGGAGGCCCAGGCCCACCAGCCTTGTAGCTGTGAGGGCCCGCCCCGGTCCAGGCTGCCTCACGTTTGCTTCCCTTAGGCAGAGCTTGGCTGGGCCCAGTGACTAGTGTTCCCCTGACCCCCTGCAGCGGCCCACGGCCAAGGAGCTCCTGAAGCACAAGTTCATCACACGCTACACCAAGAAGACCTCCTTCCTCACGGAGCTCATCGACCGCTATAAGCGCTGGAAGTCAGAGGGGCATGGCGAGGAGTCCAGCTCTGAGGACTCTGACATGTAGGGACCTGGTTTATCCTCATGGTGACCCTAGGTGCTGTGACGTGGGTGGTCCCCACTCCAGAAGCAGGGGCGTGGGCCCTGGGGGTGAGGGTGACCAGATATAGTGTTGGGCAGGGACCCCCTCAAGGCTGCAGGACAGGGCCTGCTGAGGCATCAGCTGGACCCCGTGGCCTGGCAGAGCCCCGTCTGGTACCTCGGGTTTCCCTTGGCCGTGAGGTGTGCCCTGAGGCCCTCATGCCTCCTGGCCCTCTCCCCACTGGCCCTGGCAACTCCTCATCCTCTTCAGTGATGGCGAGGCGGAGGACGGGGAGCAGGGCCCCATCTGGACGTTCCCCCCTACCATCCGGCCGAGTCCACACAGCAAGCTTCACAAGGGGACGGCCCTGCACAGTTCACAGAAGGTCTGTTCCTGGCCTGGCCTTTGCCCTCTGTGCACCCCTGGGGCCGTGGGATGGGCTGGATGCGGGACCCAGCTTTGTCCACCCAGTGTCTGGAGCTTGGACAAGGAGCTTGGGAAAGGCAGGGGTGGTCTGAAGCCCACTGTGGCACTAGGCCTGGTGTGGAGACCCCGAGCCCCAGCATGTGCCGGGAAGATGAGGGCCTGTTTGGAGCCAAATTTGTGAGGAGAGGGTGGGAGTCACAGGCCCTCAGAGTCAGGAGAGGGTGGGAGTCACAAGCCCTCAGAGTCAGGAGAGGGTGGGAGTCACAGGCCCTCAGAGTCAGGAGAGGGTGGGAGTCACAGGCCCTCAGAGTCAGGAGAGGGTGGGAGTCGCCCTCAGAGTCAGGCCATCCGGGTGGCTTGATGGTTTTGGGGCCGGCCCTGGACATGTGCCCCGACAGGCTGCTCCCAGCCTCTGTCTCTTCAAGGCTAGAGCCTGGGCAGGGATGGGAGTGCCCTGCCTGTCACCTGCACTGCCCTGCTCACCCTGGGCCTCCACTCCTTTGCAGCCTGCGGAGCCCGTCAAGAGGCAGCCGAGGTCCCAGTGCCTGTCCACGCTGGTCCGGCCCGTCTTCGGAGAGGTGAGGATGGGGCTGGGACTGGGCCTGGAGTCCCGTCAAGGACAAGGCTGTGACACTGTTGCACGGAGATGTCTCCCTCACAGCACTGTGGGGTGGTTTCAGCTTCTAGCTTTCCTGCAGCTGATTGTGGGCTGGGTTTTCTGAGTGGAAGGAGCAGAATCTGCTGCAATGACTCCTTTTGTACTCCCAGACCTGCCAAGGTTCTCTGGGTTCCTAGGGTGACTTTTTTTTCTTCAGGTGCAAACACAGATGATCCTTCTATAGAGAAAGCAGAGAAGGTTTAGTCGGGGTCCATCCCCGGGCAGGTGCCGCCCTGGTTAGTCACGTGACCCTGCATCAACGTCACCTGCTGATGGGCAGTCAGCACCGTCCTCAGAAATGTGATACAGCCAGGATCTGTGTGCCCAGGGCGTGGCCAGCGGGCTTGGGCCCAGGTGTGCCCTCCAGGAGCCCCACCTGGAGCCTGGGGAGGGAGGATGGAGGATGTGGGTGAGAGGTGGTGAAGGCAGGGCCTGCCTGAGGACGGCAAAGGGAGGAGCACGGTCGAGGGACGTTGGCCCCAGCCCATGTGGAGGCCCCAGCGGGAAGCAGCCACTCGGGTCCAGGTCCTGGGCAGCCTGCTGATCCAGCCACAGCCCCCCGAGGGTGGGTGACACCCGGTGACAGGAGGCTCAGATGCTGGTGTCCTGATGGAGGTCAGATCTGGGCCTGGCGGTGCCGTGTGCTTTGGGGGTTTCTGGGCTTCGTGTTTTTGGGTCTGATTAGACCCATTGAGTGGCTTCCATGACCCTCGGCTGGGAGGAAGCCATCTGGTCCCCTCCTGAGAACCGAGGTCCGAGATTCCCCGGAGTGTAGGGGGAAGGTAGGTGCTGTGGGGAAGGACCACTAGGGTCCCCGTTGGCAGGGCAGGGGCAGAGGCTTCCTTGGGCCACCTCACTTCCCGGCTTGCTGAAGGGCTCCCGGGTGTGGCTCCTAGGCGAGAGCCCTGAAGGCCTCCGGCATCACTGTGGCCGAGCAAAGGAGCAGGCTCCCTGAAGGCCTGTCCTGGGGTCCAGGGTCAGGCGTGGTGGTCTTTTCACAGCTCAAAGAGAAGCACAAGCAGAGCGGCGGGAGCGTGGGTGCGCTGGAGGAGCTGGAGAACGCCTTCAGCCTGGCCGAGGAGTCCTGCCCCGGCATCTCAGACAAGCTGATGGTGCACCTGGTGGAGCGAGTGCAGAGGTGAGGGCGGCCGTGCCATAGGGTCGGGGAGAGCACCCCCACCAAGAAGCTGGACGTGGGGTGAGGTCCAGTGCTCACTCGTGGGTGTGGCTGCATTTGGCACTACATGGGCTCGCTTCACTCTGGGAAGGCGCGGCGTGGCATCCTCTTCCTTGTTTGGACCCAGCTCACAGGGCCATGGAGACTTTGGGGCTGGAGAGAGTGGGCAGGGCCTTTCCAGTCTAAGGGTCTGAGGCAGTGTCTCAGGGTCCCGGCCTCAGTGGCCACATGGCTGTCCTCAGCTGGCCTCTGCCCCTCCACCTGGTGGCTCCCGGGAGCTACTCTGACACGCTGGTGGCAAAACGTCAGAGCTGCCCCTGTGCTGACTCGAGTCCTTAGCAAAGAGACAGGGCAGGACAGATGCTGGGCCCTCCACCGCCCAACGGACTTAGGGTCCAACCGCCATGCCGCCGGCAGATGCGCCAAGTCCTGGTCCACACACAGGGACCCCTTCCCGGCGCCCCTGGGCAGCAGCTCTGGGGGTGGGGTCTGGGCCAGTCATTGCTGCTCCTGAGACCCTGTGCATTGGGGACACCTTCAGACCCACGTGGTGCGGTGGCTTGTCAGGGCTGCCACCGCAGACTGCACACCCAAGAGGCCGTCAGGAGCCTGGGCACAGAGGTGCACGCACGCAGCAGTGGGCTCTTCTCTCTGCAGGTTTTCACACAACAGAAACCACCTGACATCCACCCGCTGAAGCGCACTGCTGTTCAGATAGGGGACGGAAGGTCGTTTGTTTTTGTTCTGAGCTCCATAAGAACTGTGCTGACTTGGAAGGTGCCCTGTGCTATGTCGTGCCTGCAGGGACACGTCGGATCCCGTGGGCCTCACATGCCAGGTCACCAGGTCACCGTCTCCTTCCACCCCTGCAGTGTGCTGTTGTGCACGTCAGGGACGCTGTTCTCTATGCCCACTGCCCTCCTCCCTCTCCTGGCCCAGCAGTATTGCTCACGGGGGCTCCAGCCGCCGGCGTGGCCCTCATGAGCTACGCCTGGGTCTTCTGCAGACTCATGCAGCCCTATGGCCGCTCAGACCAAGGCGCAGAGCAACTATCAGGGCAGCTCTGCCTCCTCCTCCCATGAGGTGGGGAGAGGCAACAGGGCAGCCCCCAGAGGAGTGTCCTGGCCGCTGTCCTCCCGGGGCCCATGATGGCCATAGATTTGCCTTGTGGTGTTGGATCAGGTACTGTGTCTGCTCATAAGTACTTGTGTCATCCAGAATGTTTTGTTTTTTAAGAAAATTGAATTACTTGTTTCCTGAAATATTCTGAGGTTAATATGTTAGTTTTCATAGAACATTGAGAGGCCCCTGCCACTTTCAATAAAGACCTGACTTGGAGACATGCAGGTGTGTGTGGTGGGGCCCGGGCCATGCGGGGCTGCAGCGTCCCTGGTCCCGAGTCCTCATCACAGCACGCAGAGACGGCAGCCCAGCCCCCCTTCGAAACTTCCCTGTGACGGATTCCTGGGCTCTGCTTGGCCCACCGGAAGAACAGAGCAGGCAGAGGAGAATGCAGGTGGGGAGATGCTGTTTGTTTATTTTTAATCAAATGTGTGTGAACAAAGCAGTCGCCCATCTACTTCCCGTTGGAAGGAATGCTGGGCAGTAATAAATTAGACGGCCCCACCCTCCCAGGGCACAGGGGGACTTTGGTTTCTGCTTCTCTAGAGGTACATGGGGAACAAGCGTGGCTTCTGCCAGACTTGTTTAGCTGTGACCTGCAGGGCAGGCCCCTGGGGCTGCCACTTGGTTCACCAGATGGAAGGTCAGCATGGCTGTGCCACGCTTGTCTGAGAGGGTCCTGGCAGTGGGTACGCAGGGTGTATGGCAGGGCCTCTTTTCCAGTGCTTGCTCTAGGCCAGTCCTCGGCAGGGACCCTGCTCTGGGGAGAGAGGCAGGGTGTGCCCAGGCTTTGGTCCGATGCCGAGAGCACTGCTCAGGCCTTGTCTGCGTCTTTGAGCCAGGGGCCTGGGAGCTGTGGCTTGAGCGGCTCCGCGCTCAAGACTCGCACATTTTTCCCAGGGCCCCAGATAGCTGCTGGCATGCACTAGGTCCTGGGTGGGGGGATGAAGCCCCTCCCAGATGTTACATGAGGCCCACCCACACTGCTGGTGCCAGTGGGGATCCAGTGAGACCACAGCCACTTCCCATCTGTTGAGAAGCCTCAGGACAGAGGTCACCTCTGTGTCCTGCTGTTCTTTGTAGTTGTGTCCAAACCTGGGCAGGTTGAGCGTCATTCCTCCTTCCCCCTGACCATCCCCTCCAGCCCTGAGGAGGGTTGGGGGCCATCCTGCACGATGCTTGGGGCCCTCCCGGCTGAGCTGCTGGCCCCCTGGATCACCTCCATCCACCTGGAGGAGAGGGCGGCCATCAGACCAGTGAGCCATCTTGTGCTCAGACACTGTCCCAAGAACAACCCAGGATATGGGACAAGCAGGACAAAAGAAGGGTTAAAAACCTGGGGCCGGGTGCGGTGGCTCATGCCTATAATCCCAGCACTTTGGGAGGCTGAGGCAGATGGATCACTTGAGGTCAGGAGTTCGAGACCAGCCTGGCCAACATGGTGAAACCCTGTCTCTACTAAAAATACAAAAATTAGCCAGGCGGCGTGGCGTGCATGCCTGTAATCTCAGTTACTCAGGAGGCTGAGGCAGAAGAATCGCTTGAACCCTGGAGGTGCAGGTTATAGTGAGCCAAGATTGTATCACTGCACTCCAGCCTGAGTGACAGAGGGAGACGCCATCTCCAAAAAAAAAAAAAACAAAGCATTGCTGTTTTTTGGAAATGCTGGAAGCATTGCTCAGCCCTTCCTTTCCAGGGCCCAGAAAACTTGCCTCCACCACCATGAGTAGAAATGGGAGCTGAGCGGACATCGAAATGGGCAGCTGACCAGGGCTGCCTCCTGCAAAATTACCTTTCAAATGTGTACTTGCTCTCAGCCCGGAAGAAGTAGACGTGGGATTTGAACTGGAGCTTGAAAACATAGTCTTTGTGTATGCCATCGGCCTCCCTGGGGATGCTCACGCTGTAGCCCAGCAGCGGGAGGCTGGCCAGTGGGTAGTCATCCTGCAAGACAGCATAGGGACACGGGTTCCAGGGGCTGGGTTGCCACAGGGAATGCCCATTCCTCTGCTACCTGCACAACGGTGGCACGTACAAATGCCCACGGGCCAAGGGAGCCAGTTTCCCTGTTCACACAGCACAGGGTGTGTGGGCAAAGCATGGGAGGGCAGAACCAAAATACAAAAGGGACACAGGTGAGCAGGGTTAAGTGTCTGTCTGCTAGCATCACCTGCATTGGGCTCCAGTGAAACTCCAGTACCTGATGAGTTTTGTAGAAGAACAAACAGAAGTTGGTAAAGACGACCCAGAGCTTCTGCCAGCCATGACTGTTTTTGAACTTTCTTAGCAGATATCCTGAAAGCTGGTTCTGTCAATAAAGGAAAAATGCAGGTGCATTAACCAGCACCCAGGACCCCTTGTGGGAGTGGGTTTGCTCCCCAAGACTAAGCCTCTGCATGCTTTCTCCAGCTGAGGCCTTGGTTTTACCTCTGGACTGCTATGAACAGCAGCTTTATCAGTACTTAAGTCCAACAGAAGCATGTTAAAAACCTAGAGTGACATTCCAGGCACCAAGTAAAGTGAGTTCCCTTTCCCTGTGCACAATAAAGTCAGTGTTCAGTAACCAACCATCCACAAACCCATCCAACAGCCAGAAGAGAGAAGATACCTTAAGAGACAGTACATTGAGCCAAGTCTGGAAGGTTCTTTAAAATGATGGGTGGGGGAGAGGCAAGTAAAGGCACACACAAGATGCCCCACTGCAGCCCTGTCCCTAAGCATGTGGCATCTGTTCTGCCAGGATTAGGCATGGCTTTGGCGCTGGAGTGGCTGGGCTCATGGGGCTCACATGAGCCTCCCGCCTTCAGGGTGGTATTCAGGGGTTGCACTCTAAGATGGCGGAGCGGGCCTAGCTAGGACCCTGCTTAGATCTCAGGTGTCCTGGACTGGCCATAAGCTGGTGGGCCCAGGTCAGGGACCTGCTGCACCCTGACCTACCCAGGGTCATCAGGGGAGAGGCTCGGGCTCAGCCCCCTCACGGGGGTGCTGGGGTAGCTCCTGAGCCCCTGCCCAGCCGATTGTGGCTGGGGTGAATTATGGGGAGACAGCAAAAAAGACAAGAGCTCTGGGTGGAGTAAGACAGCAGGCTTGGGGAAGGGTGTGGGGGCACCAGGCTGAGGAACCTGGTGACCCACAATGGCAGACCGGGCCCATGCAGTGAGATAGAGCTGACAACCTTCTATGGCAGGGTGCCTGGGCAGAGCCTCGAGCTCCAAGCCCGAGGTGAAGGGTTTTGGAGGCACTGGGACGGGGGGCTGCAGGGGATGTGTCTGGGAAGGCTTTTCTCAGCTCCACTACACACCAGCTCCAGGCCCTGAGGACACGCCCCGCCTGCTGGACTTCATCAGACACCAGACCTGAAACACCCTTTTCAAAGAGGGCTTGACTGGATGAGGGGCACTTTCCATACCAACTTCTACCAAGGGGAGAGTAAGAGGCAGTCCTCTGGGGCCAAGCCTGCCTGCTGGTACCCTCCTGAGGTCCCCTCCTCAGCAGCCAAGTGCAGAGACAGCTGGGAACATTCCAGATGCACTGAGGTGGTGCTCATGCGGTCGTACCTCGACAGCTGCACTGTGGTCTGCCCTGGACACGCTGGTGTTCCGGTACCAGCACACGTGCATTGTGGTGTTGGCCCGGTGCTGGCCATGCCCCTCCAGGGAGCTGCGGACACCCCGAGCATCATCTTCTGACTCCTGCTCCAGAGATACCTCGTTGGGGGATCCTGGGGAGAAGTCAGCAGCGTCTCAGGGGGAACCCCCTGTGGCCTCTGCTTGCCAAATACTTCCACCCCTTGGGTTCCTCTCGGGGGTCCTGGGGAAATGGGGAGCCCTTGGTGCTAGGCCAGCTGCTGGCTGAGAGCAAAACTACAGGTGCTTCTGCCAGAGCAGCTGATTGACACCTCTTCCCGCCCAGGCATGAGGCGTAGCCTGGAACATTCCTTGTGGAAGGGGATTGTGTGGGAACTTAGCGGGCCAATGGGGACCAAGGAAAACAGTTTCCAAAAAAAGCCTCCTTAGGTGTAGTGGAGGTCTCCTGGGGGGTTGTGGCCAGCACTCACTGGGGGGACGAGTGCACACAGTGCGGCCTGGCAGTGCAGGGGCCGTGTCACCGCCACTCTTGGCTGCTTGGATCGCGGAGTTCAGGTCCAGCATCCACTTCTCTTTCTCCAGCCGAGTGCTGCAGGGAGAAGGGCAAGGCTCAGTGGCTCTGCTCTTCCTTGTGTAGGGCCCCAGCCCTCAAGGGAGGGCGAGCCGTCAGGGCACCTGTTCTCTCACATTCTGCTTTGTCCTGCCTGGTGAGAGGACTGGGAAACGTGTCCCCTCCAGCGAGAATAGCAGGGAGGAGAGCTGGGAGGGACCTGCATCAGCCTGACCTCCAGGGTGCTGTGACAGGGTTGTGGGTGCCAGGGCAGGGCCCCGGTCCTAGAACAGGGGGTCTGCAGGGGTATTTGTTCCTGAAATGATGTTCTCTACATCTGTGATGCTGAAATGCAAGATTGGCCCTGGTTCATGATTAAGTGAGCATTTCCTGGTGGGAACTGAGTGCCCTGTGCTCTGATGCTGGCCAGGGCGCTGCAGAGTCAGAGCTGAGACTCCTCACAGAGCACAGTGTGGTGCTGGTGACCATGCAGGGGCCCCTGCATCCTGGCCGCCAAATGAGCTCAGTGTCATCCTTCTGTTGATCTTATCTGGGGAGGAGGGAGCTGTTTCCACTTGATTCTGTGCCATAGCCTGGGCTGCCTCATGTGAGTCTATACCACACTGGGACTGGGAGGCAGTGTTTGGCTGGGCTGGGTGTAAGCTGCCCTGTTGGGGCTTTGACCACTAGCTGCTGGCACTTCTTGACGTGAGGGTTGGGGAAGCGCCTGTGCCCTGGGAGACCACAGGAGCCTGCCCACTCACCCGTCCTGTCTTTGGAGGCACTGTGAACCGGAGGGCAGAGGGAGCGGCTCCACAGCACTGGGGCCTGCCACTTGTGGGGTGTTGTCAGGTTGGCAAGCAGCCCTGCCCCTGACAAGGGCGAGGCTGCTCCTTTGGTTGTGTGACTTGGAAGCAGAGCTCAGAGTCAAAGGGGGCACAACCCCATGAGGCTACATGGCTCCTCACAGCTCAGAGGACTCAGAGGCTCATGGCGAGGAAGTCCCCACCCCTCCATCCAGGGCTGCTCAGGATGGAGACATGGAAGACCCTTACCTGGCTGCCACCACGATTGTTTTCTGAGCCGCGTAGATGGTGAAACAGTGTGGAACAGACCACTCGTTATCACTTTCTTCCACCTGTGGGTGGGAGAAACGGTCCAAGTCTTGTGGCCAAGAAGGAACTGACAGCCTAAGCCTGAGCAGGACACAAGGTGACTGCTGGCAATGCTAGGTGGGGCTTGGAAGCCCAGTGCTGTCCAAGTGCACACAGACTCTACAAGAGGCCAAGGAGGACACTGGTATCCCTGCGCCATGGCAGCTGCACCCCAGGGGGTGAGCCATGGGCCAGAGGGCACCCAAATACTCACCGGGGGGTCCAGCACTATTAGCTGAAAATCAAGCAAAGGAAAAAATGTTGAGCATTTTGATTATCCAAAAGGGAGTTGGACAATTCATTTATGAACCAAAGACCAAAACCTAACAGAGCTAGATTCAAAGAAAACCCACTGTGGATTAATTTTAATTTTAAGTAGTTAGATGAAATAATTGCAAAATAAAATATTACCAAATCTAATCTAAAAGCATGTAACAAGGAATTGTCCCACGATCAAGTAAGGTTGTTTGGGGAATGCAAGGATCGTTCGGCATTAGAAAGCTGATTGATAACATTCATCCTATCAGAAGTCAAAGAGAAAAAGGGAAATCCATTCTCTACATGCTGAAAATGCCTTTGCCAAAATCCAAGGTGTTATTTCTGATAATACCTCTTAGAAACAGAAGGAAACTGTGTTAACATGATAAAGATGATCTTTTCAAGCCAAGAGCCATCATCCTTCCCTTAACAGTCAGGAACGAGGGCCAGTTCTCTGTCCCCAGGACCAGCCAGTTACCAACAACTCCACAGAATGGACAGCTTCCCTGTGCAGAGCCTGATACACCAACCAAGCCTCTCACTGGACATCAAAAATCTGAATCAACATAAGCAAGGGCAGGCAAAACATTGTCCAGATGTTAGTCTTCCCGTAAGTTAACACAAAAATTTAATGCAATTTCAACTGAAATCTCCATGGTGTTTTTGTAAGGAATTTGTCCAATGACTTAGAAGATTACTTGGAAGAATTAAATGCTTGAGAATAGCAAAGAATCTTTTTTAAAAGGAGGCAGAATAAGGGATGGAATGTGTTCACCAAACAGTGACTATCTCATATGACACCACTAATGAGAGAGAGTGGACTGATGCTGGACAGACAGGAATGGAGCAGAATGCCCAGAAAGAACTCGAGTGCAAAGACACAGGCTTCCATTTGATAAAGTCTGAGATCAGTGAGAAAATGAAGGATTCAACAAATAATGGGGAGAAATGTTACATCTCAATCTAATATCTATCAAAACAAATTCTAGGCCAGGCACGGTGGCTCACACCTGTAATCCCAGCACTTTGGGAGGCCGAGGCGGGCGGATCACAAGGTCAGGAGATCGAGACCATCCTGGCTAACACGGTGAAACCCCGTCTCTACTAAAAATACAAAAAATTAGCCACCTGTAGTCCCAGCTACTTGGGAGGCTGAGGCAGGAGAATGGTGTGAACCCAGGAGGCGGAGTTTGCAGTGAGCCGAGATCGTGCCTGGGCACTCCAGCCTGGGACACAGAGCAAGACTCCATCTAAAAAAAAAAAAAAAAAAACCAAAAAAGTAAAAAAACAAATTCTAGGGAGATTAATTAAATGAGAAAACTGAAACCATTAAAAGGTGCCAATATAATATTGGCATGGGGAAGAACTTCCTGAGCCCATACTAAGGATAGAAACCCTCAAGGAAAAGACAGCCAGAGCTGACCCTGATAGGCCCTGATTTTTCAACTTTATGATGGTGTGAAAGTGATAAGCATTCAGTAGAAACGGAACTTCAAGTGCCCATACGACCATTCTGTTTTTCACTTCCAGTTTGGTATTCAACAAATTATGTGAGATATTCAACACTTTGTTATAAAATAGGCTTCATATTAGATGATTTTGCCCAACTGTAAGCTAATGTATGTTCTGAGCACATTTAGAGTAGGCTAGGCTGGCTCACGCCTGTAATCCCAGCACTTTGGGAGGCCGAGGCGGGTGGATCACGAGGTCAGGAGATCGAGACCATCCTGCCTAACACGGTGAAACCCCGTCTCTACTAAAAAATACAAAAAATTAGCCAGGCGTGGTGGCGGGCGCCTGTAGTCCCAGCTACTCAGGAAGCTGAGGTAGGAGAATGGCGTGAACCCGGGAGGTGGAGCTTGCAGAGAGCCAAGATGGCACCACTGCACTCCAGCCTGGGCGACAGAGCGATTCCATCTCAAAAAAAAAAAAAAAAAAAAAGAGTAGGCTAGGCTAAGCTATGACATCAGAGAGGTTAAGTGTATTAAATGCATTTTCTTTTCTTTCTTTTTTTTTTTTTTGAGAGGGAGTCTTGTTCTGTCACCCAGGCTGGAGTGCAGTGGTGTGATCTCGGCTCAGTGCAACCTCCGCCTCCCAGGTTCAAGTGATTCTTGTGCTTAGCCTCCCGAGTAGTTGGGACTACAGGTGCCCACCACCACGCCTGGCTAATTTTTGTATTTTTAGTAGAGACAGGGTTTCGCCCTGTTGGCCAGGCTGGTCTTAAACTCCTGACCTTAGGTGATTCACCCACCTCAGCCTCCCAAAGTGCTGGGATTACAGACGTGAGCCACCGTGCCCTGTTAAATGCATTTTTGACTATACTATTTTCCTCTTACAATGGGTTTATCAGGGCATAGCCCCATCATAAGTTGAGGAGTGTCTGTTTCAATTCACACCTTCAACAAGCATTTGCTGGGTTCCCTATATGTGCCAGATGCCATTCTAGAGTAAGAGAAACAGAACCCATCAAGATGGAGTTTAAATTCTACAAGGTAAAACTAAATTGTAGGCAAAGTAAAAAGCAGTTACTGAGAAAATAATTTGTGACTTAATAGTGTTGGTGAGCATTATCATATAAACATTTCACTAATGTGTACAAAAAACTCACAGACCAATGGAGACCAGAGTGACCAGCACGCTGAGTGATTCCTGAGAGGAAAAGCATGGAATGCCAGGACACAGGGGCCAGGCTGGCCTCACCGACAGTCCGCAGGGATGCAAAGTGAAATGATGGGGCTGCTCGATGGGGCTGCTTACCTTACCCACTTGGGAAGAGTAAGAGAGACAGGTGCCTAGCACTTTCCATGGTGGAGGGAAAGATGCATGTTTAGACCTAGCTCCTGCAGGTGGGAAGGTCAGCTGGCGCAGGTGCTCCAACAGCAATTTAGCAGGAGTGCCCAAGGCCGTAAACACCTTTGCTCAGACAAATCTACATTTTGGAATTGATCTGAAGGACATAATTAAGGATGTGCAGAAAGACAGAGATCCAACAATGTTACAGTCCTCAACAACCAGCCACAGCCAAGCGTCCAGTGACAGGTGACTAGTTAAGTGAACTGGGGCTGCCATGAAAGGAAAGGAAAACCAGTGTCCTGACAAAACAGCCCGTGGGTGATGGCAACCATGCAGCAGATGCCTGCAGCCATCACTGCTGAGTGGGTACGATGATAGAGTTCTTTTTCTTGTTTCTTTTCTCTGTGTTTTTTTTTTTTTTTTTTTTTTTTTTGAGACGAGGTCTCACTCTGTCACTGGGGCTGGAGTGCAGTGGTACGATCACGGCTCACTACAGCCTTGACCTCCTGGGCTTAAGTGATTCTCCCATCTCAGCCTCCCAAGTAGCTGGGACTACAGGCACACACCACTTTTGCTCAGCTAATTAAAAAAAAAAAAAAAAAAAAAAGATTTTTGGAGATTTGGCTTCGCCATGTTCCCCAGGCAGGTCTCAAACTCTCAGCTTCAAGCGATCCTACCATCTTGACCTCCTAAAGTGCTGGCATTACAGGCGTGAGCCACAGCAACTGGCCAGTGATGAGTGATTTCTGTCTTATACTTTCAATTATTTTTTTCTATAATAAAGGTGTAATTTTTAAAAGTATACTTTAAAACAAATGGGGTCTGCTTCCGGTGGTGGCAGATGAGCTAATTCAAACTGACCTCTTCTTGCTGAGGGCCTGAGAAGTGGAATTAAATTTTACAAACACCTGCCTGAGGGTTTTGGCGCTCATTGTCAGGAGGAGGCAGTGCAGAGGGATAAGACCCTTGAAGAAAGAACAGGGAAAGAGGACCCCAGGGAGGGAGGACCCCACTGGGGGAGGAAGGACTCCAGGGAGGGAGGACCCCAGGGAGAGAGGATCTCAGGGAAGGAGGACCCTACTGGGGGAGGGCCCTGGGGGAGGAAGACCATGGGGAGGGAAAATCCCAGGGAGGGAGGACCACAGGGAGCAAAGGAGGACCCCAGGAAGGGAAGATCCTAGGGAAGGAGGACCCCAGGGAGGGAGATCCCAGGAAGGGAAGATCACAGGGAGTGAGGGAGGACCTCAGGGAGGGAGGACTCCAGGGAGGGAATATCCCAGGGAGAGAGGACTACAGGGAGCAAGGGAGGACTCCAGGAAGGGAAGATCCTAGGGAAGGAGGACCCCAGGGAGGGAAGATCCCAGGAAGGGGAGATCACAGGGAGTGAGGGAGGACCTCAGGGAGGGAGGGAGAAGCCGATGGAGGGAAGATCCCAGGGAGGGAGGGAGGACTCTAGGAAGGGAAGATCCTAGGAAAGGAGGATCCCAGGGAGGGAGGACCACAGGGAGGGAAGATGCCAGAGAGGGAGGGAAGATCCTAGGAAGGGAAGATCCCAGGGAATGAGGGAAGATCCCAGGAAGGGAAGATCCCAGGGAGGGAGGGAGGACTCTAGGGAGGGAAGATCCTAGGAAAGGAGGATCCCAGGGAGGGAGGACTACAGGGAGGAAAGACACCAGAGAGGGAAGACCACAGGGAGTGAGGAAGGACCTTGGGGAGGGAGGGAGGACCCCAGGGAGGGAAGATTACAAGAAGGGAGGATCTCAAGGAGAGAAGATCACTGACAGGGAGGACCACAAGGAGGGAGTGAGGACCACTGTAGCACTGTAGTCAAGGCAAATAAGCCAAGAGGGATAGGGCAGAGCTGGGGATTAGAGCCCCTGTCCTTGGCGCCCTGGCAGGCCCATGGGGAGAGACAGTCACTGTGACGTGGTGTCCTGGACGAATGGCACATCCTTATGGCAAGTCCTGGACTTGGCTACCTGTCTGTACCGTTCTAGGCCTAGTGCAGGGACACGCTCAGGGCAAGTGGACATAGCCTCTAGAGCTGCATGAAAGTCTCCCCATGACCTGAGAACAGTATTTCTATTGAACACAAAAAGCACTAACCACAAAGGACAAAGTTGATGAACTGGATCATGCTAAAATGAGGAATTTCTCTTCCCATCCCAGGCATGTGCCTACATGGGACAGAGGGCTGGCATGGATGTCACACAGGTGGCACAGCCTGAGGAAGATGCTGCTGCAGAGGCTGACTCTAAGCTTGCGGGGAGCAGGCCTTGTCCTGCCAGGTGCTGACAGAGACCACAGGCTGAGTCCAGGTTTCCCTAGAAGGGAACCATGGACTAGAGACAGGGCAGTTTGAGCATCAATAACAACAATGACCATGAGGGTCAGAAACAACCAACAAGAAATGCCCAGCAGGTGCTGCTCCCAGTGCGGCCAAATACTCAGCAGGTGCTGCTCTCAGTGTTGCTGGGTAAGGATTCGCCTCTGCAGGAGAGAGGTAGGTGGGGCCCAGCCCAGCACCACGTGGAAATCCCAGGCAGGGTGCAAGACCACTCACCAGCATGCCTTGGAGGGGAAGGAGGCCCCGGATCCGGAAGTGGCTGGTCCCTGCAACTCCTTTGCTTGTGTACAGCAACATATCTGAGAACTGAGAAGCAGCAAGCTTTACATCCATGAACTTCACAAACAAGTGTCTTAATAGTCAGACCAACTTGGACTCTGGCTGCTCATCATGTGGACATCAGATCTGTGCAGCTTGCTGGAGATTTTTGGCAGAAAGGGGACTTTTATTCATTCATTTGGTCGTTTTTGACCAGAGGCAGGAAAGGGCCACAGGAACCAGTGCATCTGCTGGGTCAGCTCCCAGCTAGCTTGGCTGAGAAGCTGGAGGCAGTAAGGAATTCTGGCTGGTGCTGACTCAGTTACCTCCTCATCCACATGTTTCAGGCTGGAACCCACTAACTGGTAGGAACAAGGACATGCTGGGAGGGGCTTCTGAGCCAACAGTGAAACTGTCCCGACTGGCCATTGGGCCATCAGTAGCACCTTCTTGCAGCCACATGTATGTGGACTTTACAATCTTTTGGCTTCTGTTTGTCCCATAGTCAGGTGCTCAGAACCTGGAATGAAGAAGGAGGCTGGCCCTGGGGTGGGTGGGGAAGCTGTTTTCTGCTTCTTCCCACTCTGTGACCCTCCCCTGGCCCTGTCTGACTCCAACGCTACCCACCTGGACCAAAGCCTCCAAGTGCTAAACTACCCAGAGGCCAATGGGCTGCCGCTGCAGGCGATGTCCCTAACAGAACTGCTGCCCATCCCCCTCGGGGGGAAGCACAGCTTGAGTGGGGAGAGAACCTACCAGAAAAAACATCCTCTGCTGCAGGCCCTTCTTGGTGAGCTTGTGAAGGCAGCCCTCACGGATGAACTCCTGAAAGACAGAGACAGAGTCCCCTTTCAGCGGGCTGAGGGCAGCTGGCGGATGCACTAGCCGGGCTGAGGGTCAGGAATAGCCTTGTGGCCGCTTGTGCTCCTCTGGCTCCTCCCAATGAGGGTCCTCTAGTGGAGCCTCCCAATGGGGCTCCTCTACCCTCAGCAGTGCCCTTGGTCACCAGGTCCTGTCTTGGTGCCAACAAATTCAGTCCTCAAACCATCTACTGAGCACCTGCTCTGGGCTAGGAGCCCTGGAGCCCTGATACAACCAAGAGGTAGAGCCCGGAGTATTGTTCTTGCTGAGGAGAAGCTTCTGGAAGGTTCAGCCACAAAGATGTCATCTGAGATCAGCTTTGAAAACATTGGACAGGAGCAGGTTCGAGAATGGGAGGAGGAAAGGAGGGTTCTCCTAAGTATTCAAATTAGCACCAGGAGCAGGTTCGAGAATGGGAGGAGGAAAGGAGGGTTCTCCCGAGTATTCAAATTAGCACCAAGAGCAGGTTCGAGAATGGGAGGAGGAAAGGAGGGTTCTCCTAAGTATTCAAATTAGCACCACCTCGTCCACCACAGGGCGTTAGATAAGAAAAAAGAATCCTGCCAGTATCAGACACCTGCGCAGATAGGGTAAGCGAGAGTCCTGGGAGCCCCTCAGATTCCTAACCTGGACTGCTCTGGAGCCCTTCCACCATCTGTTCCTTTCAGACAAACAGGAGGAGCAGCAGGTGTCCGGAGAATGTGCTAGGGGCCTCCTAGTATGAGCAGTCCCAACATACTGCGTGAAGGCAGAAGGAGGAGCACACTACACAGATAATCCTCACAGAAACGCAGGATGAAAAACCAGCCCAAACAGAAACGTCCACCCCACACAATGAAGAAGGTGGTCATATGGATGCATTTGCGTTAACTGGATGGGGCCGGTAACTAAGCTTGTGGCTCTCACTCCACATCTGCCTCCTAGCCCTACTCTGAGAGGCCACAGGGGCGTGACAGGGAGCCCTGGAGACCGCACGCCGAGGTCCCTGTGAGCTGCTGGCAATTGCTTGGCCCTGGGAGTGGCCGTTCCTTCCAGCCACAGGTAGCAGCATCACCCTCAGAGACCCCAGCACTGGCTAAGCAGCAGCCCCCTCTCCAGAGCTCCCTCACAGGATGTGCGTCCCAGACCCACGGGGCGCCTTCTCCACCATGCACTGGCCCCGCTGCCAGCTGTGAGGCTCAGCACCGTGGGCCTTTGACCAAGCTGTCAAATTTGTTCCCCAGCCCTAGGGTAGTAACTGTGGCTCACAGTTCTGCCACCTCCCTGACACTTCACAGTTCTTTTTACCCTTTGGCACCTCATCAACTTTATACCTGGTTAACAATCCTTGCTATTACATCCTCTGCTCAAATAACTGGCATGGTTTCTGTCTGTTGACTGACACACATATTTAACTCAGGAAGACAAGAAATTCTGGGCTATCCAGACATGACTTTAGAGATTTTGACTAATAATAACAAATTATTATTTGAATTTGCACAGCATCTACTTCATGCAAGGCCCAGGGCTGAGCAGCTGACATAGATTCCCTGTTCATCCTCAAGACCTCCTGCCTCAGAGAGGGGGCGCAGCCTGCCCAGGCCACATGGGAAGTGTGGAGAGCCTGAGTTTGATGCATGGCTCAAGAGCCTACACCTTTGCCTATGTAGCTACTCTCAACTGTCTTTTCATTGACAGTTCCCTGGGCCACCATCTATAAGACCCAGTGACAGTTCCCTGGGCCACCATCTATAAGACCCTGCACAGAGGTTACTAGGAGAAATAACACTATGTAACATGAGCCCTACTTCCAGGAGTTCCCAGCCAGCAGCAACAGCTCAAAGCTATGCAGCCAAGGAGAGAAATGAAAGAGTGGTGGTCCTAGCACCTGATCAAAGCCCAGACTCCCAAAGTGGGGAAGGTTTCCTGTATATTACAGGCTAATTCATTTCTCCAAGCTTGCAGTTCCACATTTTCAATACCTTCTTCTAACAAGGCTAACACAGAACATGATTCATACACATGCTTCAATGAACATGTGTGTGCAGAGACAGGAAACATCTCCATGTAATTTTTAAAACAATTTTTTATGTTGAGAGTATTGAGTTCAAAGCAAAAAGTACTAGTGACAGAAAGTAACTGGCCCAATGGACATATAGACCATGGGATAGAATCAAGAGTCCAGAAATAAATCCATATGTTTACAGTCCATTTATTTTTTTGTTTTTGTTTTCACTCTGTTGCCTAGGCTGGAGTGCAGTGGTACGATCACGGTTCACTCTAGCCTTGACCTCCTGGGCTCAAGTGATCCACTTGCCTCAGCCTCCTGGGTAGCTGGGACCACAGGTGTGTGCCACCATGCCAGGAATTTTTTTTTTTTTTTTTTTTTTTTTGGTAGAGACAAGGTATCAGTATGTTGCCCAGGCTAGTCTCAATCTCCTGGCCTCAAGTGATCCTTCTGCCGTGGCCTCCCAAAGTGCTGGGACTATAGGCTTGAGCCACTATGCCCAGCCCCCATTGAACTTCTACAAGGGTTACATGGCAGACAGTTCAATCAATGCTGCCGGGAAAACTGGACCTCCACATGCAAAAGAATGAAGTTGGACTCCTACCTTCCACTATACACAAAAACTAACTCAAAATGGATCAAAGATTTAAATGGAAGAGGTAAAACATAAAACTATTAGAAGAAAAGAAACAGAAGGGTAAATCTTCATACCCTGGGTTAGGCTTTCTTTCTTTCTTCCTTTCTTTTTTTTCATAAATACACAGTTTTGTTTGCTATTTTCAGGGGAAACTTAGGCATTCAACTATAAGCTGATAAAATACCATACCTAAAAAAGTATAAAAGTATAAATATCCCCTTAGAATAAATTTTAGTGAATTGTCTTAATATCTTTAAATTTAAAAAAAAAAACACAACACAAGCCTATCTATTGTATCAAGGTCAAAAATCAAACAATGCTAAGGGGCCAGCAGCTCCCCAGAGAGTACACCCTGAGGGCCCACAGTGGCTGCCTTCCTCCAGAGCTCTGCTGGGGAGGACAGGTCATCCCATGGCTAAGTCTGCCCTCTAGAAAGGCTTTTATAAATTGTCTAAGCCAAACATTTAACAGCATACAAGAGACCTTACAAAGAGGAGGTGGTAAGTCCTAATGCTGGAGAACTTGGTTAATCAGGTTATTGGCAAAGAAGAAGATGAGGCCTAGGCAAGAAGTCTCCAGAAGCACTGGAAACCAGACAGTGTCAGAGCCTCTGACCTGCACATGGGCAGCTGGTGGTCAGTCTGCACAGTGCCCCTTGGGAAGCTGGAGTTCCAGAAACAAAGAGCTTGGAGCATGCCCTGCACCCCAGGTCCCCAGACTCTGACAGGTCCCTACAACCAGCTGAGAAAGGTCTGTTTTCAAAGCATGTGGGCAGTGGTTTCTAAAAGAATCCTATCAGCTCCCATGTCATGTTGGGTGGAGCCCAGGAAGGTCGACTGAAGTCCCAAACATCCCAGAAAGGCTGCACAGTTATACAAAGAAAATGAGAGAGTGGTGAGAGAAAGGCATTTGTGATGCTCCATAAACATCTCGAATTTTCACTGTGATCCAGACCTTCAGCTCCAGAAGCCAGCAGACAGGCTTCCAGCCCAACCTCTATGCCAGGAGCGACATGGCACTGACAGGCACCAGCTCCCCCGTGAGCCCACAGAGTGGGGGACAAGGCAACACTGCTACCTCACGCTAACGGGTTGAACAGATCAGTCTGAATGCAGCAATCCTTGTGGGCACTTCCAGAGTATAAGCACTGGGGAGTCTATCCACACTGAAAAGGGGTACAAAGTTCTCTCGCCTGGAAAATACAAATTGAAAAGCCTTGACTGTCCCAGGCTGAGTCAGGCAGGATCATAGCCTGTGTCGGAAAGAGGCCTGGCCTTGAAACGGCACTCAGAAGTAGTGATGATGCAGAAGCCACCTTTGTCAGGAGCTCTGTGAGGCTGATAGCAACCAGCGATCCCACCTGGGAGGCAGAGCAGACTCCTGACTGAGCCTAAGGCCTGGCAGCCAGACCCGAGGCCACGGCGTGCTGGATGCCGATGAGGCCGTGGCCGCTTCCTGCCAGTGAAGCGCAGGCTGCTTTTACAGACTATGTGTAGTACCAAGAACTCTGTCCTTTACATGATCTTCGGGGATTGAGTGGGCTGACTGGGAGCATCTGCCTCAGTCTCTGGCCCCCCTCAAGAGATAGTACCCACCTGGCCAGAATGCTCCTCCCCTTGGGGACACCTGGCCTTGGACAGCTGGACCTGTCTCTCACCACCCACCTCAGAAGCACAAAAGGATTCACACCCAGATCTCTAGAAAAATGATCAAAAGCAGGTTCCTTCTCGCAGCCAAGCTTCCTGGACATGGTAGTTCATTGCATCTTGGGAAAGAGTAAATCATTTTTTCAGCTGTCAATACTGTGTCCCTCACATCCTTGAACCTTGTTCTTGCAAAATCTTGGCCTTCTTTCTGGGTTCACTGGCCATACTGTATGGGGTGTTGTGAAGTTTCTTGGACACCACATAGAGGAACTTGGCCTGATCTTCATTCCCATAGTTGTAAGAAGAGCCATTGCTGACCAGTTGTTCAAACTTCCAGCTGTCGGACATGGTGGACACCACCTGTGTGAGTTCCTCCTCCTGACACTGAAGCACGTGGTACACATGCTTCATGGGCACCTGTGATGTTTTGCTCTCTTGTTCTCTAATTTTGTCCTTTACAAGTTTTATTAATGAAGTGATACTGTAAAATTCTGCTTTTTCCAACACTCCTTCCTCCACAAGGTCTTTGTTAATCACCAGCTTGCCACGTCTCAGGTAGTTCAACACAGGCCCAAAATAGGTGGGGTCTCTGTCCATTAAATAGGCAACAGTTTCATCCTTGTCGGGGTTAGCCTGATACAAGGAGTACAGGAAGTATTTCAGGTCCTGGCACAGCATCTGCTGGGTGGTGAGAAAGTAGGTGCCACCAATGTTGAGCCAGAGCCATTTGGACAAGCTACCGGGTGCTGGGCCACGGCACTCTGAGTCTTGCACTGCAGCAGCACAGGTCGCCCCCGCCAGCCCTGCCCTAAGGCTGCCCCAGGCAGGTGGCAGTGCTCGCATTAATTCCTTTTTTTCTGAGACAGGGTCTCACTCTGTTGTCCAGGCTAAAGTGCAGTGGTGGGATCATAGCTCACTGCAACGTTGAACTCCTGGGCTCAAGCAATGCTCCTACCTTAGCCTCCCGAGTAGCTGGGTCTATAGGTGTGCACCGCTACACTTGGCTGACAATAGTTTCTTAGATATAACATCTAAGACACAAGCAACTAAAGAAAAAAAATAGATAAATTAAAAGCTTTCATGTTGTAAATGAAGGCCACATCAAGACAGTGAAAAGACAACCCACACAATGGGAGAAAATGTTTGCAAATCATAGTCTGATAAAGGTCTAGCATTCAGAATATATAAAGAACTCTTAAAACTCAACAGGTTGTCTTTTTACTATTGGGTTTTAAGAGTTCTTTACAATTTCTGAATAAAATAAAAGGTGGGCAAAGGATTTGAATAGACATTTCTCCAAAAAAGGCCTACAAATGGCCAATAAGCACATGAAAAGATGCTCAATATCATTAGCTATCAGGGAAATACAAATTGTAACCACACAAGACAGCATTACACACTCACTAAAATGGCTAGAACCAAAAAGTGACACATGATGTGAGAAACTGGAAGTCTCATACGAGTTGGTGGGAATGAAAAATGGTTCAGTCACTTTGGAAAACAGTTTGGCAGTTCCTCAAAATGTTAAACATGGAATTACCATATGAACCTGTATATGGTATATACTCAAAACTGAAAACATAAGTCCACACAAAACTTGTACATGAACGTCCACAGCAGCACTATTCGTAACAGCCAAGAAGTGGAAATAACCCAGTGTCCATCAGATGAGTGGAGAGACGTGTGATACATGCATGATGGAGTATGATTCAGCCACAAAAAGGAACATGAGGCCGGGCACGGTGGCTCATGCGTGTAATCCCAGCACTTTGGGAGGCCAAGGTGGGTGGATCACAAGGTCAAGAGCTTGAGACCATCCTGGCCAACATGGTGAAACCCTGTCTCTGCTAAAAATACAAAAATTAGCTGGGCATAGTGGTATGTGCCTGTAGTCCCAGCTACTTGGGAGGCTGAGGCAGGAGAATCACTTGAACCTGGGAGGCGGAGGTTGCAGTGAGCCAAGATCGCGGCACTGCACCCCAGCCTGGTGACAGAGCAAGACTCTGTCTCAAATAAAAAAAAAAAAAAAAAAAAAGGAACATGAATGAACCTTGAAAAGATTATTCTGAGTGAAAGAAGAGTCACAAGAGGCCACATTAATGTGTGATACCATTTCTATGAAATGCCCAGACAGGTAACTCCTTAGAGACAGAAAGCAGATCAGTGGTTGCCAGGGGTTAGGGAGCAGAACGAGGTCCCCACAGAACAGCATCCCCACCCAGAACAGGGTTACCTCAGAACAGAGTCTCCTGAGAACAGGGTTCCCTTCAAAATAGTGATGGGAAGTGACTGTTAATTGCTGTGGGGGTTTCACTTTGGGGTGATGAAAATGTTCTGAATTCGACATTGATGGCTACATAACCTTGTGAAGATACTAAAACCCACTCAATTATATATTTTTTGTATGTATGTATGTGTGTATGTATGTATATATGTACCTATTTTATTTTATTTTATTTATTTTATTTTGAGACGGAGTTTCGCTCATGTTACCCAGGCTAGAGTGCAATGGCGTGATCTTGGTTCACTGCAACCTCCACCTCCCGGGTTCAAGCGATTCTCCTGCCTCAGCCTCCTGCGTAGCTGGGATTACAGGCATGTGCCACCATGCCCTGCTAATTTTTTGTATTTTTAGTAGAGACAGGGTTTCTCCATGTTGGTCTGGCTGGTCTCGAACTCCCAACCTCAGGTGATCTGTCTGCCTTGGCCTCCCAAAGTGCTGGGATTACAGGCGTGAGCCACTGTGCCTGGCTGTATTTACTCATTTTTAACAGAGACAGGGTCTTGCTCTGTTGTCAGGCTGGAGTGCAGTGCTGTGATCAGGGCTTACTCCAGCCTCGACCTCCTTGGCTCAAGCGATCCTCCCATCTCAGTCTCCTGAGTAGCTGGGACCACAGGTGTGCGCCACCACACCCAGCAATTCTTTTTTTTTTTTTTTTTTTTTAATTCATAGAAATGGGGTTTCCCTGTGTTGCTCAGTCTGGTCTTGAACTCCTGGGCTCAAGCGATCCTCCCACCTCAGCCTCCCAAAGTATTCAGATTACAGGTATGAGCCACTGTGCCTGGCCAAAATTATACATTTTAAAATGGTGACTTTTGTGGTATGTAAATTATATCTCAATTGAAAAACCAAAGTAGCTCAAAAAACATTCCCAGAGCAAGGTCACTCACCCTGCCAGGAGCAATGAGGTTCTCTATGCCCACCAGGTCCCGCTGCAGCTCCGTTAGCTTCTGCAGGTTCTCCAGCCGGATGAGAATGTGCTGTAGTGTGGTGGTCACCTCTGTGATGGCTTTCAGGGCGTCTGTGTGGAGAGACCCCTCAGTACAGGTGTACAGGCAGTGGTGTGCACAGCACCCTCCACCCACCACCTTGTGACAGGAACCAGCATTCTAAAAGGCAGTTCTAATTAGAGGTACATCCTACTCGACTCCTTATAGCAGCGGTCCCCAACATTTTTGGTACCAGGGATGGGTTTCATGGAAGACAATTTTTCCACAGACCAGAGGTGGTAGGAATGGTTTGGGGATGAAACTGTTCCACCTCAGATCATCAGGCATTTGTTAGATTCTCACAAGGAGCATACAAACTAGATCCCCCACATGTGCAGTTCACAATAGGGTTTGTGCTCCCATGAGAATCTAATGTTGCTGCTGATCTGACAGGAGGAGGAGCTCAGGTGGTAATGCAAGCAATGGGGAGTGGCTGTAAATACAGAGAAGCTTCACTTGCCCGCCACTCACCTCCTGCCGTGTGGCCTGGTTCCTAACAGGCTATGGACTGGACTGGTACTAGTCCATAGCCATGGGCACTGGGGACCCCTGCCTTATAGGACTTATAGGACTGCTGCCTACTATGTGCAGCCACCAGGCGCCTGCTCCTGCAGATACCCCTGAGGCCTTCAGGTTGTTCAACCCAAACTGTTGGCCAGCCCATATTCTGGTTTGGCAAAGAGGATAGGCTTTGTAAATAACCATTTAATGTTATGGGTAAGGCAGTATTTGCTCTTAAAGGAAAATGATTTATTGTACTTTAAAGGCTAAATGATTTGCACCTTCAAAGCAATTGTAACTTTCTCTTTTAACCAGGAACAGATGCTAATCTTATAGTTCAAGCAAAGATAAGAGAAAGTTTATAATCTGGACAGGAAACTTAAAACACAAAGTTATACTAAGAGTGGTCTGCCCAGCTCTGAGGCCATGCTGAGAGTGGTGGCGTAGCATAGCTGAGCCTGCTCCCAACTCTGATGATGCCTGGAGCACAGGGTCTGCATCCTCCTTGCTGGAATCACTCATGGGGACCACTTTCCCCCTTCTTTCTTTTTATTTATTTATTTATTTATTTATTTATTTATTTATTATTATTATTAGAGACAGGGTCTCACTCTGTCTCCCAGGCTGGAGTGCAGTGGCACGATCTTGGCTCACTGAAACCTCCGCCTCTCAAGTTCAAGCAACTCTTGTGCCTCAGCCTCCCGAGTAGCGGGGACTACAGATGCCCGCCACAACGCCTGGCTAATTTTTTGTATTTTTAGTAGAGACAGGGTTTCACCATGTTGGCCAGGCTGGTCTCCCACTCCTGACGTCAGATGATCTACTCACCTTGGCCTCCCAAAGTGCTGGGATTATAAGCGTGACCCACCATGCCCGGCCACCTTCTCCCTTGTTTCTATCATGACTCCCTCTTATTTCCTGGCCACAAAGCTTCTCCATGACAAGGTCCACACCCCTCACCCAGCACTGCCCAGTGCTCAGCTCTAGCCCTGGGCAGATTTGTTAGCATGAAGTCACCTGACTGTTCCAGCTCTATCTTTTTTTTTTTTTTTTTTTTTTTTTTTTTTTTTGAGACGGAATCTCGCTCTGCGCTCTGTCGCCCAGGCTGGAGTGCAGTGGCACGATCTCGGCTCACTGCAAGCTCAGCTCCGCCTCCCGGGTTCATGCCATTCTCCTGCCTCAGCCTCCCGAGTAGCTGGGACTACAGGCACCCGCCACCACGCCCGGCTAATTTTTTGTATTTTTAGTAGAGACGGGGTTTCACTGTGTTAGCCAGGATGGTCTCGATCTCCTGACCTCGTGATCTGCCAGCCTCGGCCTCCCAAAGTGCTAGGATTACAGGCGTGAGCCACCGCGCCCGGCCTGCAGCTCTATCCTTTCCAGTGGGGGTGACAACAGCCCCTTACAGCTTTCAGAGGATAAAGTCAGAAAAGAATGAAGTAGGTGAAGAGATCATCATTGACAAAGAAAATTGACTGACAAAATTCACTTTCTGTCAATGATACCTGCATGACACTGAAAATGAGGAAGAACTTCAGTGAAGCCAGCATAGGTCTTGGCAGCTACCAACCCTATTGCTCTGTGCAGATTTCTAAGCTCCTGCCCCCATCCCCTGGCTCTCCCAGGCTGGCCATCCCTCAAGCACTTGGGTCTGAGCCCTTCCTTCCAGACATCATGTCAGGCAGAGACTCATCACGCCATGTCCATTTGCTGCATGGCTGCTTGAATCCACTCAAAGAGCACCAGTGCCACCCTGCCCTCAAATGCTGAGTCCACACAGTTGCAGGGCTGGGAGCCTGACTGCCACATGGACACTGTGCTGCACCTCGGTAGGGACTGGCAGCTGCTGGAAGCTCAGGACACATTTTGGACCTGATGGCACGATAATGATCCTATACATCACCTGACCTGCCTTGACATTCTCCACAGAACCCACAGAACAGGGTCTCCACAGAGTAGTGCCCCCTGCAGAACAGGGTCCCTCAGAAAAGGGTCCCTCTCAGAACATGGCCCCCACAGAATAGCATCTGCCACAGAACAGGGTCCTCTTGGAACATGGTCCCCTCAGAAGAGGGTACCTTCAGAACAGCATCTCACTCAGAAAAGGGTCCCCTCAGAACAGGGTCCCTATAGAGCAGGGTCACCACAGAACAGGGTCCCCTTAGAAAAGGGTCCTCACAGAACAGAATCCACACAGAACAGGATGCCCACAGAACAGAATCCCCCACAGAACAGAGTCCCCTCAGAAAAAGAGTCCTCATAGAACAGGATCCCCACAGAACAGCGTCCACCTCAGAACAGGGTCCCCAGAGAACATAATGCCCTCACAACAGGGTCCCCTCAGAACTGCATCACCCTTGGAACAGAGGCCACATAGAGCAGCAGCCCCCTCAGAACAGGGTCCCCACAGAAAAGGATCCCTTCAGAACAGGGTCCTCTCAGAATAGCATCCCCCTCAGAATAGGGTCCCCTCAGAACAGCATCCCCCTCAAAAGAGGTTCCCCTCAGAACAGGATCCCTCTCAGAACAGGGTCCCCGCAGAACAGCATCACATTCAGAATAGCGTCCCCTCAGAACAGGGTGCCCTCAGAACTGAGTCCCTTCAGAACAGCATCTCCCACATAAAAGGGTCCCCTCAGAACAGAATCCACACAGAATAGGGTCTCCTCAGAGCAGCAGCATCCTCAGAACAGAGTCCCCTCAGAACAGAGTCCCCTCAAAACAGCATCACCTTCAGAACAGCGTCTACACAGAACAAAATCCCTACAGAACACGGTCTCCTCAGAATAGCATTCCCTTCAGAACAGGGTCCTCTCAGAACAGGTTCCCCACAGAACAGGGTCCTCACAGAATGAGATGCCCCACAGAACAGGGTCCCTTCAGATCAGAATCCCCACAGAACACCATAAAACAGGGTCCCCTCAGAACAGGGTCCCCACAGAAAAGAATCTCCCTCAGAACAGGGTCGCCTCAAAACAGCATCCCCGTCTGAACAGGATCCCCCTCAGAATGGCATCCCCCACATAACAGAATCCCCACAGAACAGGGTCCCCTGAGAACAGCATCTCAAGGAATCCAAGCAGGATTCCTTCATAACAGGATCACCACAGAACAGAATCCCCTCACAACAGGGTTCCCACAGAAGAGGTTCCCCACAGAACATGGTCCCCTCAGAACAGGGTTCCCATGGAACAGCATCCCCCTCAGAACAGGATCCCCCTAAGAACAGGGTCCCCTCAGAACAGGGTCCCCTCAAAACAGCACTACCCTCAGAATAGGGTCTCCACAGAACAGAACCCCCCCAGAACAGGATCCCCTCAAAATGGCATCCCCCTCCAAACAGGGTCTTCTCAGAACAGTGTTCCCAGAAAACAGGTTCCCCACATAACAGGTTCTCCTCAAAACAGCCTCCTGCTCACAACAGGATTCCTTCAGAACAGGATCACCACAGAACATAATCCCCTCAGAACAGGGTCCCCACAGAACATGGTCCTCTCAGAACAGGATCCTGACAGAACAGGTTCCCTTCAGAACAGCGTCCTCACAAGAACAAGATGCCCCACAAAATAGGGTCTCCGTAGAACAGCAACCCCGGCTGGGCGCGGTGGCTCATGCCTGTAATCCCAGCACTTTGGGAGGCTGAGGCGGGCGGATCACGAGGTCAGGAGATCGAGACCATCCTGGCTAACACGGTGAAACCCCGTCTCTATTAAAAATACAAAAAAAATTAGACAGGCGTGGTGTCGGGCGCCTGTCGTCCCAGCTACTCGGGAGGCTGAGGCAGGAGAATGGCATGAACCCAGGAGGCGGAGCTTGCAGTGAGCCGAGATCCTGCCACTGCACTCCAGCCTGGGTGACAGAGCGAGACTCCGTCTCACACAAAAAAAAAAAAAAAAAAAAAAAAGAAGAAGAGCAACCCCCTCAGAACAGGGTCCCCACAGAACACGGTCCTCACAGAATCAAATCCCCTGTAGAACAGGGTCCCCTTAGAACAGCATCCCACTCAGAACAGGGTTTCCACAGAACAGGATCCCCACAAAACAGGGTCCCCTCAGATCAGCATCCCCTCAGAATAGTGTCCCCTCACAACAGCGTCCCCCTCAGAACAGTATTCCCCGCAGAACAGGGTCCCCTCAGAACGGCATCCCACTCGGAACAGGGTCCCCTCAGAACAGTATCCCGTTATAACAGGGTCCCCTCAGAAGAACATCCCCCTCAGAACAGGACCCCCGTCAGAACAGAGACCCCTCAGAACAGAATCCTCCTCAGAACAGGGTCCTTCTCAGAGCAGAATCCCCCACAGAACAGGGTCCCCTTCAGAACAGCATCCTCCTCAGAACATGTTCCCCCATGACACTATTCCCCACTTAGAACGAGATCCGCTCAGGGTAGTGTCCCCCCCAGAATAACATTCCCCTCACATAAGAGTTCCCTCAGGGTAGTGAGCACCCAGAACAGGGTCCCCCTCTGAATAGGGTCTCCTCAAAACAAGGTCCTCTCAGAGCATCCCCCTGCGAACAGCATCTCTTCAGAACAGGGTCCCCTGAGAGCAGCATCCACCTGAGAGCAGAGTCCCCACAGCACAGTATCCTCCTAAGAACAGGGTCCCCACAGAATAGAGTCTCCTCAGAGTATGGACCCCTCCCTCAGAGCAGGGTCCTCCTCAGTCCAAGATCCCCTCAGAGTGCATCCCCATCAGAACAGGACCCCCTGAGAGCAGTATCTCCCTCATAACTGAGTCCCCTCAGAACAGTGTCCCCCTCAAAAAAGGGTCCCCCTCAGAAGAAGGTTCTCTTAGAGTAGTGTTTCCCTCAAAACAGAGTCCCCCCTCAGAACACTGTCCCCTTTAGAACAGAGTCCTCCTCCAACTATGGTCCCCTTAGAACAGAATCTCCTCAGAGCAGTGTTCTTAGAACAGGGTCCCCTCAGAATTGGGTCCCCCTCCGTCCAAGATCCCTTCAGAGCGCATCCCCATCAGAACAGGACCCCCTGAGAGCCACGTCCCCTCGTAACTGAGTCCCCTCAGAAAAGGGTCCCCCTCAGAACAGGTTCCCCCACAGCAGTAGGCAGAGCAGGTGCATGATAGAATGGATCAACAACATACACTTAACATCCAGCACCCTTGGAAACTCTCATCAAAATGAAGGATAAATAAAATTGCAAGGCTGGCTTCTGCCAGCCCCAACAAATGTACTCCCTTTTGTCCAAGAGAATTCTATTCAAGTTCTCAGGAAGACCAAGAGGCTGGTAACATTTGCACACCAAAGGCCATTTTCCAAGAAGGCCCTTCTTGACAAGCATTCCTGTGTCCCACATTTGGAGAGTGGGGTCATGGAGGGAAAGGAGCCTGCCATAGTGTCAGCTGAGAATGTTTCATCGACTGGGCTCTCACTGCGCTTCAGAGATGGCTGAGGTCTGAAGCAAACCTAGGGAGGCTGATGGTTATCAGTGTTCTGTTGAGTTGACAACTTCAAAGCACTTTCACAAACAGCTTCACAGAGGTTTTGCACCAGTCTATACATTTTACTGATGAAAAACCTGTCATGTTGTGAGGTACAGGAATCCCTCCAAAGTCCTATGTACCTCAAGCACATGGTAGATGTGGCCAGAACCTGGGCCCCAGTCTTCTCCATGGCATGGCTTCCCTGGTGGCCCGGGCCCAGGCCAACCTCTGCTCCAGCACTCTGCCTACCTAACTACTGTGGTATAATGACTGACAATGAGAAACATTTTAAACATGGTGTGGTTATGTCATGTTTTCCTTAAAATGTTTGAAAATGTTTTCTATAATTTTGTCCTTCTCCTTTTTAACAAACATGAAACATTTTCTTTTAGAATGAAAAGAAAGAGAATCGTCAACATTGTATGATCCATTCTATTTCTTGCTAATCAGAAAGCATCCTTATTTATATCTATTCATGGCTATGGGAAACCAGCTAGAGGAAATGCTAAGTATTTTTTCATCTATTTTTAATGACAATGATAAAATTTACTTGTAAAAACCTCCTCATGTGGTGGCTCACACCTGTAATCCCAGCACTTTGGGAGGTTGAGGCAGGCGGATCACGAGGTCAGGAGTTCGAGACTAGCCTGGCCAACACGGTGAAACCCTATCTCTACTAAAAATACAAAAATTAGCTGGGTGTGGTGGCGGGCGCCTGTAATACCGGCTACTTGGGAGGCTGAGGCAGGAGAATCACTTGAACCCGGGAAGTGGAGATTGCAGTAAGCCAAGATCACACCACTGAACTCCAGCCTGGGCGACAAGAATGAAACTCCGTCTCAAAAAAAAAAACCACAAAACCATAAACATAAACAAAAACAAAAACAAAAAACCTCCTGATAAGCATAAAGTTCCCATCAGAACACATCCCCATTAGAATAGGTCCCCATTAGAGCAATGTTCCCCTCATGCCTGAGTCATCTCAGAAAAGGGGACTAAATTTACAATAAAATTAGAAATCCTATTTTTAGGTTAAAAAGGTCAGAGTTTACTCTTTTATCCCTTTAATAAACATCAAAAATTACAAAGGCTGCCTATGTTAAAAACTTCTAACAGGTCACCTTGGCCCAATCTTTTGTACGTTTTAGAGCCAAGGCCTCCAGGACAGAAACATCCATAGGCAGCAGGTTGCTCTGGGGGTTGCACCCCATTCCCCAGTGCACTTGTGGGGGCTGTGGGGTCCCCAGCAGGAGCATGCCCTGTGACTCCTGCAGGGCAATCAGAGTCATCCCCTACACTGCTCAGACGTGGAGATGGGCAGGGCCTTGCCTGAGGGTGGAGGAGCAGAATAGACAGAGACCTGGTGTAGCCTGGGACCTGCCCTCTGCCAGCAGCCAGAGGAGACGGGAAGGAAGGCCAGGGCCAATGCTGACCACTGTGGTCCAGGCCCTAATGGGGTGGACTCCTGCGCTTCCCAGTGAAGGAAGTCTTCAGGTCTGGCAAAGCCGCCCCTGCCTCCCAGCCACGCACGCTGATCCTTGAGATGCAGGGCCGCACCCACACTCACCATGGCAGTCAGCGTAGTCATGGTGCCCGGGGCTGTAATGTCCGCATAGGCGGCGCAGCAGCAGGCGGTAGTGCAGCAGCCGCTGGATGGGCTTCAGCAGGAACGTGTTGAGAGGCAAGTAGCAGACCTTCTGCAGCTCAAACTCCTTGTACACTGCCTCCAACTTCTTACAGCGTTTGGTAGCCTTTTCCAGTTCTGTTAGGACCTCGTCATGTCTTTGGAAGTAGCTGGTAAACTCCTGTGGAGGCGCAAGAGTGGGGCCTTTAGGTGAGGAGATGTAGGAGTCCAGGGGGAGACTGGCCTGTTTTCCTTGATGGCAGGTGCCGGCTGGAAATCCCCACAGGGCAAATGGACCAGTGGCCCAGCGTGCGCCAGCGGGGGCTTTCTAGCCTCCACGGAATGCATCTCAACCCGTCTCAGATGCCATGTGACCTGCACCTCATTCCACCAATTCACTGCTACATGCACCACTAACCGGCCCCATATCACATGCACTGAGTGGACCAGGGCCACCTCCCCACTGGACAGATGAAGAATTGAGGATGGGAAGGCTGCAGCTGGCTGCGTGGGACACAGTAAGGGAGTGCAGGGCAGGGGTTAAACAAAGCCCACCCGAGTCCTGCCCAGTCTTAGGGCTCGCTCCAGAAACTTCTCTCAAGAGTGGAACTAAGCGGTTGTGCTGGCACAGTTACTGGACAGAGGGAATAACCACACCTGACTTTTTTTTTTTTTTTTTGAGACTGGATCTAGCTCTGTCGCCCAGGCTGGCGTACAGTGGTGGGATCTTAGCTCACTGCAACCTCTGCCTCCCGGGTTCAAGTGATCCTCCCACCTTAGCCCCCCGCAAGAACAGGCATGTGCCACCACGCCCGGCTCATTTTTTAAATATTTTTTATAGAGATGGGGGTCTCACCATGTTGCCCAGGCTGGTCTCGAACTCCTGAGCTTAAGCAATCCACCCATCTCAGCCTCCCAAAGTGCTGGGATTACAGGTTTGAACCACTATGCCTGGCCCATATCTGATGATTTTACAACACATGTATACATGTATGTGGATTCTGAGTATTACACAGACATATTAAACTAAACTATTCTCTAACTTAAAGTTTTTTTGTTTGTTTGGATACAAGGTCTCACTCTGTCACCTAGGCTGGAGTGCAGTGGTGCGATCATAGCTCACTGCAGCCTCAACCTCCCTGGTCTCAGGTAATTCTCCTGCTTCAGCCCCCTGAGTACCTGGGATCACAGGCGCACACCACCACACCCAGCTAATTTTTGTATTTTTTGTAGAGATGGGGTTTTGCTATGTTGGCCAGGCTGGTTTCAAACTCCTGGACTCAAGCGATCCACCTGCCTCAGCCTCCCAAAGTGCTGGGATTACAGGCATGAGCCACTGCGCTCAGCTAAAGGGTTACATTTTTTTTTTTTTTAACAAAACACTTTTATTTGGTCCACTGGAGCCTGAGTCGGAAACCACTGTGGAGAATCCTATCATAAAGGAATGGGGACTGACAGTTGATAAAACAGCTTCTGTGTCACAAGAGCTGGCCGTATTTACATATTTAGGGGTTAAAAATATTCACAGTTCAGGGTACAGGGAGGCCAAAGGGGAGTGGGGAATGTTTCTCCAGGTGTAAAAGCTCTGGAAGCCCCTAGGAGGGTACGGGTGGTGGTGGTGGGGGGGGGGGTGGTTGGAAGGGGAGTGAAGGCGGGGCTGGCCCGCTGCCTGGGGGTGAGGGGTGGTGAGGGCCAGGTGGGGATGCAGGAAGCTGGGCTCAGATGTCTATGCATCCACACTCGCTAGGCTTCTAGCGGGAGGTGGAAGTGGCCAAGCCCTGCCGATGCCCATGATGGGCTGGGGTCCCTCTCTGTGGCAGGGCCGGGCCAAGGGACAGGGTTGGCTGAGGAGTCTGCTGGTCCCCGGCCTGCCTGGCAGTGGTGAGTGGTGCTGAGGACCAGTGCCCACCCACAGCGGGCCTGGCACCCACCTGCACCTGGTCATGGCTTCAATCCTGGCAGGCGCTCCAGGAGTTGTATAGTGTCGCTGAGGGGTGGCTGGCCAAGGGCCCCTCTTTCCAAGACAAGCACTACTCCGGGACTCACCACTCCACACCGGGGCTCCAGGGACCACACTTGCACTGTAGGGGGACAGGGGCCCGGGCTCTGGGGGAAAACTGACCTTATGCCCCGTGAGGGGGTGGTCCCTGATCCCAACCTGGGGTCTTGGCCTCTGACACCCAGATTTGGTTTTGTGGACAGAGCTCTTGGCTGCCTCCCCAGAGCTAAAGGGTTTTAATATCAAATCCCTTTGTTTTAATGAACATTAAAGATGACTACAGTATGATAATCTGGATCAAACAGATTTGTGTATATTTCAATTTTAAATTAGTGCAACTGCCTTTGGGATAAGTAGAACTTTCTCATTAACAACCTGACTCAGCTTCCGTCGAGGCAGGAAAAGGGCACCTAGGCTGAATGCAGTTCTTCAAGTGGGGCTATCTCAACACAGAACAGCAAAACCTATAGTCCCTTGGGAACTCTAGGTGTGAGGAGTGGCCAGAGTCTCGCAGGATTGGGTAGAAGGTGGGACAGGCGAGGGATGGAGGAGGGGGAGCTTGAGTCGTCGTCGTCACTGTGGCTCAGCTTCATGGTGTTATGCAGAGCTCCACACCTTGGGCGGTCACGTGGTGAACTCATGAGCAGCCTGAGAGGGAGGGAGAACTGTTCCAGGCACGTTAAGCAAGAGTGAGACCCCTGAACAGTCAATGCACGACCTGCACTGTTGTCCACATGTGAACACCTGTACCGTTGCTCCTATTGAAGAGAAATCTCACTTCCCCCAGTGCTGCCCCTGCCTATCCAAAAGTCTACTCCATTTTTGTGACCCCTGCTACATGCCCTTCGTGGAGCTGGAACACCTGAAAGAAAAACCTATGAGCCTAGCAGCCAAGGTGGAAACAAGTCCCAGGGCCCTGCCCTCCCCACAGCAGCTATGGGGACTCTGCCCTGAACAGGTCCTGCCCTGGGGAGGGGGGACTCTGTCCTGAGAATGATGTTCTGAGGAAGACTCTGTTCTGTGGGGAACCCTGATCTGAGGGAGGCCCTGTTCTGAAGAGGATGCTGTTCTGGGCAGACCCATTGAGGAGGACAATGTTCTGGGGGAGAATCCTGCTCTGAGGTGAACACTGTTCTGGGGGAGTCCTGTCCTGATGGAAATGGGGACACTGTCCTCAAGGGAATGCTATTATCAGTGGAGAAAAAGGTTCTGAAGAGAACAATGTTCTGGGGCTGGTAAGGGCCCTGATCTAAGGCAAACAATGTTTTAAGGTGGAGTCTGTTCTGGGGGTAGTTCTGATTGGAGGGAGACCATGTTCTGGGGGACCCTGTTGTGAGGGGTATGCTGTTTTCAGGGGCATCCTATTCTTGGAGAGCCCTTATTGAGGGATGCGGTGAGGAGGGAACTTGTTCTGAGGGAAACAGTGTCCTGATGGGGCCCTGGACATTGCCCTGAGCCAGACTCTTTTCTGAGGGAAACAAGATTCTGAGGGAGACCCCATCCAGAGTAGGATCCTGTTTGAGGAAGATAGAGTTCTGAGGAGACCCTGTTCTGAGGGTGATGCTGTTCTGGGGAACCTTGTTCTAATGGGAATGATGCTTCAAGGGAGACCCTGTTCTGAGGGGGCTGCTGCTCTGAGAAGGACTCTGTTTTGAGGGAACTTTATTCTGAGGGAATCCTGTTCTGAGAGCCTGAGGGGGATGCTATTCTGAGAAGACCCTGTTCTGAGAGGACCCTGTTTTGGGTGGACCCTGCTCTGGAGGGACCCTGCTTTAGGGGGGACTCTGCTCTGGGGAAACCCTGCTTTGAGTAGGAACCTGTTCTGAGATGGACTCTGTTCTGAGAAAATCCTTTTCTGAGGGGGCCCCTGTTTTGAGGGGTCCCCTGCTCTGAGGGGATGCTGTTCTGAGGGTACCCTGCACTAAGGGGACCCTGCTCTGAGGGGGTCCCTGTTCTGAGGAGACCCCGCTCTTAGGGGACCCTGCTCTGGGGGGACCCTGCTCTGAGGGGACCCTGTTTTGAGGAAACCCCACTCTGAGGGGAACCCTGTTCTCAGGAAACCTTGTTTTGAGGAGACCCTGCTCTGAGGGGGACCCTGGTCTGGGGGGGATCCTATTCTGAGGGGACCCTGCTCTGAGGAGACTGTTCTGAGGGGGACCCTGGTCTGGAGGGATCCTGCTCTGAGGGGGCCCTGTTCTAAGGAGACCCTACTCTGAGGGGGATCCTGTTCTGAGGGGACCCTTTTCTGAGGGGACGCTGTTCTGACGGGCCTCAGCTTCGGGAAGATGGTTTTGCTCCCATAAACAGCATTCATGTAGGCAGTAGTCACCATGCAGCCTACCTTTAACTGGCGCATGTTCCTGAGCAGGATGTCCCCGATTCGTTGATGACTGCCTTTTGTGTGGGCTTTGGAGGGCCCTTCCCTGAGTAAAAAGAAACAAAGTCATCCTAAACATGGTGAAAGCTTGCAGAAGGCACTGTAATCTGACGCAGGGTGACAGCTGCCTTGGTTCCAGCTGGAGGAAGGTGGTGAAGCTCTGAGGTGGAAGAGGCCGCAGGGCAGGGCCTGCCCTGGATGGAAGCTGCTATTATGTGTCTGGCCATTCTCTAAAACAGATAGTAACCAGGCAAAAAGGGATCTTCCATTTTTAACTTGCTCCTTGCACTCTCTTTTCTGGAAGAGGGTGAATAAAGGGTATTATTACATCTGTACCTCTCCCCACAGGCTCCTAAAAATATGCTCCAGTGAAAAAATGGCTCTTCTGAATTAGTTTCTGAAGCTGGGAAGTTCCTAAGAGCGGTGATGATGAGTTGGTGTGGGAGTCTCCCGTGTGGGGGCTGAAGGGGTGTTACCAGAGTGCCAGCCTCTGCTCCACCTCGCGCAGGAAGCCTCTGTGGAACTCATAGATGGGATCGATGTTGGAGAAGAGCAGCGTCATCAGAGTCGCAGGCATGGCGTCCTCCTTCACCACTGCGCTGCGGAACCACTGTGGGAAGAGTGTGGTGTGATGGGAGGTGTGGCTCTTGTTGGGGACTGAGAAACTGTGCCCCTGAGGGCCTGTAGCCATAGGTCACCCAGTGATGACCCTCCAGTCACCGCCTACAAAGAGGGTTCAGATCAGCACTACAGCCATCCTCTTTGTTGACCATCCAGTTTTCAAATATAATGAAACTATCCTACATCAAAAGTTTCAAATGGACACTTTGCAGCTTTATAGCTTCACAAAAACTTGGACCCAATGTTCTGACCTGACTTAGAATAGTTTTAAAACAGATATATTTAACAAAATATATACAAGCAAGTCTCATGATTATCAAGAGATATTTCTTGGCTGGGCGGTGGCTCATACCTGTAATCCCAGCACTTTGGGAGGCTGACCAAGGTGGGCAGGTCACTTGAGGTCAGGAGTTTGGGACCAGCCTGGCCAACATGGTGAAACCCCACCTCTACTAAAAATACAAAAATTAGCTGGGTGTGGTGGTGGGCGCCTGTAATCCTAGCTACTAGGGAGGCTGAGGCAGAAGAATCACTTGAACCCAGAAGGCGGAGGTTGCAGTGAGCTGAGATCATGCCACCGCACTCCAGCCTGGGTGACAGAGTGAGGCTCCATCTCAAAAAAAGAAAAAAAGAAAAAAAAGAGATATTTCTCTGTGTTCAGATGAGAGATTTATTTTAAAAAAAAATCAAAGTAATCAAGGACTTTCGTACCACGGTAATAACTTCTAAATCCTTGAGGTATGTTCGTTCTGTAGCGAGAATCTCTTTGACTATGAAGTAGGCCTCGTCTGCAGGCACGCGCTGAAAGAAGCAGAGAGCTGTAAGTGTGCGTCCCTGGGACATGGGACCCTCCCACGCTCAGGGAGCCTGAAGTTGGTAATGTTTGCTTTCTTCTGCTCAAGGTAACATCGTCATGGGGTTTTCACCTTCAACTTCTGAAGAGATTTATCCCTGAGTAAAAACATAATCCTGTTATTCTTTTGGAAAAAAGAATTGCTGTTCAAATATCACCATATGTAAACAGGGTTGAAGTTTATTATTGGTTTTGTGATAAAATCATTTTTTATATATCACTGCCAGTGGCATAGCTGGTTAGCAGACACAGGTCCATGAGTGTGTGTGTGCTTATAAATTATTAAACCTAACCCATACAAAAGTCATTAAAATGAGCAAACAGTGCGCATTCTAAGTGTGCCTGCATCAGAGCGCCAGACTTGCTGGTGCACTTCCTGATGCAGACGTGGAACATACCCCGGGCCCAGTTTTCCGTGCCCTGCTAGAGACAGCCCAGCCCTGAGCGATCCTATAGCTGGCAGGGCTATCTCTGCCCAAGGTGCTGGTGCCAAGCAGGCAAGCTGGCCATAGGGGACCCTCTACACCTCACCCAACACAGTGTTCCTGGCAAAGCACATGCCTCATGATGGCCTTGGCAGGCACTGGGTCCTGTCCCTGCAGGGCCTCTCCCCACCCTGAACCCTCCAAGAGCCACCCTCTGTTGAGGTAAAACTTAACAGCCTCTTCTCCGTCCTCTCCCTGCCCAGAAACCATGATCCTGCTCTGCCCTGGCAGCTCGCCTGCCCCACCTCCAGACTGTGGCCAGCTTCAGGGTAGGTGGGCCGTGCAAATATCCATGGAGCAGGTGTCAGCTCCGAATAGGCGCCTGGACACTGCCCCCTGCCCCTGTGAGGGTGTCCTACCAGGAGAAGACAGGCAAGAAGCACAGAGGGCTGTACAAGACATAACGCAGAGCAGAGGAGGGGCTGGAGGCTGGGGGACACAGTAGGCCGCAGCCTCACTCAGAGCAGACCGGGCAGCCTGTGGGACAGGTCAGAGGTCAAGGGGCTGGAGCAATGTGGGGAGGTCAGAGGGAATAGACAGGCTATTGGTGGGGAAGCAGGCCACGTGGGCCTTCTGGACCCTTTGGGGTCTACCTGAATGTGCTGTGACACACTTGGGCCCCAGGATGAGAGCAGACCAGGAGGGCAGAGAGGCTGCCGGTGGACCTCAGCACCACCCGGCGAGACAGCACTGGCTTGGGGGGCGCGGAGGGGTGAGGGGTGAGATCCTGGACACATTCTGAAGGTCCGGTGTGGAGGTAAGGTGTGAGGGTTGGAGGCAGGAGGGGTGACTGCCGCAGTTTTTGGCCTAAGCCAAGGGAAAGACCAGCTGCCATGACTGGAGGTTTGGGAGGAGTATCAGGAGCTGGGTTTGCAAGTGAGCAAGTAGCTGAGGTGGCATGTGGAGCCATGTCTTCTTCCTTGTACTGCTGTGAAGTTTAGCAGAGCCTGCAGGGTTGTCTACCCTCGTGGATGAGAGGACAACAGAGGCACATTTATCCTGTGAGTCCTGAGCCCATGGATATAGCCAGCTGTGAAGGGATAGCACCCTACAGTCTACTGAGATGCTGCTGCCTAGAGCCCTCCAGTGCCCAGGTGCTGTGCCTCCCCCGCCAGAGTCCTGCACACGTCCACTGCTGTTCTCTCAGCTCTTCCCCATGGCTGGCAGCCTGCCTGGCTCCCACAGCCCTGCCACCATGTGGCTCTGCCACCAGCTCAGCCCCCACCTCTTGGTGCACTGGCCTCCTCCCCACAGAGAAGCTGAACCACCTTTCCAGCCTTTAGGCTTTTTCTATTTTTTCTTTTTGAGCTTCATGATATTAAAAATGACTTTTTTATCTTTCAAATGAAAGGTTGAGCCCATCTTTCAAATCCAAATTCAGTAAAATCTCTTTACAAAGTCTTTTCTTGGCTGGATGTGGTGGCTCATGACTCTAATTCCAGCACTTTGGGAGGCTGATATGGGAGGATCACTCGAGGCCAGGAGTTTGAGACCAGCCTGGGCAACATAGTGAGACCCTGTCTCTTAAAAAAAAAAAAGGTTAGCCAAGCAGGTGGTCACACCTGTAATCCCAGCTCCTGGGAGCCTGAGTTGGGAGGATCACTTGGGCACAGAAGTACAAGGCTGCAGTGAGCTGTGGCTGCACCACTGCACTCCAGCCTGGGCAACAGAGACGGACCCCATCTCTAAAAAAAGAAGTCATTTCTCCACCTGAGCTTGATATGCCCAGTGAATTCTCTGGGGGCAGAGCTGGTCCCGTCCCCAGAGGCCCATGTTTATGGTCTGGGAGGCCCCAGCCTTCCCCACACAGCTGAGGGACAGGGATGTTACATGTTAATGCCCCACAAACTGTTGGCCTTGGGCCCTGGGGGAGAGTCTGGTAGAGGGAGGACAACTTCCTAGCCACAGTCACCGTGGCATGGAGTCCAAAGGCAATGTCCTAACTCTGAATGTTGTTCTATAGAAAGAAACAGGATGCTCGAGTCCCGGAGCAGCTCCACTCCTCCAGGGGCGAGGCACATAGAGACACATACGCCATCAGAGAGCCACAGCAGTCGCTGATGAGACTTCTCATCACAGGTGCCACCAGTGGGTCACAGGGGAGTCAGGGGAGCAGACTGGCCAAGAGAAGGGTCTTCCGTCCCGCCCCTGCCCCCGCCCCGCCCCGCCCAATCAGCCCAAGGAATACCGTGAGAAGACTCTCAGGGACAGAAAATACAGCAGCTGCCACGCTGCCCCCACCTCTAGATCAATGTCAAACCTGACCCCCAGCAAGCTGGGCTGCAGGCCAGGGATGAGACGGCGGCCAGGGATAGGCCCAGAGGAGCATGCAATTCCTGTGAGCTTCGCCACCTGTCCCCACATGAAGGGTCTATGTGCCCATGCAGAGCGTGGAAGAGGCTTCTGCCACCTTTGGCTTTCCTACCTTTCGACTGTGGCCGATCCTCACAAATCTCTATTAAAAAGGGGACAAACAGTGCATCAAGTGGGAGACACTGGGGAGGAGGGCACCAGCTGGCGAGGGTGGGCTGGAGGGTGGGCAGCTCTTTGCCCCTCCCCGCACAGCCCAGCAACTGGGTGCAAGTGCAAAAGCTTGACGGGTGGCCTCAGTGGCAGCACGTGCTTCTCAGACCCCTGTCACCCTGGCTCCCCAGGAGAGTGGTCTGCCAGGCCTTGCCAGCAGAACCGTCAGTGAATGTGGGGCCGGGGTCTCCCCAGAACCTGTTGCAGCCTGGCTGGGCACACTGGTTCATGAGGTCAGCACAGAGGGGTACTCTGGTGGGAACCTACCTCTGGGTCAAACCAGCAGCCCCTGCATGGTGATGAAAGGGCCATCCTTGCCATCTCGGAGCCCACCTGTGCTGGGCAACAGCCTTGCTATCTCAACTCACACACACAGAATTGAAGCAGAGCCCAGAGCCCTCCCTCCAGAGCCCAGGTGTTGAGGAGAGGCAACAGGAGACACCACGTCAGGGCTGAGGGTGCCCACACGCAGGGGCTGGGCCCAAGGGCTGCCGAATCTTTCTCTGCAGTGACCCAGCCACCAACTCCTCAAGGGCATGGCTCGGTGAGGACCCTGAGGTGCCCCCATCCCAGAGGGCCTTGCCATGCTGCTGGCCCCATGCCACGTCATGACTCACAGGCTTCTCCCAGGGCCACTTGCCACCAGCCCAATTATCCTCAGATGTGACAAGCTGTCATCCTATAGAACCATCTAAAGAATCAACTGATTTTTGTAATATAAAAAGTTACAAATTAAAATTTAGTCTTAATAACAGACTGCTTGGTAGCCATTTTTTTTTTTGTACCAAAGAAACAGTGAACTAAAGAGATTGTCATTAGGTTTCCAAAATAAAATAAAAAGACATCTTTTTTGGAAACAGTCTTGCTGCCAGGGCCCAGAACTAGCCCTCACTTGCAGGCCTCGTGCAGCAGTACGTTTAATATCCTTTGCTGCCTCCAGACCAGGGGGCTCCTTCCACTCCAGTGGGATCCAGGGGGACCCTCAGGGCACCAGGAAGGAGGAGACTGCCCTGCCTGTGCCATCCTACCTGCTGAGAGTCCCAGCATCCCACGGGTAGCCCTGGCATCTGGAAGGCAGGCCTTGGACAGAATATCCTCTGGCCAATTCGGGCCAAAGCAGGAGTGCTGAGGTGTCACAATGACATACCTCCCCCTGTACCAGCACTGACTCCCTCCCTCCTAGAGGCCCCATGGCCTCTTCCCATCCAGCTGCCACTCAGGGACCCCATGTCTCCCTTCTCTGTGGACTCCAGGCCCAATATAGTCTACAAACTCCCTGGACCCTGAGTCTTTTCTTTTAGGGTCCATCTGCAAAACCGTAGCTGTAGGCAGACTCCCCTGGGCTAGGAGAGTGGAGGCCACCCTGAGGCCACAGCATCCCTGCCCCTGGTTGCCCTGTGCCTGCCAGCAGTGAGCTTCTCTGCTCGGTCACTTTCTCCCTGCAGACTCTCAGTTTGTGCCCTTATTCCTATCATCTCTGATAAAAAGAGACCCATAGGGGACACTGCCTCAACTTTGTCATAAAGCCTCACCCCTGTCTGTGGCCCATGTGCCCCCCTCCCCGTGCCACAACAGCAGAGAACCGCCCCCTCGCCCCAGGTGGCTCCTCCACTGTCTCCAACATCGACACGGGGTCTCCCGCCCAAGAGCCTCTCCAGAACCCAAAGCGGTCCCTAGTGCACCCTCCCTTAGCACCCAGATGTTTCTACACTGGGTCTCCCGCCCAAGAGCCTCTCCAGAACCCAAAGCGGTCCTTAGTGCACCCTCCCTTAGCACCCAGATCTTTCTACACTGGGTCTCCCGCCCAAGAGCCTCTCCGGAACCCAAAGCGGTCCCTAGTGTACCCTCCCTTAGCACCCAGATCTTTCTACACTGGGTCTCCCGCCCAAGAGCCTCTCCGGAACCCAAAGCGGTCCCTAGTGCACCCTCCCTTAGCACCCAGATCTTTCTACACTGGGTCTCCCGCCCAAGAGCCTCTCCGGAACCCAAAGCGGTCCCTAGTGTACCCTCCCTTAGCACCCAGATCTTTCTACACTGGGCCTCCTGCCCAAGAGCCTCTCCGGAACCCAAAGCAGTCCCTAGTGCACCCTCCCTTAGCACCCAGATCTTTCCTCCCAGTTACTCAATTGTCAAAGTAGAAGCTTGACCAAGCAGGGAGAGAAGAAAGGAGCAAAGGAGGGAGGACGGGAGGGAGAAATGAGGAAGGTGGGAAGGAAGGAAGGAAGAGTGGGGGAGGCTGGAAGATCCAGCCTGACACATGGAGCCTGTGGGTTCCAGGGACCGTTTGCTAAATGAATAAGGAAACTCGTTTTTGTACGAAGGAACCTGGAGTCCCAGAGATAAGAGGAAAGTCTCAGGAAGGTTTTGCTAGGGAAGGCGGCCCAGTACCTCCTCTCTGCTCAGGAGGCTGGTAAGGCGGCTGTGAGTGCAGAGCCCTTCCCTGCCCCGCCCCAGGGTCCCCACCAGCACCACCCGAAGGAACAGTGAAAACAGGCCCACCCTGCAACCCTCTGCTAGCTTCTCAGCCTCGAGGGGCCCACCTTGTGTCTGGGCTCCTCGCAGTCCATCCCGGCTCCGCCAGCATCACTGAGGACAGGGCTCAGGAGTGGGGATGAGCCCTGTTCAGCTGGGCCCAAAGGCACCTGAAATGCAGGGCTCAGACTCAGGGGGCTCTTCCGGCTGGAGGGAGAAGGCTGAGGACTCTTCGTGGAAAGGCCTGGAAATGAACGGGGAGGGGGATGGAGCGAGAAATGAGAAAGGGCTGTGAGGCTGGCTTAGAGCCGCTACTACTCTCCTGACCATTCAACCGCCAGCCTCACACAGTGCCAGGCGCTTCCTGTAAAATGTGTATGTACAGCCTCTATCACACACAATTCTAAACATGACATAAAATGAAAATGAGGGTTGATGGTTCATCTACCCAATTTCAGAGAGCAATCCACAGACAGTGTGGATCCTCCCCGGACTCTAGGGGGGCCTGGATACCAACCTTGTGTTTCTAGGGGCTTCTTTTGGGCTCTGCAGAATATGTAACTATGATAAAACTAAGCACCACAAAGTGTGTAAAGCAAAAGGCACCACCAGGACGGGGGAACACTTTCTATGTGCATTGCTAGAGGTTAGAGACTTAAGATGTCAAACCAGGGCTAACATCTGAAAAGACAATGTCTATTTTAAGGCCAAACTTATTATTCATTAAAAAACGGATCATATAAAACTGCTCAATTCATGATACTGTTTTCCAGTTCCTTGAGTTTTTCATTAATGGGGATTTTATTTTGGTTTTCTAAAACACAGTAATAATTTTCCCCTTCTTAAAACCATGTTTGTTTTCGAATAAATAGGTGCCAAATTTGCAGCCCAATTCTAAAGATGATGAAATATATTTCATTGTGTATTTTATAATAAAAAAATCCTTTTCTATTTAAAAAAATTCTCAAAGGTTAATTTCTAATGTTTTTCTATGGGAAACCAGTAACTATTAAGTGCCAAATTTTAAAGATAACTTTACCTCGCTAACACGGTGAAACCCCATCTCTACTAAAAATACAAAAAATTAGCCGGGCATGGTGGCAGGTGCTTGTAGTCCCAGCTACTCGGGAGGCTGAGGCAGGAGAATGGCATGAACCCAGGAGGCAGAGCTTGCAGTGAGCCGAGATCGCACCACTGCACTCCAGCCTGGATGACAGAGCAAGACTCCATCTCAAAAAAAAAAAAAAAAAAAAAAGAAAACTTTAGAGTTTTAGAGAAGGAATTTAACTGCTGTTTAAAAATCACCAAAGGCCAGGCATGGTGGCTCATACCTGTAATCCCAGCACTTTGGGAGGCTGAGGGGGGTGGACCACCTGACGTCAGGAGTTAGAGACCAGCCTGGCCAACATGGTGAAACTCCATCCCTACTAAAAATACAAAAAATTAGCCGGGCATGGCGGCGGGTGCCTGTAATCCCAGATACTTGGGAGGCTGAGGCAGGAGAATCGCTTGAACCTAGGAGGCAGAGGTTGCAGTGAGCTGAGGTTGTACCATTGCCCTCCAGCCTGGGCAACAAGAGTGAGACTCCATCTCAAAACAAACAAAACTATCAAAGATGTAAATTTATGTTTCCAAGTGTACAGTGTTTGAACACTGAAACTATCATGATTTCTAACGATGATTGCTGAGTCAGCTTACCAAATGTTGCAACAGAAGTAACTCAATTTGAACCCCTGGTCGCATAAATGCCACACCATGGTGACTCCTTACTCCACCCACAACTGGTTTTAAAGCAAGATTCTCTCACACTACTGTTGGCACCTTCAGATGCAGTTGCTTATAGTGACCAGTTTATAGAACCCAAACTTGGTTCACTTAACCTAAAACATGTAAGTGTACAGGCAGATTAGTATAGAGCAGCTTCTTGAGAGCAGCTGACATCATGATTCCCTGTTTGCTGGGTTGGCATAAGCAACTCAACAGGTTAACCCTCCAGTGGGACATGGGAGATGGAGGGGAGGGAGTCCTTATTTTCACATTGACAAATCAGGAGCCCTGGAAAGATCTTGCCTGCTGCTAGGAATTCTAGTTATTAGGATTCTTAAGATGAAATATCAGTGCTCATGATAGCAGAGCTTTCCTCTGGAATTTTTCACAAGATACATTGAAAACACAAGGAAACATTCATTGCTATAGAAAACCTAGGTAACATCACTATAGGAAATTATTAACAACAAATTTATTAGAATTTGCTTTTATTACACCTTCAGTTAAAGTACACTAAGCAACCTTAAAACAGCATGAAATTCCTACTTCCGCCTTGCCTCACATACTGGGCCACATTTGGTCTTTGTCACTTCTGAAGGACTCAAAGTGGAACTGTGGCTTTGTGCTAGCCCCTGAAGCGTGGATTACTTCTTATGTTGAAAACAGGCATGTTTCCGAAGATGCGCTGTTTGGGGTTTGTGTTCCAGAATCTTCTTTGTCCTCAATAAGCCAGAATTTCACAAGGAGATATTTTATGTGATGAGAATTCGGAAAAAGTCTAGAAGCTACTAGTGTCTATTTACTCTTCACAACTGTGTTGCTCAGGGTGTGGCAGGAAGATGTCTCCCACTCATTGCTTCTGGAAGTCAGCGTCGGCCTTCACTATTCTGCCCTTGTGTCCTTCCAGGGGTCCTCACAGCACCTCACTCAGAGAAGTACAGTCCAACAGCAAGCCACTAGTTGACAGTTTACCAAAAAGTTGCTGCAAAATCTGCCTTTAAGTTGCAGGAGGTAAAACTTGAGGAAACGGCATACTCACGAGGCCCATCATAATGTGTGCTGCTATGACGCTGCTGGGGTTGCAAACAGGCCATGGCTAGGGTGGGGTAATAGGGCTGTAAATTAGAAAGGGCCACTCCTGGCCGGGTGCGGTGACTCATGGCTATAATCCCAACACTTTGGGAGGCCGAGGTGGGTGGATCACGAGGTCAGGAGTTCGAGACCAGCTTGGCCAAGATGGTGAAACCCTGTCTCTACTAAAAAAATACAAAAATTAGCCAGGTGTGGTGGCATGTGCCCGTAATACCACCTACTCAGGAGGCTGAGGCAGGAGAATTGCTTGAACCCGGGAGGTGGAGGTTGCAGTGAGCCACGATTGCACCACTGCACTCCAGCCTGGGCAACAGAGGAAGGCCCCATCTCAAAAAAAAAAAAAAAAAAAAAAAAAAAAAAAACCAGTAAGTGCCACTCCCAGTAAACAACCCCTCATAAAGGAAGGACACTCCACTTTAGGATACACTGCTCATTTGGAATAAACATTTTTGGTCCTACGGAGGTTAAAAGTCATCATTTGATAATATTATAAATACTTTTTTTTTTTTTGAGACAGAGTCTCGCTCTTTCACCCAGGCTGGAGTGCAGTGACACGATCTCGGCTCACTGCAAGCTCCGCCTCCCAGGTTCATGCCATTCTCCTGCCTCAGCCTCCCGAGTAGCTGGGACTACAGGCTCCCACCACCATGCCTGGCTAATTTTTTGTATTTTTAGTAGAGACGGGGTTTCACCATGTTAGCCAGGATGGTCTCGATCTCCTGACCTTGTGATCTGCCCGCCTTGGCCTCCCAAAGTGCTGGGATTACAGGCATGAGCCACCGCGCCCAGCCACAAATACATTTTTTGAGACAAAGTCTCTGTCGCCCAGGTTGGAGTGCAGTAGCACGATCTCGGCTCACTTCAACCTCTGCTTCCTGGGTTCATGCCATTCTTGTGCCTCAGCCTCCTGAGTAGCTGGGACTAGAGATGCACGCCACCATGCCCGGCTAATTTTTGTATTTTTAGTACAGACAGGGTTTCACCATGTTGGCCAGGTTGGTCTCAAACTCCTGACCTCAAGTGATCCGCCCGCCTTGGCCTCCCAGAGTGCTGGGATTACAGGTGTGAGCCACCGCTCCGGCCCTATTATAAATAATTTCTATTTAACAAAAAATGGTCAACTCACAACTTAGTGGATACATTAAAAAGTACCACAAATTACCGTTAAACATTTTTCTTTTTTTTTTTTGAGACCGAGTCTCTCACTCTGTCGCCCAGGCTGGAGTGCAATGGCATGATCTCGGCTCACTGCAATCTCTGCCTCCTGGGTTCAAGCGATTCTCGTGCCTCAGCCTCCCGAGTAGCTGGGACTACACATGCCCGCCACCATGCCCAGCTAATTTTTGTATTTTTAGTAGAGATGTGGTTTCACCATGTTGGCCAGGCTGGTCTCGAACTCATGACTTCAGGTGCTCCACTTGCCTTGGCCTCCCAAAGTGCTGGGATTACAGATGTGAGCCACTGTGCCCAGACTCTTTTTCTTTCTTTTTTTTTTTAATGGATGGGATCTTATGAAGTCCAATCTGAACTTGAACTCCTGGCCTCAAACAGTCCTCTTGCCTTAGCCTTCTGTGTAGCTAGGACTACAGGCATGCACCACTGTGCCTAATTTAAACATTTCTTTAAATGTTAGCTATAGCAAACCTTATAAATCAAGCCTACTTCAAATTACACAAACACAGATCCTACATGAAAGTCAGTAAATCTGTGGGGAGACTTTTTTTTTTTATTTTTAAAACAAGCAACTGGCGATGAATGTGTAACTTTATTTATACACGAAGTTGTTGGACTGTGTCCTCATGCCTGATTTTGTATGGGCTGTTGCATTTATCCCTGGGGAACAGGTTTAGCTGAAGTCACCAACACAGATGTACTCCACAGTGAGAAAACAAGTGTGGGAACATGGCTCTGAAGAGTGCTTTCCACAGTGACATACGACAGGATAAAGTTAGTGCCTTTTAGGCTCTGCAATTTTGAATTCTGTGGATATCATAAAAGGACACTTGGCCGTAGTGCTCCTCTGTCTTAGAAAATCTTTTTGACACTGATAATGCATATCAGAATGCATGGTTAAAAGCAGATGTTGGCCGGGCTTACGCCTGTAATCCCAGCACTTTGGGAAGCTCAAGCAGGTGAATCACATGAGGTCAGGAGTTTGAGAGAAGCCTGGCCAGCATGGTGAAACCCCATCTCTACTAAAAATACAAAAATTTGCCGGGTGTGGTTGTGCATGCCTGTAATTCTAGCTACTCGGGAGGCTGAGGTAGGAGAATCGCTTGAACCCGGGAGGTGGAGGGTGCAGTGAGCCAAGATCGTACCACTGCACTCCAGCCTGGGGAACAGAGTGAGACTGTGTCTCAAAAAAAGAAAAAAAAAGGCAGAGAAGTTTTAAAATGCTAAATATCAAGTTTTAGGTGCCACAGAATATGTTTAGCTTTACTTGACATGGTAAATAATTAATCTTAGGTATCTGTAAAAAATAAACTCTAAATCCGAGGTCATCTACTGAGAAACAGCCAGTAAGAATCAGTCTTGCTCTGAGTTTCGAGAGTCCCTTTTATAAAATTCGTATCATATACAACTCATAGGAGGACACACCGACCACACACAAAGATGAGGCCCAGCTATCTCACTATATCCTCAAGGACTGATTTCTTTACCCATAGACAAGACTTCAATTGCCAACATTAAAAGACTTGAAATTGAGAGATACAAACAGTAGTTATGTTTTACTGAGCTCTGCACTTTTGCTGGGATGGATCACAAACTGTCCACTGGCTGTTCACCAATGGGCTTCATTGCATAGACTGCACTTTGGGAAAAGAATAACATCTGAAATACTCTCAAAGCGGCAAATTGGCCAGGAGTGGTGGCTCATGCCTGTAATCTCAGCACTTTGGAAGGTCGAAGTGGGTGGATTACTTGAGCCCAGGAGTTTGAGACCAGCCTTGGCAACACAGTGAAACCCTGTCTCTACAAAAACAAAAAAATTAATAAAATTATCAAAAATTTAGCCAGGTGTGGTGGTGTGCTTGCCTGTAGTCCCAGCTACTCAGGAGGTGGAGGTGGAAGAAATGCCTGAGCCTGGGAAGTCAAGGCTGCAGTGAGCCATGATCAGGCCACCACACTCCAGCAAATAACAAGATTTGATCATCTTCAAAATATATATATTTATTTTTCTTTAGACAGTCTTGCTCTGTTGCCCAGGCTGGAGTGCAGTGGCGCAATCTCAGCTCACTACAACCTCCGCTTCCTGGATTCAAACGATTCTCAGGCCTTAGCCTCCCAAGTAGCGGGGATTACAGGCATGTGCCACTGTGCCTGGCTAATTGTTTTGTATTTTTAGTAGAGACAGTTTTTGCCATGTTGGTCTCAAATTCCTAGCCTCAAGTGATTGGCCCACCTCAGCCTCCCGAATTGCTGGGATTACAGGTGTGAGCCACCATGCCCAGCCTTTTTTGAGACTGAGTCTCGCTCTGTCTCCCAGGCTGGAGTGCAATTGCAGTGGCTCAATCTCAGCTCACTGCAGCCTCTACCTCCTGGGTTCAAGCAATTCTCCTGCCTCAGCCTCCTGAGTAGCTGGGATTACAGGCACACACCACCATACCCAGCTAATTTTCGTATTTTTAGTAGAGACGGGGTTTCACCATGTTGGCCAGGCTGGTCTTGAACTCCTGACCTCGTGATCCGCCCACCTCAGCCTCCCAAAGTGCTGGGACTACAGGCGTGAGCCACCGCGCCTGGCCTTTTTTGTTTTGTTTTTTTGGTTGAGACAGGGTCTTGCACTGTTGCCCAGGCTGGAGTGGAGTGCCACAATCATGGCTCACTGCAGCTTTGCCTTGACCTCCAGGCTCGATCCTCCCACCTCAGCCTTCCGAGTAGCTGGAATCACAGGCACATGTCACTGTGCCCAGCTATGTTTTAGTTTTTTGTAGAGATGGGGTCTTGCTATGTTGCTCAGGCTGGTCTTGAACTTCTCACTCCCTCCCTGGGCTAAAATGATCCTCCCACCTTGGCTTCCCAAAGTGCTCTGATTCCTGGCCAAAAGACATAAAATTTAAAACTGTTATTTCAGACTGTCGGCAGTGGGCATCTCTGGCAGATGATTTTCTTTTTTTTTTTTTTGAGATGGAGTCTTGCACTGTCACCCAGGCTGGAGTGCAATGGAGCGATCTCAGCTCACTCCAACCTCTGCCTCCCGGGTTCAAGTGATTCTCCTGCCTCAGCCTCCTGAATAGCTGGGATTACAGGCACCCGCCACCATGCCTAGCTAATTTTTGTGTGTGTGTGTATTTTTAGTAGAGATGGGGTTTCACTGTGTTGGCCAGGCTAGTCTCGAACTCCTGACCTTGTGATCCACCCTCCTTCGCCTCCCAAAGTGCTGGGATTACAGGCGGGAGCCACTGCGCCCGGTCTGGCAGGTGATTTTCTTTGTGGCAGTCTCTTTACTTCCAGAATTTTCTCAATATTCATCATATGATTTCTGAAATGCCATTTAAAAATCACAATGTTAATTAAACTTTTGTGCTTACCTTCACTTTTCCCTTCAAGACACTGTTTTTATTCATCTAACTAGATGATGAAAGAGAAATATCACATTTAGAGAAAAAGGTAAAGTTATTTTTATTTCATACTTTTAAATTCTCCTCTTTAAAACTCTAACAAATGATTCTTGAAAATATTTGCCTATTAGTGGAGGAAGAATCAGCTCCTGCTTGGCAAAATTCAAGGTCAAGTTGAAGGTTGACTTCAGAGGCGGTACAGGAAACTGAGGCTCAATGAATGAATTGTTACGCTTATTTTTTTTGTCTTTCTTTTTTTTTTTTCCTTTTTCTGGAGAACCGGGTCTCGCTATATTGCCCAGGCAGGTCTCGAAGTCCTGGGCTCAAGCTATCCTCCCGCCTCTTGCCTCCCTGAGAGCTGGGATTACAGGCGTGAGCCACCGCGCCCGGCCAAATGAATTGTTAATTCCAGAAGAAAAGGAAAATGTGGAACTATCCAAGGGATCCAAGTAAATGTGAACCTGATGAGTTAGCCGAAAATTATTTCTGGCTTCTCTACTGGAAGAGGATGTCATGAGTGGATCTTACACAAAATCTGGCTCAAAGAATACAAGCGGGAGATAGAAAAATGGTTAATGGCAAGGGGTCCAGGTATTGGTTCATCTCTTACTGTGCATTCAGCTCACCTCCCTACCCGGCATCACTGCCCACAGGACAGGACGTGAAGGTGTGATGCATGGCACAGCTTTCCCAAGGGCCATTTGGGGTTTTAACGAGCTGACACACGAAGCCTTGGACCACGGCTTGGTAGGCAGCACACGGTGGAGCCACCGCTGCTGCTCTCCCATGGTTCAGACAACTGTATCAACACACGAAGTGCTCCCAATAATCTTTGTTTCTTTCCTGTTTTGCGCTAAATAAACGAGACCTTTTCCTTCCTAAGAAAAACAGGTGTTCTAACCTATAACAGCAAGTTGTGCTTTGGGCCATTTGTCCAGATCTGCTATCTGCCAGGTGTACGGTCTCCTCTTGAATAAGTGAAGGTGCTCCACAGCCTCTATGTTTTTGTTCTAATACATTGTGTCCAAAACTTTGAGAAGCATGCTCTGACTTATTAATCTTTCTATTGGAACAATGGAGGCAAGGTCCCGAAAACAAACTATTAAAGTAAACTAAATAAAGGGTGATAGTTATTAGGATTAGGAAAGAAATATAATCTGAACTGACATATTTGAAGAACATAAAGGCCACATGGTTTTTACCATCTAAATCAGTCAACTTATAGACCTCATACAGAAATGCTTTTGAGCAGTTTCTTGAAATCAGGATTTAGGCACCCAGGTGCCTCCCACTTCATCCTTAGGCAGCGGATGCTGGGCAGGGGTGGCCCCAGGACCAGGAGGGTGATGGTCAGGGAGCAGGGCTGGCATGATGTAGGGGGGGTAAGTGAGGCCCCTGGGACTCTTTTCCCTCTCCTCTAAGTGGGAAGTAACTACCCATCCATGGGCTCTGAGGAGACCCATGAGTTTGTTCTGACAAGTGCCTTTCTAGAACATGCTGCTGCCACAGCCCCTCTGCTCTGGTGTGGCAGGTACAATTGCTGAGCTCCAGGAAGGGCTTACTGCCAGGTGCCTCCCACCCTGGCCTCAGGTGCTCACTGAGCACCCTGCCCACTGGGCAGCAGGTGCTTTAGAGCCCCGGGGAGGCACCACCACCTTCCCAGAGGCGCCTGACATCAGTGGCTGCAGCTCTGTGCTGCTCCAAGGTCCGAAAAGGGCAAGGTGAGGAGCCTATCCTCACAGGGCTCAAAAGCAGGAGGCAGTGTCCAAAGCCCTGCCCCCACCCCCGCAGGCGTGTGTGGGGCTAGAGAGGCATGGACATTCCACGGAGGCAGCAGAAACTCGTGTTGGCCAAATGGGAAACTCAAGCTCAGAGTGGAATAAAGCCTTGCCCAGAACCTGCAGAGCTGTTGCACTCTGGGGCAGGGGTCTCTTGTTCACGTCCTCCCCTGTAATTTACAGGGTGGTTTTGGCTGACTGTGGAAAAAACAGGCAATAATAACCTCATTTTCAGAATTTTAAGCCAACAGCATCTGTTCTGTGCACGGTAAAAGTGCAAGGACACAAGGCCCGCCCCGTGGGGTGTGGTGGGGGCCTGCACGGCACGTCCTCCCCGACACCCAGCTCTGCCGTGCAGGCCACACCAGGCGAGAGCAGGAAGCACTGACAGAGCTAAGACCAAGAAGAAGCAAGGCACCTTTCCCCACTGGCCTTCCACAGACATCATCACCCATATTAAAACAAGACAATCTGCACAAGAGTCATGGTGCCTGTTCCCTGTTTCTTGCTCAGAAGCCTATGAAGATGTCAGTGACACTGTTATAAAAAATATGCAGCTGCTTCAGGGATTAATATGCAAAAGAATCTTTAACTTATATAAATCAAAACTAAAAGTAGAGGGAAAGAAAGCTAAAAAGCCCATTTAAAAATTCACAGTAAATATATCCTTATTTTATTGAACACTTAAAAAAATCTAAATTAGTACATATCTGCAAATTTATAAATGGCAATTTCAATGGAAAACAAATTTTATAAGTACCACAAAGCAGACAACAAAAATGTCTCTTTAAAAAATGAACAAATTCAAATGTATAAGGAAATTTCAGCTCATTTTTTCTTCATTTCCTAGGGGAACGCAATTGTTTTCATGCTAAAGATGGCGCTTCCTTGAACTAGGGGACACGTCAGGCATGGACCACCACGTGGAGAGGGAGGCTAACAGCATCTGCCCACATCCCAGCCGCCTGTGACAGAATCTTCCATACACATGGCTCCCAGATGAGCACCAAAGGGAGACCACAGCAGATACGATTCTGTGGACTTGAGAACCAAATCTATACAAATATTTTCAACTCTAAGTCCCCAAGAGAACATTAACATTTTTGTCTATGAAATAATTTTTCCAGCAATGAATTTTTTTGATATTCCACGAGCTGGGAGGGAACAAGCATACCTTGAAGACATATGTATTGGCATCAAATGTCACATAAACACACAACAGCTGGGAACACACATGCTATGTATGTCACCATGTGATCACAACCACAGCACATGTGAAGTGCTACAATTACTCCTCAGAGCGGTGGAATGGCAGAGGAGCTTGCATGAAAAATCAGAACATACCCGTACACCAAAGCAATTCAAAAGGACCAAGTCACCCTCAGCAAAATGACATTAATGGGAATGACTTAACCAACAGGTTTAAATTTTTCATACTAAACTCTTTTTTTTTTGGTGTGCTATTGTCCATCCCTCAATCATCAGTACTAATTTAAAAATGTGTGTTAAGTGGAGCAGAGAATCCTAATCTAATTCCATATTTAGAGAATCTCTTGGTAATATAAAAAAGGCACATATCAATACCTAGTGATTTGAAAAATTACATAGCATATGCTATTACATATTTTTCGTGTAGTCAGTTGTATTAACATATAACTGTGCTACTGTTAGACTTGAAATATTTATACATTGGCCTACATAAAGTACCTGGACTTTTGGAAACTTAAATACAAAAACAGTTTGACAGCTAATAAAAATATTCTACCTAAAGCAGAGTATATAATTAGTGGTGGACTTCATGGGTCCAACAGGCACTGTCTGCTGGTGGCCTCTCATTGACGGGGACTGCTGCAGGATTGCGTCCCCTCTGAGTAGACACACCTGGCTATGACGGTGACCCATGGGTAAGTCCTCCTGGGAGCTACCAGTGCAGCCCCTGATGCGCCCTGCCTGAGACTGCGGGCGGAGGATGACAACTGTGCGGCTTTAAGGTTCTGGATGTAACTGAGGAGATCAATAGATTGAGAGAGAACTGTTAATATTTTGCAGGCACTTTCACCTCCACACTCTCAGTGAGCTGTATCCAGACACTTCCAGGAGTGCTGAGTCAAATCTGCATACTTCTTTCAATTTCAGGGTTTATCAGGCCACACCTCTCAGGCTGTGCACTACCCAACACTGGCTTGAAGAAGAGCCACAAAGCACAAAGCAGAAACAAAAGCAGAGCCCAATGCTGCTGCAGGGCACTATGGCCTCAGGCTGAATTGCTCCTGGAGTTTTGCTATTTAACCACTGTAAACTGTCTTGTTAAGGTGGAAAAGAGCAACGTCAGTGCCTCATTAACTGTTACAAGTGGAAAGACAGAATCTGTAGAGGGAAATGTCTTCCTTATGGTTCTAAAGCCATGGTGCCCACGCTTGCCTTCCCTTCCGTGTCTAAATCCCCTCTGGGTGGACATTACAACCCACTCACAAGAGAAAGGGGTAAGAGGGCTGTGAGCAGTAACTCGGAAGAAAGCCTTGATTGATTTTTTTTTTTTTTTTTTTTGAGACAGGGCCTCGCTCTAGCACCCAGGCTCATGCCTGCAATTCTGGCACTTTGGGAGGCTGAGACAGGAGGACTGCTGGAGCCCAGGAATTCAAGACCATCCTGGGCAACATGAAGAGAACCTGTCTCCACAAAAATTTTTTAAAAATTAGCTGGGCGCAGTGATGTGTGCCTGTAGTCCCAGCTACTCAGGAGGCTGGGGTGGGGGGATGGCTTGAGCCCAGGAGGTTGAGGCTGCAGTGAGATGTGACTGTGCCACCATACTCCAGCCTGGGTGACAGGAGTGAGGCCCTGTCTCTAAAACAGTAATAATAAAATACTTTAGCAACAAAATACCCAAGGAAAGAAAAAAGGCACAGCTGGGGCAAGCATGGTCAAGTGTGGGTAACACTGAATTTGAGGTGATGCGGGTTCCTTACATTCCTGCTTTGTATATTTTGAAAACTTCCTAAATAAAAAACTAAAGAATTATCTCTAGAAAGTGAGGTTCCATTAACACAAACCAAAAACAGCAAGATCTATTTTATAGGAGGCCTAGTAGAAGATGCCCAAGAACAAAATTTATTTAGAATCTCGCACATGAGCGAGTGATGAGATACCTCTGCTGGGGTAGGGGCATGATCCCACTCCTTAGGAAGGAACATTCCAGCTTCCACAGCATTAGCTTCACCAGGGAGCGGCCACCCCTGCCCCACAGCAGTGCTAGCTCAAAACCACCCAAACCTAACCTGCTGTCCAGACGCCAGGGTGGGTTCCCTTAAAAACAAAAAGACAACTTTGTTAGTTCACAGCATCAGCAAGGACCGTCGTCAGGCAACAGTAATGAAGGGGAGAGGAACCATCAGCTACCATATGAATACTAAGGTTTAGGAAAACGTTTTAAATGTTATCTATACTCATTTCTCCCCAGCACACAAATCCAAGGTTTATTTTTGGAGTGACAGTAAGAAAAGAAGAACCTCCCAAACAGTCCTGTCCTGACCTCAGGTTCACTGCTGCGCTTCTGTCTGTTAACATTTTCACAGGTATTTGTTAGCCAATGTAGAAAGCTGTGCCCAATGGCCCCTAAAGCATCAAGAAGGCAGGTCTAAATTACCAGGGACAGAATGAATAACAACTATACAGACTGAAACTTCTAGCTGCATAAGCAAAATGATGAGACTGCGGTTTAGGTATAACAAAGCTACAAAAATGGGAAACTGCCTGATGTGGTTAGCCACAAAACCCCTGCTGGCATCCAGCCAACACTGATGAGAAAAGGAAAACCAGCCCTTGCAAGATGCCCTCAATGGCTCAGACACCTGAGCCACGTGGTCCCTGTGCAATCACAGTAAATCCATCCAGGCAAAACATCAGAGATCTTACAATGTGAACAGGAATGAAATGTAAAGTTTCCACAAGACATTCTGGGAAGAGAATTAAACTTTAAATGTGGTATTGCACTACTAGGTAAGATCAGAAAAGAAAAACAACAAAAACCCCAACCCTATCTGTGGACTTGACAAATTGAACAGTGTCATCTAGGGCTGGCCTGAGACCGGCACTTGTGGGTGCTGAGCTGCATGGCAGTGGTTTCCCCATGACGTCCCTGGATGGACCTACCCACTCTGTGCCACAAACATCAGCCTTGACTTTTATGGTGGTTTAGACTGAGAAGCTCTCCATGTGGTACCCAGCAGGGCCCATGGCACCTGGTATGTGTTTACGGGTACGCTGGATGGGTGGGCAGGGCCACCTTGGCACACCTGCCCCTGGGACCCTTCCCATTGTCCTGGGACAGAATGATGCCCATGGTGTGTCTGGTTCTGCTTTTTTTGCAACCACGTATCTTCTAGTTCCCAATTAAGCTGAAGAAAAGAAAACAGCTCAAACTTACATAAGTGCATTTTAAACCAACGCCTCTCCAAGACCACTATCTACACACAGCACTATTTCTGGGTCTCAAGTCAATAATGAGGCAGTGGCCCTTTGACACCTTTAAAAAAAAAAATGACATGGTGCCTTTGGCACTGGGACAGTTCCAGGCATCCCCTCACCCCCAACCCCAGTGCAATGGATGACTGTCCCCCCAGAGTCCCAGTGGGACTCTTTCTCCACTTGTCTGTGCAAAAGGGTTGCTGAAGAAAAGGCTAATGTCTACGGGGGCCTTAGGGTCTCAGAGTCCCACGAGTTTGACCACAGCACACAGGAGGCCATGGCCTATGGCCATCTTTCCCAGGGTTAGGGCTGTAGAGGCATACTCAAGGTTTTGTGTAGCGCAGTGGCTGGACAAGTGAGACAAAACCTGTGTCCTAGTTAATTATAGGCAACAGGGCTCATCTTGAAAAGCAGCATCAATAGTGTAATACACATATTCTATTGAAGATCAACATGAACAGAATTGTGTAACATTCAGAATGTATAGCACCAGTTCTTACTTGAATCAAAGCATATGGCAAAAAACATAAACTACAAAGACTAATTTATCGGTCCTCTAGGAGGACTGGCTGGAGTACTCAGGTCTAAGACCGGAGGCATAGCTTTTACGTCATTCCAAGTGAAAGGTCAAATTTTTTGACATTCAAAAAAGTATAATAAATCAGGAAATTAAAAAAAAATTGAATATCTATCCATGAAATGAAAGTCACTTTCTGTGTTTAAACCAAACAATTCTGAGCTCTAAACCACACAGCGTGGGTGAGTGGGTTGCCTTGTAAAGGAACCCAGAGTGGTCAAGATGGGTTTTTATCTATTTGCTCTCCTGGAGTCAAATTCTTTAAATTGTTCTGTAAATCAAAAGGGACTCTTTCTCCACTTGTGTGTGCAAAAGGGTTGCTGAAGAAAAGGCTTATGTCTAGGGGGGCCTCGGTTTCAGAGTCCCATGAGTCTGACTCTGTGCTGCTGGAGTCCTCGGCCGTCGTGGGTGGGTAGCTGAGCTGCTCTAACTGGTCGATGATGTCAGAGAACTGGAAGGCCGAGCTGGACTCAGAGCGGACTGAGTAGGCTGGGAAGTTGACCATGGAGCTGGCCTCAGATTGACTGGCTGAGCTGCATGTGTGCACAGACAGCCCACCACGTAGTGGCATGTTATTGAGGGAGCTGTTTTCAGACTGGCTGTTTCTCAGTGAGCTGGTCTCAGAAGGACCCAGCAGGCGCTGCATCCGGCTGGCCTGCGCCTTCACCTCAAATAGCTCCGAGGTGTCTGAGGGGTGTGCGTTCCCATTGAAGTCACTTTCCTCCTCAAATGCAAAACCGTCTTCTGTGTTCATATCTACTGCCTCCATGGAGTACCTGTCTGGGCTGGACCGAGCAGACCCTGGAAGCTCACACAAAGGAGGGGCCACCAGAGGCTGGGCAGAGGCCTGAGATTCCTGTGGGACTACAGAGCCATAAGGAAAAGAAAACGCCTCAGAGCCTCCAGCAAAGAAGGAGATGTCTGCTGGGTCATCGTCTATGAACTCCTCAGATACCTGCAGCTGGGCATTTGTCAATGTGAAAGCAGGGGCCCCCCCACGACACTGCCGGTCACACCGGTGCTCCCCACCGGAAGGAAATGAGCCTGTGGTAAAGTCATCCCCACCATTGTCATTTTTACAAGCAGCGCTGAGCTCCCTACCGGCCCTCCCTGTGTCTAGGTCTAAGGCACTGAAACTCTGCCCCCCAGCACAGACAGAACCACAGCTGCTCACGACATGACAAAACCCGACACCTGGACCAGGCTGGAGTGCGGGGGGCCCGAGGGGCTGGGCCGATGGTGTGTCGGGGCCTCCAGCCACTGCTCCACTGCGCCTCTCTGCAGCTGGACTCTTGACGTAGGAAACCTGGGGATCTGTGAGGGAGCTGCTGCTGTCCTTAAACTCTGGCAGGCCAGAGGGGACCAGAGTGGAGGGAGAGAGCGAGTAAAAGGCATTCGCTGAAGATGGGGAGGCAGGAGTCCTCAATCCCTCGGGGAATGAGATGCTCTGGGAACCAAAGTTAAGAAAAGAAAAAAAGGATATAAAATTACAAATTACCACTAGAAGTTGCAAAGCCACCTGGCCTAACTTAGGGCATCCACACATTTCTATCACAGCTTTCATGAAAATGGGCAATTCACTAGACTTTCCCTTGTAGAACTGAAGATTTGTAAAAGTAGCATTGCAAATCAACCCAGGATCGTCTGTTTACAAACCCTTACAATTCCATTTTTTTCTCTTATGACATGAAATATCCACAATAAAGAAAAGTTTTTAAAATTAAATTACAATTTTTAATTTTTTTAGAGACAGGGTATTGCTCTGTTGCCCAGGGTGGAGTACAGTGGTGCCATCATAGCTCAAACTCCTGGCCTCAAGTGATCCACCCATCTTCGCCTTCCAACATGCTGGGATTACAGGTACATGCCACCATGCCTGGCCAAGAAAACCTCCATCTTGCAGAACCTAATGACACGTGGTCCACGTCTTCCTGGAATCCCGTTACCAGGAGATTCATAGTTTTGTTGAGGGGTAAAATACAGCTGGAGAGGGAGTGAACCATTCCACTCAGCCAATAGAACCCTAAACCACAGTACTGACAGGTGAGTAACAAGTCCAAGTTCTACAGTAATGCGCACTCATCTGTCAGAGATGTATCGTCGCGAGGGAGTTAGGACACACACCAATCCACTCATACATGTAAGGGAAGGTTGAGGGTCACTGCCTAGGATGCCCTTTGCCAATGGGAGTGGCACAAGAGACCTGGGGCCTTCCAAAAGCACAGGAGTGGCCACAAGTCTGAGGGAGAAGCAGCTCCCAAGCAGGATGAGGAAATACTGAGGGGCCAGGACCAGATGTCCAGTGGCTATGCTGCATCACCTGCTACTCCATAGGTGCCCTAACACATCCTCCCCTCATGGTTCCACACACAAGGACACGGCTGAGCCCCCTCTACTCACTAAGCGTCACTCCTCGCGCGCTATCACGGGATGCAGTCACGCTTTGGGGACATCCCTTACTATATATACACACGCCACATCGTTAAGAGTGTGGTCAGACCAAAATATAACCAAACACAACTGAATAACTTTTTGTGCAATATGTACACAGGCAATATACACATGCACGTGTTACCATATGTAAAAAGTGCAAATGTAACTGCACAAGGCTTAGTTACTAGGCTTTCAGAAACAAAATAGTAGGCCACAGTCCATAAGATTAACCTATTTTCAAATGCTGATCTTATCATGTCTCAATTATTCAACCATATTCAATATTCTCATGTGGCTTTTAAAATGGAATGGAAGAAAATTGAAAGCGTAAAGGTTTTATTTATTTATTTATTTATTTTTGAGATGAAGTTTCACTCTTGTCACTCAGGCTGGAGTGCAATGTGCCATCTCGGCTCACTGCAACCTCCACCTCCCAGGTTCAAGCAATTCTCCGGTCTCAGCCTCCCGAGTAGCTGGGATTATACGCGCCTACCATGCCTCACTAATTTTTGTATTTTATTAAACCTGGGGTTTCACCATGTTGGCCAAGCTGGTCTCGAACTCTTGACCTCAGGAGATCTGCCCGCCTTGACCTCCCAAAGTGCTGGTATTACAGCTGTTGAGTCACTGTGCCTGTCCTTAAAGGTAACTTTTAGATGATTCTTATTTTGACATTAAATTCTTTTGAAGGCCGGGCATGGTGGCTCACGCCTGTAATCCCAGCACTTTGGGAGGCCGAGTCGGGCGGATCATGAGTTCAGGAGATCAAGACCATCCTGGCTAACACGGTGAAACCCTGTCTCTCCAAAAAATACAAAAAATCAGCCAGGCATTGTGGCATGCACCTGTAGTCCCAGCCACCTGGGAGGCTGAGGCAGGAGAATCACTTGAACCCGGGAGGTGGAGGTTGCAATGAACCAAGATCGCACCACTGCACTCCAGCCTGGGCAACAGAGCGAGACTCTGTCTCAAAAAAAAGAAAAAAAAATTCTAACTTTGTGGTTGGGTATGCTGGCTCATGCCTGTAATCCCAACATTTTGGGAGGCTGAGGCAGAAGGATCACTTGAGCCCAGGAGTTTGAGACCAGCCTGGGCAACATGGTGAGACTCTGTCTCTACAAAAAAAAATACAAAATTAGCTGGGTGCGGTGGCATGCACCTGTAGTCTCAGCTACTTGGGAGGCTGAGGTGGAAGGATCACCGGAGCCTGGGAGGTTGAGGCTGCAACGAGCTGTGATCATGCAGCCGAGATGATAGAGTGAGACCCTGTCTCCAAAAAAAAAGAAAAAAAAATCAAACTGTGTAAAGGAACAATTAAAAATACATTTCCCTTTAATTTCAATTGAATTAACAAGAAATTTCTAAAGAGGAAACATATCTAAAAGAGTTGGCCGGGCGCGGTGGCTCACGCCTGTAATCCCAGCACTTTGGGAGGCTGAGCAGGTGGATCATGGGGTCAGGAGATTGAGACCATCCTGGCTAACACAGTGAAACCCCGTCTCCACTGAAAAATAAAAAAAAATTACCAGGCATGGTGGCGGGCACCTGTAGTCCCAGCTACTCAGGAGGCTGAGGCAGGAGAATGGCGTGAACCCGGGAGGCGGAGCTTGCAGTGAGCCAAGATCGCGCCACTGCACTCCAGCCTGGGCGACAGAGCGAGACTCTGTCTCAAAAAAAAAAAAACAAAAAAAAAAAACCAGAGAGTTTAAGAAGGTTTTCATGTACCCATGAAAAAACCTGGGATACCATGAGCTTTACTTTTTGAGACATTCTTACCCTGTTGTCTAGTCTGGGGTGCAGTGGTACAATTGTGGCTCACTGCAGTCTTGAACTCCTGGGCTCAAGTGATCCTCATACCTCAGCCTCCCAAGTAGCTGGGACTATAGTTCAGTGCCACCACACCTGGCTAATTTAAAAAAAAATCTTCAGATAGATAGGTCTCACTATGTTGTCCAGGCTGGTCTCAAACTCCTGGCTTCAAGCAATCCTCCAGCCTTAGCCTCTTGAGTAGTTGGGATTAAGGGTGTGAGCCATTGTGCCCAGTTCACATGACCTTTAATATAATGAGGTGCAAGTGTAGCTTCTGAAGTGCTATGACAGTATAAATGACAAACCATTAAAAAAATTGACACTGTACAGAGATAAAAGTTGAAACTGTAGCACCATGAAGAAAGAGTTATGATATGTTACATAAAAATAGCAAGATTCTGACTAGGCATGGTGGCTCATGCCTATAATCCAAGCACTTTGGGAGGCCAAGGCAGGCGTATCACTTGAGGCCAGGAGTTCGAGACCAGCCTGGCCAACATGGTGAAACCATGTCTCTACTAAAAAACACAAAAATCAGCCAGGCGGCTGGGCGTGGTGGCTCATGCCTGTATTCCCAGCACTTTGGGAGGCCGAGGCGGGCAGATCATGAGGTCAGGAGATCAAGACCATCCTGGCTGACACAGTGAAACCCCGTCTCTACTAAAAATACAAACAAATTAGCCAGGCGTGGTGGCGGGCACCTGCAGTCCCAGCTACTCGGGAGGCTGAGGCAGGTGAATGGTGTGAACACGGGAGGTGGAGCTTGCAGTGAGCCGAGATCGCGCCACTATACTCCAGCCTGGGCGACAGAGCAAGACTCCGTCTCAAAAAAAAAAAATAAATAAATAAATAAATAAATATATATATATGTATATGTCAGCGAGGCATGATGGTATGTGCCTGTAATCACAGCTACTTGGGAGGCTGAGGAATGAGAATCACTTGAACCCAGGAAGCAGAGGTTGCAGTGAGCCTAGATCATGCCACTGCACTCCAGCCTGGGCAAGAGAGTAAGACTCTCTCTGGTAAAACAAAACAAAACATGCAAGATTCAATGTAAAAATATGCTTGCATATGGAAGTTAACATGCCAGCATAAAAATGGGAAGGGACTGTAGTGAAGTAGACCTGAAACATGAGAAGGTCGCTGATGTCCCATCACAGTGGCACGGAACAGCTGTTGTCACATTCTGGGACATTCTTGTCAAATGTTTTTGTATGAAGTGTCTGTGTGAGTTGGTGTATCTTTGTTTTGATATAGTTGCAATCATGCCAAAGACATAGAGATACAAATTTGTTTCCTGCTTTTCATTTGTAACATAACAGCAAGAATTTCTCCATGTTACCACATACTCTTTTTAAGCCATGCTTTCAGCAGTTAACAAAAAATCCTACTAAGTGAATACAGCTAAAAACATAGTTAGTAAGTCATCTGGCACAGATGAGAGTTGTCAGGATTTTGTGGTGTATTACACACAACACTATGATGCACATCTCAACATACAGGCTTTCTCTCTTTTTTTTGAGACAGGATCTTGTTCTGTCATCCAGGCTGGAGTGTAGTGCCACTATCTTGGCTCACTGTAGCCCCAACTTCCTGGGCTCAAGACATTCTTCCACCTCAGCTCCCTGAGTAGCTGAGACTACCCGTGCGCCACCATCATGCTCGGCTAATTTTTGTATTTTTTGTAGAGACAAGATTTTGCCATGTTGCCCAGGCTGGTCTCGAATTCCTGGACTGAAGCAACCCTCCTGCCCTGGCCTCCCAAGGAGCTGGGATTACAGGCATGGGCCACTGCCCTGCTGGCTTTCTATTCAGGACCCCTTTCTGAAAACAGAGTCCCAGGATTACAATTGCTGCATTAAATAATATGATTAATTTTAAGACTCTTGTTACAATACTGACAGACTATTTTCCAAAAGAGTACAGGGAACTCCTACTGCCCCCATGTTGAACCGGAAGAGACTAACCTGTTTTGGTAGGTCTGCAGTCAGAGCTCGAACGGACGTGTGGGTCTTGCTGTGCCTTCTGCAAAACAGAGGACGAGCTGTGAGAAACCAAGCCCTCCCCTTCTCAGCGCCTGTTTTTAAAGCAGCAAGCATGTACTGTATCCATGAAGAAAACCTCACAAGAAAATGTAGCTAAGAGGTATCTAACTTGAAAGGGGCAGGAGAATGGAAAACAAGAATTCAAATAAAAAACAGAGGTCCCAAGAGAGGTAAGATTACACACCCACACTAAAGGAAAAAATTCCACGTGCGGAGAAACAACAAGAATTTTCAGATTAAATGTTTACTATAGGCCGGGCGCAGTGGCTCACACCTGTAATCCCAGCACTTTGGGAGGCCGAGGCGGGTGGATCACGAGGTCAGATCAAGACCATCCTGGCTAACATTATGAAACCCCGTCTCTATTAAAAATACAAAAAATTAGCTGGGTGTGGTGGTGGGTGCCTGTAGTCCCAGCTACTTGGGAGGCTGAGGCAAGAGAATGGCGTGAACCCAGGAGGTGGAGCTTGCAGTGAGCCGAGATCACACTACTGCACTCCAGCCTGGACGACAGAGCAAGACTCCATCTCAAAAAAAAAAAAAAAAAAAAAATTTACTATACTATGTAAAAATATATATAAGCTAAGCTATACAGAAGAGAAACTAAAAATATCTCTATGTGTATACAATGTCTATATAAAAATATTACAGGCCGGGGGCAGTGGCTCACACCTGTAATCCCAGCACTTTGGGAGGCCGAGGCGGGTGGATCATGAGGTCAGGAGGTCGAGACCACCCTGGCTAACACAGTGAAACCCCATCTCTACTAAAAATACAAAAGATTTGCCAGGCGTGGTGGCAGGCGCCTGCAGTCCCAGCTACTCGGGAGGCTGAGGCAGAAGAATGGTGTGAACCCGGGAGGCGGAGCTTGCAGTGAGCCGAGATCGCACCACTGCACTCCAGCTTGGGCGACAGAGCGAGACTCCGTCTCAAAAAAAAAAAAAAAAAAATTACAAATCCACTTTCTTTAAAACATTGAAACTGAACTCCTGTAAAAATACACATTCATGTATTTGAAGTGACTTTCAGTCAAGTAAAGATTAATATTTAAAATAGGCTGGGCATGGTGGCTCACACCTATAATCGCAGCACTTTGGGAGGCTGAGGTTGGAGGATTACTTGAGCCCACATGTTTGAGACCAGCCTGGGCAACATAGCAAGACCTTGTCTCTACAGAAAAAAAAAAAAAACAAAAAAAACTAGCCAGGGGATAGTGGTGTGCGCCTATATTCCCAGCTACTCGGGAGGCTGAGGTGGGAGGATTGCTTGAGCCCAGGAGTCTGAAGCTGCAGTGAGCCGTGATCATGCCACTGTATTCCAGCTTAGGTGACGGAGCAAGACTCAGTCTCTCTTTTCGCTCTCTCTCCATATATATATTTAAATTTTAATTTTAAAAGCACACACTTTACATCATAAAGGCCAGAGCTTACCTTTCATATGGAATTCTCTTCATTCCACTGTCTTTGAAATAATCTACTAGTTGTTTCTGAGTTCTTCCACTGTGAATAAAGATTCAGATTTTTAATAAAGAACAGTAAGTCAGCATTAATTTTTCAGAGTAAAAGACAAAAGAAAAGATTTACCCATCCTCTCTCATAAATATACACACATATATTTTATTTTTTGAGACTGAGTCTCGCTCTATTGCCCAGGGTGGAGTGCAGTGGCGTGATCTCTGCCTCATGGGTTTAAGCGATTCTCATGCCTCAGCCTCCCGAGTAGCTGGGATTACAGGTGCCCGCTAACACGCCCAGCTAATTTTTGTATTTTTAGTAGAGATGGGGTTTCACCATGTTGGCCAGGCTGATATCGAATTCCTGACCTCAAATGATCCACCCGCCTTGGCCTTCCAAAGTGCTGGGATTACAGGTGTGAGCCACCGGGCTCGGCCCACATACATATTTTAAAGTTATACTTTGTAGTAAGCGTAACTGAATTTGTAAGCAAAGTTTTTATTAAGCGTATTTTTTCCGTTATTTTATTTCATATGCTTCCTCTAGTTATTCTTTCACAATACCTCCACTTTGTGTGTAATTCTCTGAAATATTTTATAACACTTCTTTCTTGACTAGGAATTACCTATTTTCTCAGCTTTACAAACCAGTGAGGGGCCCATGCAAGCCACGGCATGGCCCCTACCTGTATCTGAAGGAGGAGCCCCGGCTGAAGAAGACGGCTTTTGCTTTTGGCTTAGGTTGGTCCAAAAGTCTAAAAAAGGTGTGATACTCCACACAAATCTTCCAGAAGTTCTTACATTCATCTCTACTACCCAACAAAAATTCTAATGTGTCCTGGTAAGGTCCCTAGAAACAAAACACAAAGGTTAATTAATTCAAGAATGAAGTATTGGACAAGAGAAAGTACATTTAGGAAGCAGATCACACGATAGGGAATTCCAAAATTAAAAATCAGTAAGGTTTTTTTTTGAGACAGGATCTTGCTCTGTGCCCAGGCTGGAGTGCAATGGCGTGATCTTGGCTCACTGCAACTTCAACCTCCCAGGCTCAAACAATCCTCCCACCTCAGCCGCTCCCCTCCTACTGCTCAGTAGGGACTACAGGCTCACAACACCAAGCCCAGCTGATTTTTGTATTTTTTGTAGAAAAAGGGTTTTGCCATGTTGGCCAGGCTGGTCTTGAACTCCTGAGCCCAAGTGATCTGCCCATCTCAGCCTCCCAAGGTACTGGGATTACAGGTGTGCACCACTGCACCCAGCCCAGGAAGGGTTTTTCTAAAAGTTGTATACAAAGTCTTCTGGTTCCATCTGCTTAATTAAGAAAAGATAGACAGTATATATATTCATAGTAGAACTAGCAGAAAAATGAAGTCACCCACAATCACACAACTATCAACATTCTGAATTCTATCTTTGTAAACACTTTTTCTACCTAGCCTTGGCATTTTTCATGCCAACTGACATATTTACATGTTATTACTGAATTGTTTCTACATGGTATATATTTTTAAAATCTAGGATATTTTAGATGTCCAGGACATGCAGTTTTCAGGCCTACAAATATTGCCCTGAAGGAACTGCATTCACTCTCAGTTATTCCTTAGGATAAATTCCTAGAAATGGAAATCTGAGCTCAAAGACTGCACATTTTTGAACCTGCTGATGTATGTTACCCAATTACCTTCCACAAAGACTGTAATACTTTGAATCTAACATTTAGTCTTTAAAACGTGCTTAGGTAAGTAAAATGTAACTTTGCTAAGTGCAGATGCAAACAGTTCTGGGCTTTGACTTATCGCCCTATTCAAGTTAATAGCTGCTTTGGTGAACTTTCCCTATCATCTCGAATAACTGCAGGAAACTTTTTTTTTTTTTACTTACAGAGTAAAACAGCTTTTACTTGTGTTTCGTATGTGTGTTTGGCATTCCTTCTACTTCCCCTTCATCCACAGGACAGATATTTGTACAACAATTAAAGCCACTTTCAAGCCTTCTACCAAAAGCAAACACACTTACACAAAGCACGTGAACCCAGTGTGTACCAAAAGCCCTACTACTCAAGTGCCTTTTAAAGGCGTAGGCAAAGCTTTTCTTCTGACTGGCCCAAAGGCTCTAAATCTCCCATAACCCAAAATGTGTCTGGGCTGACACAGGCATGGCCATCTCTTAAGCTTCAAACCCCATGGTAGCTTGGCAAATCTACTTTTTATTTTCTAACTCCTTTTGTACAACGGAAATGCAGCAACTGGAACATCTTTGAATAACTGGAAGTACTGGATTTTACCAAATACACTGCACAGGCATTTATTTTTTCCATTTTTACTCATTTCAGTAAATTCATATGTAATTATTATTTTATTAATGAGCAGTCAGTAAAGAAGGGAATATTTACTCCCTGATAATCAAGGCTTCTTCAATTAGAGCTATTCAAAGATCAATTTCTGAATGAAGGACACAAGAGAACACTGGGGATACTCCTCAGTTCATTCTGAAGCTCTCAGCTGCTGTAGGGCTTCAGATCATTTTGAGCACTTTGTTCTTCAGCTTCCTTACCTAGAGAACAAAGAGGCTGCAATAACCATGGTTCTTAGCAACCCCTAGGAGCTTGTCAGATGTGCACCTTCTTGGGTTCATCCCAGACCCGCTGAAGCTGAAACCCTGGGGTTTTGAGCCAGCAACACGTGAGTGACAAAGTTCCTGGGGGAGGTAAGTGTGAGACCAGCTAGGCAGACTGCCCTCAGCCCCTCCAGACCTAAGTCCCGAATCCTGTCCTTGAGTTCTTGTGTGCATTATGCTGAAATGATTTACAAAGTAATTATGTTTTAGCAGAATAAATTATGAGTTAAAAAATGGTCAAAATAGGCTGGGCATGGTGGCTCACGCCTGTAATCCCAGCACTTTGTGAGCCTGTAATCCCAGCACTTTGGGAGGCCAAGGCGGGTGGATCACCTAAGGTCAGGAGTTCGAGACCAGCCTGAACAACATGGAGAAACCCTGTCTCTACAAAAATACAAAATTAGCCAGGTGTGGTGGCGCATGCCTGTAATCCCAGCTACTTGGGAGGCTGAGGCAGGAGAATCGCTTGAACCCGGGAGGCAGAGGGTTGCGGTGAGCCGAGATCATGCCATTGCACTCCAGCCTGGGCAACAAGAGCGAAACTCCGTCTCAAAAAAATAAATAAATAAATAAATAAAATAAAATAAAAATAAAAAGTTGAAAATAATACTTACATGAACCTCTGGATGAAGTTTGATAAGAAATCTTTTCCTCTTGAAGCTTAGTTTACGGACCTTGGACCAGTTGAAAGTGTTGATTTTGGTGGTGCCCTGAAATGCAAGAGACAGACAGATTACATTTGTATCTGGCACATAACCCCTTTCTCATGAAATAGGGAATGCTTAAATTACATCCTTGCCAACACAGCACTCTACTTGGCATTTTACCATTATATCTGAGATAGCTGACTTAAAATGTCAATAACTAAACATATTAATCTATCTGTTCTAGAAAGATAATTTAATTTTTTTTTGAGATGGAGTCTTGCTCTGTTGCCCAGGCTAGAGTGCAGTGGTACCAATCTCCGCTCACTGCAGCCTCAAACTCCTGGGCTCAAGCAATCATCCTGCCTCAGCCTCTGGAGCAGCTGGGACTACAGACACCAGACACCACTCTTGCCTAATTTTCTATTTTTAATTTTTTTTGTAGAGATGAGGTCTTGCTCTGTTGCCCAGGCTGGTCTCAAACTCGAGGCACATCTGGAACACAAGGACACTGAAAGGTTCAAAGAGATGGAAAAAGATGTACTTAACAACTGACCAAAAGAAAGCTGCTGGAGCAATATTATCATCAGACACAGTGCATGAGAAAGAGGGCTTACATCATCTAAAAGCAATTCACCAGGAAGATACACTGGGACTTGTATCTCTCCTCATATTGTTTCAAATATTTATAGGAAATGGAAAATTAGAAGTGGAAAGATTTGCACTTTTTTTCTTTTTTTTTTTTGAGACAGAGTCTCACTCTATCACCTAGGCTGGAGTGCAGTGGTACAATCTCCATTCGCTGTAACCTCCGCCTCCTGGGTTCAAGCAGTTCTCCTGCCTCAGCCTCCTGAGTAGCTGGGACTACAGGTGTGTGCCACCACACCTAATTTTTGTATTTTTAGTAGAGATGGGGTTTCACCATGTTGGCCAGGCTGCTCTTGAACTCCTGACCTCAGGTGATTAGTCCACCTTGCCTCCCAAAGTGCTGGGATTACAGGCATGACCCACTGTGCCTGGCTAATTTTAATTTCTTTGATAAGGTTTTATTGCAAAATTTTAAAATCAATGTTAATATACATTTTTTGAAGTTCACTCCTGCAAGGAGGGTGGTCTGGAAGGGGCAGTGATAGTGGCCAGGCAGGGCAGGGAGTAGAGTCAGGTTTCTCACTGAAGCTAGAACACAGTGCTAGAGTGTAACAGGAGCGAATGATGGGAATTCCTGGTTTCAGCAGATACAGACACAGATATAGAGGTAAATATAGATATATGAGGTGAGTGGGTATATGTACATGTGTGTAGCATTGTCTGTTGAGAGGGCCAGAAGTGGTGATACCCCACAAAGCAATGGGCACACTGAGTGCATGGATCTTGGTCTCTAAATACCAGTCTTCACTAAAACGGCTGGGCTCTGTGGGGAAATGGCTGACTCCACAGTGAAGCAGGCAAAGTACAAAACAAGCCTGGCATGTCTTATTCTGTAAGAAAGCAAAGAAGTGTTCATAAAATGAAAGGACATGTGAGAAGGACACAAGAGGCAGCTTGAAGAGTCTCCCTTGGGCCAAATGTGGGAAAGTTAAAGATAAAAATAAATAATGAAACCAACAGATTATCAAGTATCAGATTTGAATCTATGAATCCACAGTGACATAAACTAAATAAATGGAGAGAAAACTCTTCCTTCCAGTAGTAGGAAGAATGGGATTTAAAGAGTCATCATTGGGCAACCATCATAGTGATCTAACTAGAAGATGAGTGTGATGAGGTACAAGATATTTACTTAGTCTCAAAGTATCGCTCCACAAAATACTTAGTAACAAAGGACAAAAAGTAACCTTTCTTTCCTTAAGAGATAAGGAGTCTCAAACTCCTGGGCTTAAGCAATCATCCTGTCTCAGCCTCTGGAGCAGCTGGGAATACAGGCACCTGATACCAATCCTGGCTAATTTTCTATTTTTAATTTTTTCTTGTTTAACGAGTTAAAGGCAGATGGGCATCTCAGGTAAAGGCCAGCAGGACCTTTTGTAGAGATGGGGTCTTGCTATGTTGCCCAGGCTGGTCTCAAACACCTGGCCTCAAGTGATCCTCCTGCTTCAGCCTCTGTTGGGACTATAGGCATGAGCCACTACCTAGTCAAAAACAACTTTGTATACAGAAAAGCTGGCAAACATCATCTTGACCAAGTGATCAATGTTACCACCACCACCACCAATGGGACAGATGGACCCTATGTGCCACATGAATCAGGACGCATCATCACTCTGGGAGTTTCTCACCTAGGCAGTGAGCCCAGGGTCTGATCCTGGGGAAGCACTGCACAATCCCATATCATAAACATTCTACAAAATGACTGCCCTGTAATCTTCCAAAATGTCAAGGTCATGAAAACCAAGGAAAGGAGGAAGAATGTTCCAGATTGCAGAGACCAGAGAGACATAATGCCTGGGTACAGCATTTGCTCCTAGATTGGACCTTCTGTAGTAAACAACACTGAGACAACCAGTTAAAGGCAGACGGGCATCTCAGGTAAAGGCCAGCAGGACCTTTCTGTGCTGTTTGTGTAGCTTTTCTATAAGCTTGAAATGGTTTCAAAATAAAATTTTAAAAACGTCTGAGACACTGCTTGGGCATTTCAGCGACTATACGTTTGATGTTACCAACATTTACTCTTACCTGCAAACTCAGTGTAAGAGGCAGCAAGGTTAGGGACACAGTCCCCTCAGAGACAGCTCCAAAGGAAAAAACAAACCCCTTTAGCCATAAGGAGTAAAACACTGATACATGCTACCACATGAGTGAACCTGGAAACAAGGAAACACTACACACAACAGACCGCATGTTTGTATGATCCCACTTATATGAAATATCTAAAATAGGGAAATCCATAGAGAGGGAATATCCTGATGGGTGCCTGTTCTGGATACCAGTGGTTGCTGGGGGCTGGCGGAGTAACTGCTAAAGAGTATGAGGGTCTCTTTTTGGGATGATGAAAACGTTCTGAAATTAGATAGTAGTGACGGTCATACAACTGTGTAAGTATCCTAAAACAACTGAATTGTATACTTCAACATGGTGAATTTTATGGCATACACATTTTATCTCAATTAAAAAAAAAAAAATCCTGAGTTAGATGTTCTCAAAGCCAAGATACAAACATTAGGGTCTAAATGAGGACTTAAGCTTCCTAGTTCCCAAAATATTGCCCCAACACTAAGTCGTTCTAATTTCTACTGAAAGTAAAATATTGAAGGCCAGGTGCTGTGGCTGACGCCTGTGATCCCAGCACTTTGGGAGGCTGAGGTGAGCAGATCACCTGAGGTCAGGAATTAAAAAAAAAAAAAAATTAGCTGGACATGGTGGCCAGTGCCTGTAATCCTAGCTACTCAGCAGGCTGAGGCAGGAAAATCATTTGAACCCAGGAGGCGCAGGTTGCAGTGAGCAGAGACTGCGCCACTGTACTCCAGCCTGGACGACAAAGGGAGACTCCGTCTCAAAAAAAAAAAAAAAAAAGTAAAATATTGGAGGATTTTCAACTACATTCTCAAAATTTCTGTCCTAAATTGTATTCTCAAAAACAAAGCAAAACAAAACATCAACAAAAGGAAACAAAATCCCCATAGCCCCAGTTCTAGATATTATTTATATATCCAGGACAGAGTCTTAAAAAACCGAGGGCCTAGGCTGGGCGTGGTGGCTCATGCCTGTAATCCCAGCACTTTGGGAGGCCAAGGCGGGCGGATCACGAGGTCAGGAGATCGAGACCATCCTGGCTAACACAGTGAAACCCCGCCTCTACTAAAAATACAAAAAATTAGCCAGACGTGGTGGCAGGCGCCTCTAAGTCCCAGCTACTCGGGAGGCTGAGGCAGGAGAATCGCTTGAAGCTGGGAGGCGGAGGTTGCAGTGAGCTGAGATCGCGCCACTGTACTCCCACCTGGGCGACAGAGTGAGACTCCATCTCAAAAACAAAACAAAAAACCGAGGGCCTGCCACGGAGGTAAGAGATGAAGCCCTCCCAAGAAGTGGGCCAACAATAGCTCAGAGGCCCCCAAATAACTGCTCCAGCTGCTTGTTCAATCCCTTCTGGTCAAAATAAGAAATTTCTACAGCTGTCTCTTGGTATCTGTAGGGGATTGGTTCCAGGACCCTCTACCCCAGTACCCCAATCTATAAATCTTGAGGCTCTGATAGAAAATGGTGTAGTATTTGCATATAACCTACACACACCATCTCTACAAAAAAACCTACAATTTTTGTAGAGATGAGGTCTTGCTTTGCTGCTAAGGCTGGTCTCCCGAGCTCTGGTGATTCTCTTGCCTTGACCTTCCAAAGTGCTGGGATTACAGGCTTGAGCTACCACGCTGGGCTTCCTGTATACTTTAATAAAATCATTTCTAGATTACTTATGTACCTAATACAATGTAAACGTCACATAGTTTTACTGTACTGTGTTAAATTTGTATTTTTTAAAAAATTACACAGACACATATATGTGTGTGTGTGTGTTTTGAGACAGAGTTTCGCTCTTGTTGCCCAGGCTGGAGTGCAATGGTGCGATCTTGGCTCACTGTAACCTCGGCCTCCTGGATTCAAGCGATTCTCCTACCTCAGCCTCCTGAGTAGCTGGCATTACAGGCACCTGCCACCACACCTGGCTAATTTTTGTATTTTTAGTAGAGATGGGGTTTCACCATGTTGGCCAGGCTGGTCTCGAACTTGTGACCTCAGGTGATCTACCAGCCTTGGCCTCCCAAAGTTCTGGGATTACAGGTGTGAGCCACCGCGCCCAGCCTGTATTGTTTTTTATCGTTTATTTTCCTGCGGATATGGAGGGCCAACTGTATATCCCAGGGTCTTGACCACCATGATAAAAGGAGAAATAAATAGAAAATCCAAGGACAATCACAGCTTTCATCTACTGCACCCTGACTTGACAGACTTTAAGACAACACTTTTAAACCTGCACAGTTAGCTGTGGAATGCTAAAATCTACTGTTTTCATTTTCATATTCATCCAATAATCCAGGGCATATCTGAAAATGCCATATAGACTACACGACTGGAAACAAACTGCCAGGTCAGGGTCACCCACTCCACATCAAGTCCTCTTCCTCAGACAGAACCAGCTTCACCTCTCTTGGCTGCCTTTCTGGGATTTACTCTCATGCATCCATTCATTCACCCGTATTTCTGAAAAGCACATTTATGACAGCTAGCACATTCTCCACTTTGAAATCTTGCCTCCTCAACATCTGTCACTGCCAATACCTCACACCTACCCCTCCCCACACTCTCCTAATTGTTGGTAAATTTTAAATTCAGTATTTATATTAATGGTCATGTAAGCATTGCTCACAAGCTGAGCTATAGTGAATTTAACTACTTTTTTTATATTATAAAGTAAAGCTTCCTTCTTCAAAATTTCCTTGAGAATCCTAATTGCCTCGTTTCATTTGCTTCACCGGCATGTACCTATCCCTAGTTAACACTCTTCCACACCGTCCAGCAAAAGAAATGAGTCCCTGGTCTACCCTCTCTCCCGGGGCCCTGCCCTCTGCTCTGGTATTGGTGGATGCTCTCTTGGCAGGCAGAACCTGTGTCTTCCTCTGCCTGTCTCGGATGTGGAGCACCCTATTTCCTTCTTTCTCACTTTTAGTTCATTCTCTCCTCTAGTTTTTCCTTACAAAGGGAGAGTAGTAGTTAAATTTTTTAAAAATCTACATGTGTGAAAAAAGGTTTTCTCTGTACAGAAGTCATGTGGAACAGAGCACAGAATTCTAGTCTAGAGCCCCACACACACCAAATTTAAAAAAAAAATCGCCAAATGCTCGGGGAAACTGATTTGAGTAATAATAAAACTGTAGTCTCAAAAAAAAAAAAACAAAAGAATTAGTTTGGAAATAATTTCCTTTTAATGTTTGAGATGCTGCCATTGCAGTGACATTGCACTCCAGCCTGGGCAACAAGAATGAAACTCTGTCTCAAAAAAAAAAAAAAAAAAAAGAGAGAGAGAGAAATTGTACCAGCTCTTCTTTGTACCTCTGGTTGAATTCAGCTGTGAATCCATCTGGTCCTGGGCTACTTTTTTTTTTTTTTTTTTTTTTTTTTTTACTTGGTAGGATATTATTGCCTCAATTTCACAACACATTTCTAGTCTATTCAGGGATTCAATTTCCCCCTGGCTCGGAAAGCCCCGTTGCTTTCTAGCTTCCAGTACTGCTACGGAATAGTTCCAGGCCATTTTAAATCACACTTCTTTCTCTCTTCTTCCTGGGAGTTCTTGGGTCTTCTCCACTATTATCCTTTGTTGGATGGATAGACTGCAAAATTTTTCTCCCATTCTGTAGGGTTGTCTGTTCACTCTGATGATAGTTTCTTTTGCTGTGCATAAGCTTTTCAGTTTAATTAAATCTCATTTATCAATTTTTGCTTTTGTTGCAATTGCTTTTGGCATTTTCGTCATGAAATCCTTCCTGTGCCTGTGTCCTGAATGGCATTGCCTAGATTTTCTTCCAGGGTTTTTTTTGTTTTTGTTTTTGAGACAGGGTCGCACTTCATCGCCCAGACTGGAGTATAGTGGCTTGATTTTGGCTCACTGCAACCTCCGCCTCCCAGGCTCAAGCGGTTCTCCTTCCTCAGTCTCTCAAGTAGCTGGGGTTATAGGCACCCACTATCATGCCTGGCTAATTATTATATTAGTAGAGACAGGGTTTTACCATGTTGGCCCCAGGCTGGTCTTGAACTCCTGACATCAAGTGATCTGCCCCCATTGGCCTCCGAAAGTGCTGGGATTCAGACGTGAGCCACTGTGTCTAGCCCTCATCTAGGGTTTTTATAAGTTTCTTTCTGGTTCAGTCTTGGGAGAGCGTATGTGTCCAGGAATTTATCAGTTTCTTTTAGATTTTCCACTTTATGTGCATAGAGGTGTTTATAGCATTCTCTGATGATCGTTTATATTTCCGTGGGTTCAGTGGTGATATTCCCCTATCATTTCAGATTGTTCATTTGATTATTCTCTATTATCTTCTTTACTAGTCTAGCTAGCAGTCTATTTTATTAATTTTTTCAAAAAACCAGCTCCTGGATTTGATTTTTTGAAGGGGTTTTTGTGTCTCTATCTCTTCAGTTCAGCTCTGATCTTGGCTATTTCTTGTCTTCTGCTAGCTTTGAGGTTTGTTTGCTCTTGATTTTTTAGTTCTTTTAGTTGAGATGTTAGGTTGTTAACCTGAGATCTTTCTAGCTTTTTGATGTGGGCATTTAGTACTATAAATTTCCCTCTTAACAATGCTTTAGCTGCATCCCAGATTCTGATATGTTATCTCTTAGTTCTCATTAGTTTCAAATAATTCTTGATTTCTACCTTAATTTCATTATTTACCCAAGAGTCATTCAGGAGCAGGTTGTTCAATTTCCATATAGTTGTGTGGTTTTCAGTGAATGTTTAAATCTTGAGTTCTAATTTGATTGTGCTGTGGTGTAAGAGACTGTTTGTTATGATTTCAGTTCTTATGCATTTGCTGAGGAGTGTTTTGCTTCCGATTATGTGATCAGTTTTAGACAAAGTGCCATGTGGTGATGAGAAGAATTTATATTCTTTTGTTTTTGGGGGGACAGTTCTGTAGCTATCTATAAGGTCACTTTATCCAGGGCTGAGTTCAGGTCCTGAATATTTTCAGAAAGTTAACTTTCTGTCTTGATGATCTGTCTAATATTGTCAGTGGGGTGTTAAAGTCTCCTATTATTATTGTGTGGGAGTCTAAGTCGTTTTTTAGATCTTTAAGAACTTGCTTTATGAATCTGGGGGCTCCTGTATTGGGTGCATATATATTTAGGATAATTAGCTCTTCTTGTTGAACCCTTTACCATTATATAATGCCCATCTTTGTCTTTTTTAATCTTTGTTGCTTTAAAGTCTGTTCTGTCAGAAACTAGGATTGCAAGCCTTGTTTTTTTCTGTTTTCCATTTGCTTGGTAAATTTTATTCCATCCCTTCATTTTGAGTCTATGTGTGTCTTTGCACGTGAGACAGGTCTCTTGAAGACAGCATACCCATAGGTCTTGGCTCTTTATCCAGCTTGCCATTCTGTGTCTTTTAATTGGGGGCATTTAGCCCATTTACATTTAAGGTTAATATTGTTATATGTGAATTTCATCCTGTCATCATGGTCCTAGCTGGTTATTTTGCAGACTTGTTTTTGTGGTTGCTTTATAGTGTCACTGGTCTATGTATTTCAGTGTGTTTTTGCAGTGGCTGTTAACAGTTTTTCCTTTCTGTATTTAGTGCTTCCTTCAGGAGCTCTTGCAAAGCAGGCCTGGTGGTGATGAATTCCCTAAGCACTTGCTTGTCTGAAAAGAATCTTATTTCTGTTTTGCTTATGAAGTTTAGTTTGGCCAGATATGAAATTCTGGGTTGGAAATTTTTTCCTAAGAATGTTGAATATTGGCCCCCAATCTCTTCTGGCTTGTAGGGTTTCTGCTGAGAGGTCCCCTGTTAGTCTGAAGGGATTCCCTTTGTAGATGACCTGGCCTTTCTCTCTGGCTGCCTTTAATATTTTTTCTTTTATTTCAACCTTGGAGAATCTGATGATTATATGTCTTGGGGCAGATCTTCTTGTGGAGTATCTTACTGGGGTTCTCTGCATTTCCTGAATTTGAATATTAGCCTGTCTCGTTAGGTTGGGGAAATTCTCCTGGATGATATCCCAAAGTATGTTTTCCAACTTGATTCCATTCTCCCTGTCTCTTTTGGGTAACCCAATCAGTTATAGGTTTGGTCTCTTCACATAATCCCATATTTCTTGGAGGTTCTGTCATTCCTTTTCATTCTTTTCTCTCTATTCTTGTCTGCCTATTTCAGAAAGATAGTCTTCAATGCTCTGAGATTCTTTCCTCTGCTTGGCCTATTCTGCTATTGATACTTGTGATTGCAATGTGAGGTTCTCGTGTTGTGTTTTTCAGCTACATCAGGTAGGTTATGTTTCTCTCAAAACCGGCTATAAGCTCCTGTGTTGTTTTATCATGGTCCTTAGCTTCTTTGCATTGGGTTACAACATGCTCCTTTAGCTCAGCAAAGTTCATTATTACCCACCTTCCAAAGCCTGCTTCTGTCAATAATGCTATCTCAGCCTCAGCCCCAGCCCATTTCTATGCCCTTGCCAGAGAGGTATTGTGGTCATTTGGAGGAGAAGAGGCACTCTGACTTTTTGAGTGTTCAGCATTTTTGTGTTGATTTTCTCATCTCTGTGGGTTTATCAAACTTTGATCTTTGAGGTTGCTGACCTTTGAATGGGGCTTTTATGGGTTTTTTGGTTCATGTTGTTGTTGTTTTCTGTTTTTTTTTTTGATACAGGGTCTCACTTTGTCACCCAGGGTGGAGTGCAGTGGCACGATCTTGGCTCACTGCAACCTCTGCCTCACAGATTCAAGCAGTTCTCCCTCCTCAGCCTACCGCTGTGCGTGGTTAATTTTTTTTTTTTTTTTTTTTGTATTTTTAGTAGAGATGGGGTTTCACCACTTGGCCAGGCTGGTCTTGAACTTCTGACCTTAGGTGATCTGCTTGTTTCAGCCTCCCACAGTGCTGGGATTACAGGTGTTTGTTTTTTGAGACAGTCTCGCTCTGTTGCCCAGGGTGGAGTGCAGTGGTGTGATCTCAGCTCACTGCAACCTCTGCCTCCCCGTGTTCAAGTGATTCTCCTGTCTCAGCCTCCTAAATAGCTGGGACTACAGGTGCCCACCACTACACCCAGCTAATTTTCGTATTTTTAGTAGAGATGGTGTTTCAACATGTTGTCCAGGCTGGTCTTGAACTCCTGACCTCAAGTGATCTGCCCACCTCAGCCTCCCAAAGTGCTGGGATTACAGGTGTGAGCCACTACGCCTGGCCTGTTGTTTTTAGGGCTGCTGCAGTTTGCTGGGAGTTGCTCCAGACCCTAGTTGCCTAGGTTTTTCTGTACCTGGAGGTATCACCAGCAAAGCCTGTGAAACAGAAAAGATAGCAGGCAGCTTTCTCCTCTAAAAGCTTTATATCCCAGGAGGGTACTGACTTGTTGCTGGCCCAAATGCACCTGTAGGGGGTGGCTCACCCAGTCAGGAGGAACAGGGTCAGGGGCCCACTTAAAGCAGCAGCCTGGCTGCTTTTTGCAGAGTACGTATGCTGCATGTGGGGGAACTCTTCCTTATCCAGACTCCAAAGCCAGCAGGCTAAAATGGCTGAGTCAACCAAACTAGAGATGGTGGCCACCCCGCCCCCGCAGGAACTTGGATCCATCTCAGGCAGATTTCCAGCCTGCTGCTGTTGGCTGGCTAGAATTCCAAGCCAGTGGGTCTTAACTTGTGAGGTGCTGTGGAAGTGGGCCTCACAGAATGATACTGCTTGGCTCCTTGGATTCAGCCTCCTTCTTAGGGATTTGTACAAACAGATTTCCCACCTTGCTGGGGGTCCTGAGGCTGAAGTATGTGAAACTCCTAGGTCTCTGTGTGTGCCTCAGTGGCTGCTCTGCTGAGACTGAACACAACTCTGTGTATTGGACCCAAGGTCCTAGTGGCATGGGCTCATGAGGAGATCTCCTGATCTGTGGGTTGCAAACATCTGTGGGAGAGGTGTAGTTTCCTGGGTGAGGTTGCACAGTCACTCACCATTTCTCTTGGCTGGGGATGGGGGTTCCTTTGGCTCCATGCTGCTCTTGGGTGGGCCATCAACCCCCACCCTCGCTTTTCTTCATCCTCTGTGGGTTGAGTTGTTCGCCTAGTTAGTTTCAGTGCAAGAACCTGAATATTTCAGTTGAAGGTGAATCCACTCACCCCTTTTCTTTCCTCTTCGTGAGTGGTGTGAACCTCAGTTGCTTCTAATCAGCCATCTTGGATCCTCCTATATTATAATTTTAAATATCTGTGCTTAGAACTGAGGCTGTCATAACTCTGTGGATGATGGAGATGAAATTGTGGAGCCCAGGGTCTGCTGGGGTTGGGTTCCTATTGTTGCATGTGGGGCCAGGCAGTAAACCTGCTAAAAAGTAGCAGAGCATGTGCCAGCACAACTCTGCAGGACAAAGAGGCTGATGACCCCTGCCTGGCGTGCAGACCAGGTAGGAGACATGGGGTGGGGATGGACTGGGGCAGCCTGTATTTTAATTTGCAAATGTTTTTATGTTCTCCATTTGTTTCTATCATGGTATCCTGCTCATTTCAGAGATGCAGTGTTTTATTCCTGTGAAGGTTTTGTGAAAATGTAATACAGTGATACATTCACAAGGCTCAAATTCTGAAGGTTCAAAAATGAGTCCACAGTGCAAGTCTCCCTCTCAGCACTGTTCCAAAGCCTGCCAGCTTGGCCACTCTTCCCTGGGGCCATTAATGTCACCAGTTCATTTAATAGTGTGGAATATAGTGCACATATAATTTTCTCTCTTTTCCCCACAAGCAGTAGCTACTATACAGAGTTTTCAATCTTTTCTCCATGTAATGATGCATCTTGAAGGATGTCTCATTATTGGGACATAAAGAGCTGCTTCCTTGTTTGTACAGTTGCCCAATATTCTGTTCACATGGATGCACCACCATTTATTTAGCTGGCTTTTATTTATGTACTTATTTAGAGACAGGGTCTCACTCAAGGTGCCCAGGCTGCAGTGCAGTGGCACGATCTCGGCTCACTGTAGCCTCGACCTCCTGGGCTCAGGTGATTCTCCCACCTCAGCCTCCTGAGTAGCTGGGACTACAGGTACATGCCACTACACCCAATGAATTTTTGGTATTTTTAGTAGAGATGAGGTTTCTCCATGTTGCTCCAGCTGGTCTCAAACTCCTGGACTCAAGCAATCTGCCCACCTTAGCCTCCCAAAGTGCTGAGATTACAGGTGTGAACCACTGTGCCAGGCTATTTAACTGGCTTTCTAACGGTTAATTCCCAGAATTTTACTATCACAAACAAGGCTGATAAAAATAAAAAAATTACAAGATAAAATTTTACATTTCTGATAAAGAAGTATTCCTATTTCTCATAAGCATGAACTGTGAGCCCTTTCTGGGGCTCCTGGGAACATGTTGGCTTGCACTGTGACTTTGCCGCTGAAGGCTGTGAGATTCCAGCCTTCCCTACTCTGCAAAGTCAGGTCCCACTCCCTGTTTCATTTCCCAGCTTCCAAACATTGCTGCTATCCTCATCTTTCGTGGGCTGTTTTCCCATTCTTTGTTCTTACGGATTTAAATGTTTAAAAAATTCCTTCAACTGTCATTGTGTTCAGGGTTTTGAGGGAATAAAAATAAATACATATATTCAGTCTGCTATCTTCAAACTGAAGTTTCTAATCCCTTGCTTTTACAACTTCTTTAGGTTGTATTATTTGTTTTTTTCTGGAAATGTGGCAATGGCTCAGTTTGGATATGAGGTTTTCATCTCTGTGCAATGGGGGAACACTCATCAGCAGGTGTAGGCAGGGGATGCTCAGACCCTCCACCTGAAGGCATGGATTGCTAAGGCTGGTCTCTATCATGGATTTTTATTGCTCTCTAATCACATTTAGTATGAAATGTAACATAATACTCTAAATTCAAAATTAATTTTTTTTCTGACAGGAAATTGAAACTTGATGGCTAGGTTAAGAAAAATAAGGAAAAGAAAACAATAATAAACATGGCTTGATGAGGGAGGCCTGAATCAGACCAAGCTCTTTTTGATAGTCACAGGTTAAAAGAGCCCACAAAGAAACAGCAGCTCATGCAGGCAATGGGCTCCCAGACTGCAATAGTGACAATTCCCACAATATTCAGCATTGAGGAGACCTTTTCAGGATTACCGTAGTCTATCAGAGGTGCAAAATTTTACAAGGGCCAGTGACTGGAGTGCTCCCAAAAGGAGGGGCCCAGACAAGTTGGACATATTTAGCCTGGGTGCGAGGGGACTTGGGGAGCCCCCGCAAGAGCTTTCTTCAGATATGCAAAGGGCCTGAATAAGGAGAAAAGCTCCTTCTAGTCGGCACTAGCAGTCACACTTAAGCTTCTTGGACATCACAAACCCCAGCATACACACACATAACCACAAATGGAAGTGAGCAGGCCATGCCCACCATTTATGTAATTATTTACCTATGCATCACAACTAATACAAACACTTCAGAAGACAACACTGACTCTTATCACAAGCAATCCCTCTGATATTTTCTATTCTATTCTAGTTTGTTTACTGAAATGATTACTGTAACCCACTCTAAAGCGCTCACAGTCCAGCCCAGATCACATCCACAGCACAGAGACTGCTCCACTGGAAAAAAAACAGGGTTGTGGTTTAGGATCCTAAGGGGGTAGGCCGAATCCCAGGAGGGAATGCGAAGTCCCAGAGGCAGTGGGCAGCCCTGGGGGGCAGGAGGCAGTGGGGAATCCAAGGAGGCGGGAGGCAGTCCCAGGAAGCAGTGGGCTCCATGACATGGAGGACAGTCACACGTGTGTCAGAGAAGGACAAAAGATTAATTTTCCCACTGAGTAAGAGGTTGGATTGGATGATATGCAAAGCCCCTCTTCCAAATCGAGGCCCGTACTCATCAGGACAAATATTTACTAACATCTATAAGAACAAACCCCACCAGGTTGCAGAAAACCTCCCCTGCCCTGTTCTCACCCCTCCCTTCCCCACTGGCCTACCTGGAACACGAGTACACCCATGTGGGAAACTGCCAGTTGAATCTTGGTTCCTTCCCTGTCAGAAGCCATGTGAAATCTGATGCCGTACATTTCCAACTTTCGAGCAATTTCGAGCACCTGGAAATCCGACTCAGCAGGTGTCTGGCCCCTGTAATAAAAAATGGTAGAATCATACACTACAAACACTTGATTTCTGAAAGAGCCAAAATGCATTATAGAAGCGATCAGGAAAACCAACAATGAAGGCTTTGTGTGTTTAGAGGGCAGATGGTTCACTGTCTGTGTTTACCCACTACAAAAACAGCATACCACACGTGCAGGCCAAAGACATCCTCAGTTTTCTTCTATTCTGTAACTACTTTGTAACGGGTAGAACACTTTCTTTGCATACACTAGCTACTCAGCCTTACATCTGCTCCATAGTGACAAGGTTATACACAAATACTACTGGCAGAGACAAATTTTAATCAGAAGAAACACCACAGAGGGCCGGGCACAGTGGCTGACGCCTGTAATCCCAGCACCTTGGGAGGCAGAGGCGGGTGGATCACCTGAGGTCAAGAGTTTGAGACCAGCCTGGACAACATGGCGAAACCCTGTCTCTGCTAAAAATACAAAAATTAGCCAGGCGTGGTGGCGGAGGTTGCAGTGAGCTGAGATCATGCCACTGCACTTCAGCCTGGGTGACAGAGCGAGACTCCATCTCTAACAATAATAATACTAATAATAAAATGAAATGAAAAAGAAAGAAAATGAGTGTGACGGGATAGTAGTGTTATCTATGGTATTTCTTTTCTTTTCTTTTTTTTTTTTTGATGGAGTCTCACTCTGCTGCTCAGGCTGGAGTGAAATGGTGCAATCTTGGCTCACTGCAACCTCTGCCTCCCAGGTTCAAGCGGATTCTCCTGCCTCAGCCTCCTGAGTAGCTGGGACGACAGGTGCACGCTACCATGCCCAGCTTTTTGTATTTTTAGTAGAGACGGGGTTTGCCATGTTGGCCGGGCTGGTCTCAAACTCCTGACCTCAGGTGATCCGCCCACCTTGGCTTCTCAAAGTGCTGGGATTACAGGCGAGAGCCACTGCGCCCGGCCATCTCCTTTTCATCTTAAAAAATATTTTTTACTATCTGAAACACTTGTGTCTTATAAACCCGTTTTCTCACTCACTCACTCACTCACCCACTCACTCGCTCATTCGTTTAGAGACAGGGTCTCACTCTGTCGCCCAGGCTGGAGTGTAGTGGCATAATCTTGGCTCACTGCAAGCTCTGCCTCCCAGGCTCAAGCGATCCTTTCGCCTCAGTCTCCTGAGTAGCTGAGACCACAGGCACGCACCACCACACTTGGCTAATTGTTTGTAGAGACAGGGTTTTGTCATGTTGCCCAGGGTGTCTTGAACTCCTGGACTCAAACTTGTTGGCCTCTCAAAGTGTTGGGATTACAGGCATGAGCCACTGTGCCCGACTTTTCTCTCCAGTTTCAAAGATCCAAAAGCAATGTGATAAAGTCAAGAAAAACACTTCTTTAATATCCTATTCAGTGATTATAAAGGTGTTTTCAGTGGATCACTGAAGAACCATCAGAATCATAAGACAATGTAAGAAATGTATAATAATTAAAATAAAGGTACAATATTGTCTTTAAAAAAAAACCTGAAGGATTATCAAAAGAAATAAGATGTGCAACGAAGCTGTGGTGACTGTGACAGACACAGTCTCAAATTAACACAGTGAAGGCCTACAACGTAGAGCAGAGCTTCCTGCTTCCGGGCTTATTCGGCAAGAGTTCAACTGTATTCCCGTATGAAGCAGACCACATGGCTCACCCTTCTCGTACCGGCTTTCTAGGGTTTTTAGCGGATACATGTGCACATGTAAGGACACACACATGCAGAGACACAGGCACAAGAACATGTGCAAGTACACATAACCACAGTATACAATGTACACAGGAACACACATCAACACACATGAACATATGAGCCACACACAGAAACACACACAATGCATGCATAGGAACACATATACATGCACACACGACCACACAGCCACACATGTATACACAGAACACACCCAGACACACACACACACACACACACACACACACACACACACACACACAGAACTACCCTGAGGGTCCAGTTCTTTGTTCTTCCACAGGCAGGCTTCTCGACATAAGTGCCCAAAGATGTTGTCACTGCCTCCTCACTGCACTTTCAGTGTACTTGAATCTAGAATTCACCCTCACCACTCACTGAAGCTGCTGAAGGCGATACACTGCCACACTGCCAAGCTCAGAAACCTGCTCCTGTGCCTACCTCCCCAGGCCTGTAGTCTCCACACAAGAGGCTGTGGCCACTATCCTAAAACATGCTCTCTTGGCACCTGTGCCCTTCCATGCTTCTGGCTGCTAAAGGCTCTTGTGGGTGCCTCCTCCTGCACTCAGCCTCTCAAATGTCAGTTCTTCAGGGGTTCATCCTGGGCTCTTCTCCCTTCCTGACCTGTATCTGCCCTCTGCCTAGCTGATTTCACCCACTGCACAGGTTAGCCCAGCCTACGTGCTGACAACACTCTCCCCAGCATCCCAAACCCACCCATCCACTAGGGACTGTCCTTCAGGTTGGACAGTTCGCAGCACAATGCCCAATTCTCCCTTCCTCATGTCCAGCCCCTGCTGTGTGTCTCAGCAGGGAGAGACTATCCCCAACCCTAGGAATGCAGACTGAACCAGTGACCGTTTCCTGCTGGGATGGCACACAACACTAGCAGAGGGCCCTTGGCTCCATGGGTCAAGGTCTGGATGTGACACTCAGAACAGCTGTACCTTCCTCACTACCAGCTAGAATAATGGCAACACTTGAAAGAGGCAAAGCCAAGGGTACCTGGGAGAATAGAGCAGGAGCTCTACCTGTACTGCCCTGCATGGAGGCCTCCTCAAGGTCAGGTCAGGCAAATGGATGAGAAGCACCGACTTACACACACAAGATGCCCCACACCGTCATGTCCGAGATGGAGCTCTGCACGCATGGTCTGACCGTATGTACAATGGAGTAAAACAGTGCATGCCATGATGTGGGTTTGAGGATTACACAAAAATGCTCGTAAGAGCTGTCCGTAATTGCCACTACAGCCTCTCCAGTATCAGTTGGCACTTCTACCTCCAGCCCTTGAACCCAAACTGCCCAAGCCATGCTGGAACCTCCCTCTCCTCTCTGCTTCCTTCTCCCTCCCTTCCCAGGCTGGTGCTTTGCCTGGAATGCTTCCTCCCTGGCTTTGTCCGCCTAGGTCCTCCCACGAGCCTCCTTGAGCCTGCCCTCGGCCTTCTTTCAGCTCACAGCGTATGAGCTATGCTCCCGCTACACTGCACACATTCTCATCTGTAGAAACGCATCTGTATATCTCATGACTGCCATGCTGTCGGGCACACAAAAGGCACTCCCCTGCAAACACAAGAGATCCCCCACACTGGGAGTGGTGAGGTGCACGAAATCCACACAATCTTACGGGGTAAGGTAAGATCTGTATGGGTAGGCACCTCAGTCTGTGCCGTTCAAACCAGCTCCCCAGTGCTGACAGCAGTGGTGGATGCATAGCTGGCACTCATACTTTGAAGGTGTGAAAGGGCAGCTGCCAGCAGGTCCCGGTAGAGCCTTAACGACACACATGAACATACATGATCTGACAAACAAACCTGCATCTCAACAGGATGTGTCACAAAGGCAAGGCTAAGTCCTCCTGACTCACTTTCACCAGCTGAGTGCTCCCCTTTGGTGACTAAAGCTCCCAGCCACCTGGGCCAGAGCCCAGAGCCCTTTCCCATACCGTTCTTCAATCCTTTTCCCCTTAGCTAGCACTCCTTCTCTAGGTCTCTATCACTTCCATCCAGAAAAACCCACCAGTGTCAAGTCTTAGAGAAATCAAAACAAGATGAGATGAAGGCCATGGGTGCCAGGCGATTCCCAATGCCCTGACACAGGCAGACACTGTTAGCCTCACACAGTCCCCTCCTCCTCTACCACAGCACAGTGTCTTCCCCGTAGAGGACTCTTTCTGCCACACTGCAGAGACACTGCAGCAGCTGACACCCCCCCAATAGCCACCCCATCCTGCTCAGTAGCATCCTCCTCCCCCAGACCCTGATGTCTTTTCCAGCACCTTTTTTTTTTTTTTTGAGACGGAGTTTCACTCTGGTGCCAGGCTGGAGTGTAGTGGCACGATCTTGTCTCACTGTAACCTCCACCTCCTGGGTTCAAGCGATTCTCCTGCCTCACCTCCTGAGTAGCTGGGACTACAGGTGCCTGCCATTAGCCCAGCTAATTTTTTGTATTTTTAGTAGAGATGGGGTCTCACTATGTTGGCCAGGCTGGTCTCAAACTCCTGACCTCAGGCAATCCACCTGCCTCAGCCTCCCAGGGTGCTGGGATAACAGGCATGAGCCACCGTGCCTGGCTTCTTCCAGCACCTTCTAAAGCAGCACATCGTGCAGGTGTGAAGGTGCTTCAGGCCAGGGCACCTGTGTGTCTGTGTGTCTGCCAAGCTGCCTCTGGCAGCAGCTGCACATCCTGAGGCCAGGAGCAATGGTCCTTATGTTAGAATCTTGCAGAAGTCACGACAACAGTCCTTTCTCGTTACACACTCTTTAGTCATTACTGTGGTGACAATGTGTTGACAGACAATTGTGATGACTTACACGTGCTTCTGATGGAATTCTAGTATCTTCTCAAGGCAGTGCTGCTGGCCAGGCAAATACTCGTTCACTTTGAGGTGCTCTCGGTCCAGCGTTTCATCGTAATCTCCTATTTCCGCTGAGATAGGTTAAAAGTAAGTAACTAATTTTTAAATAAACTACAAGCATTTGTATGTGTCATTGCATACATTAAAAGTAAAAAAAAATTATCCCAAATTTGTAGCAAAAGAATATATCCCTAAAAAAGCAAGATTTTTTATTTAATTTTTCCAAATATTTTATGCTGTTAAAAGGCAAATATAATGGGAAGTGAAGAGGATTTCTTGAAGAACAAAGGCCTGATTAGTAACTCCAGGGAGGCAAACATTGATGAGTTTAATGTGTTTATTATTATTTTGACACAAGGTCTCGTTCTGTTGACCAGGCTGGAGTGCAATGGTGCAATCACTACTCACTGCAGCCTCAACCTTCTGGACTCAAGCAATCTGCCCGCCTCAGCCTCCTAAGTAGCTGGGACTATAGGTAAGCACCATCATGCCCAGCTAATTTTTGTATTTTTTGTAGAGATAAGGTTTTGCCACATTGCCCAGGCTGGTCTCAAACTCCTGGACTTAAGCAATCCTCCTGCCTTGGCCTCCCAAATGTGCTGGGAATATAGGCATGAGCTACTGCACCTGGACTACTATTATTTTTAAACTACACCTTAAACCTAAATTGTCTCAAGATTATCATGATCAGGCTGAAGTATTTTATTTATTTTAGGATAATGTATTTTAAATGATTTTTTTCCTTCAGACCTTCTCAAATTTCTTGATGAATAATGTCTCTGTCTAATTTCATGTATTTTAAGGCCACAATGTCTTAATAACATAAAGTTCAATAATTTAAAGCAATATGCTTTTATTTTTAGACAATCTCATATTCACAGAGAAGTTACAAGCACAGTACAAGAGTTTTTTCTCCTTTGAGCCATTTGAGAGTGAGTTGCTAACATGTTACTTGCCATACTTCAGTATGGACTTCCTATAAACTATGACATTTGATACGGTTTGGCTGTGTTCCCACCCAAATCTCATCTTGAATTATAACTCCCACAAGTCCCACTTACTGTGGGAGGGACCCAGTGGGAGGTAACTGACTCATGGGGGCGGATCTTTTCCGTGCTGTTCTTGTAATAGTGAGACTTTCATGAGATCTGATGATTTTACAAGGGGCCATTTCCCTGTACAAGCCTCTCTCGCTGCCGCCACATCTCTATCAGCAGTGTGGAAATGGACTAATACAATATTCTTACCCGCAGCCTTGTAAAACTACCCAGATCAGGAACAGGGCCACGATCTGAGGCTCCATCCCAGATGTGGACCCTAGTCATATTTTACCAACTGCCCAATTATGTTTTTTATAGCAAAAAGATCTGGTTCAGTCATACATTGCATTCGTTGCCATGTGTCTACCTGAGAAGTCTTTCAGCCAAATGAGTAAGAACCAAAGTCACTTTGAAAACTTTTATTAATCAACACGTCCCCTGGTGGAGGATAGCAAACCCATAATAAAATTTATTATTTGAAGAAGGTATGTCTGGGGAAGGACCAAGGAAGCTGCAAATAACCTATATACTTATTAATTCCTAAAATTTTGGAACTTTCTATGTCATATTTCCTGGATTCAAATTTCAGAAACATTAGTTCTGTGCTAGCTGTGGTCCCACCTCTAGTCCAGGAGCAATGTGGGTATTTCTGTTTTTCTATTCCCATCGCTGGGGGCTCGGCAAGGTGCCAGAACCTCCTCTTACACTTCTCATGGTTTATTTTTGAAGTAACTATAATTCTTGACACAGTTCTGAACCATCTCTTGATCTGTGTGAGATACTGAAGAAATGTCTTCTTTTTCCTTCATGGCTAATGCTTTACTAATCTGAGAGGACTGTAACTTTTATCCCAGTGAGGCCCTTTCCAGGGTTTGCTCAGAGTTTGGTTTATATTCTGACTCTTAGACTGAATATGCATTGCTGGTAAAATGCACAAAGGCATAAATGAGAGACAACCCAAAAGAAGGAACGTGGCTACAGATTTTGGCCTTGGCCTGTGTTTGCTACGTGGAAACTATTTGCCTCAAGGAGTTCCACTTTACAGAAGTTAATCTGTAGCTTATAAAAAACACTGAAGTTGAAACACCTCATTCTATGGTCAGGCTCACTAACTAGGCAAATACATCAGCAACTAATTGTAGTTCTGAGTGCGGGTATATCTGTGCCATGGTCAGTGAATGCTCCCCGCTGGCGGGGAGATACTCACACTGCAGGAGATGGGACGTGAGAAGGGCCGCTGTGGTGTCAGCACAGGTCAAACGCTCTTCCAGCAGGTCTCTCTTAAGTTGCAAGGCAAACAAGTATCTAGAAGAGAGTTCAAAATAAGACAGAGATCAATTCCAAATGTTCTCTGAATGTAACATAGACATGTCTCCACAGCAAGACAGCAAATGAGCCCTGGGAAGTGGCAGTGACCCAACAGTGAGCAAAACGCAAGGCGGTCACGAAACAGCAAAGTCACAAAAGGCCTTTCATGAAACAAACAGTCACCAAGTGAAGGTCAGATGATAAACCAACTCAGCAGACTGAGTCACACACATGGGAGAGCGCAAAGGAAGTGCTGAACACACTAAGGCACTCTGATGTGAACAATAAAAAAAAGAAATTGGCCAGGGGCGATGGCTCCCGCCTGTAATCCCAGCACTTTGGGAGGCTGGGGCGGGTGGATCACCTGAGGTCAGGAGTTCGAGACCAGCCTGACCAACACTGTGAAACCCTGTCTCTAAAAAAAGTGCAAAAACCACCTGGGCGTGGTGTGCACACCTGTAATCCCAGCTACTTGGGAGGCTGAGGCAGGAGAATCGCCTGAACCCGGATGCAGAGGTTGCAGTGAGCTGAGATCATGCCACTGCACTCCATGTTAGGCAACAAGAGCGAAACTCTGTCTCGAAAAAAAAAAAAAAGAAAGAAATTAGCCTTTTCAGGCATACCATCTACCCACATATAATTACACATCTGCAGCCATACCTTCAAGGAGGAAGGTCACAAATTCACATTACTTCTGTTAGTCACATAAAACTGCACTCACAGTTTTGGATGAAATAGGAGAAATATCCAATGAAAACACAGCTTAAAGCATGGCTGTGAAATTTTTTAACGGATTGATAATATCTGGTCTTGGCTAGGATCTGAGAAACAGGCACTTTGGAATACCATTAGTGAGAATGTAATGAGAGAAGGCAATTGAAAATATTTATATGTTCATTTATTCCATCAGCAAATAATTACTGAGCGTGAATTACGTTCTAGGTACTGTTCTGGGAGCTGGAAATGCAAAGGTAAGCAAGACCAACCCCCTGTCCCTAGTGGAATTCATGCCCCAGTGCACAATATTAAAATTTACCACATTCTCTTAAAATTCAGGATGTACATACCCTTTAACACAGCAATTCCATTTCTACAAACTTTCCTAGACTAATATTCCCATAGTTCACAAAGGTATGTGAACAATGTTTCTCTGCAGCATTATAACAGAGAAATATTGGAAATATGGATGAATATGAGAATGATGAAATTATGTTACAGCCTAATTTAGTATATTTTTATATACGATATGGAAAAATGTCCACAGCATGCTTAATAAGTGGGGGGAAAAATCAACCTACAGTTCAATACGTATCATTTGATATTGTTTTATAACATTTGTAATTTCTTTAAAGTTCTGATATCTATGTGTTTATTGCACATCTATGCTTTCATCTGAAAGATACGTACTTATGCGGAGAATAAGGTGCTGAGTAAATGGAGAACTTTTACTTTTTACTTATCTTTGTTTACTTATTTTTTTTGAGACAGGCTCTCACTCTATTGCCCAGGCTGGAGTGCAGTGGCGCTACCACAGCTCACTGCAGCCTCAACCTCCTGGGCTCAAGTGATACTCCTGCCTCAGCCTCCAGAGTAGCTGGACTACAGGTGCATGCCACCATGCCTGGCTAATTTTTTGATATTTTGTAGAGATGAGGTCTCCCCATGTTGCCTAGGCTGGTCTTGAACTCCTGAGCTCAACTGATCCCCCCACCTTGGCGTCCTGAAGTGCTGGAATTACAGGTGTGAGCCGTTGCACCTGGCCCTTAGCTTTATTTGGAAAAAAAATTCTTTTACCACAAACATGTACATTTTTATAAACAGAAAAAAGAATCCTCCACATAAATATGGGGGAGAAGGGAGTAACTATAATACTGAGTTATCAGCATGAGTCCTAGAACTTGAGACCCAGGATCCTGAATGAGGGGACACTTTGTTATCCATCATTTTCAGGTATCTATCTATCTATCTATCTATCTATCTATCTATCTATCATCTATCTATCTATCTATCTCTATTTAAAAGTGATTCCCTCAAAAGAGACTTTTTTTTTGGTAAATGTCAGGCATTTAATACACTATTAAGATCTATGGTCACTCATAAAAATACTTTTTGCCATCTTTGGAGTTTCCTAAACCTTTAAAAATAAGAGGGTGAACTAATGTGGTCTCTCCATTTCCTTGCAGCTGACATTCTACGATTTTGTGTTGCTAAAATGATATGCAGAAACCTTTAAAAGAGAGTTCATAAGACATCTGATTCATTTATGAGTACACTTTTAGCCAGAAGGCAAAAAAGTTATTGATACCACTACAACATCATAGTTCTCTTTTATATCTAATTTTGGGTTTTCAGTTGCTTTTTAGGTTATTCCTCTATTCTTCATAATATAATTGATATGTGAACAAATACAAAAAATACAAAGAAAAACCTTCCATAACCTTACTGTCCAGATGAAACAATTGTTAATATTTTCTTTTTTTTTTTTTTTGAGACAGAGTTTCGCTCTTGTTGCCCAGGCTGGACTGAAATGCCAATCTCGGCTCACTGCAACCTCTGCCTCCTGGATTCAACAGATTCTCCTGCCTCAGCCTCCCAATTAGCTGGGATTAAAGATGCCTGCCACCACGCCTGGATAATTTTCTTTTCTTTTTTTTTTTTGAGACGGAGTCTCGCTCTGTCACCCAGGCTAGAGTGCAGTGATGTGATCTTGACTCACTGCAAACTCCGCCTCTCGGGTTCATGCCACTCTCCTGCCTCAGCCTCCTGAGTAGCTGGGACTACAGGTGCCCGCCACCATGCCCGGCTTATTTTTTGTATTTTTAGTGGAGACGGGGTTTCAAAACTGTGTTAGCCAGGATGGTCTCGATCTCCTGACCTCGTGATCTGCCCGCCTTGGCCTCCCAAAATGCTGGGATTACAGGCGTGAGCCATTGCACCCTGCCATCTTTAGATCATTCCTATAAAGAATTGATCTTTAATTCAAAATAGTAGCACAAAAGAAGTGACCCAAAGTATTTCTGCTCCATAAATCCATAAGAACTAACACACTGGGTACTTCTACCAATTAAGTATATTTTATTGATAAATAAGTATATATGAGCAAAATCCCTGAGAACCTTATGAACATGCATAAATCTATGTTCATTTGGAAAATGTAAGTTCAACATGACCCTAACATCCCATTCCATTTTTTATTTTCAAATTTGTACTGTAAACCTTACACTGAAGTCTTATTCACATGTGTTTGTGCAAGGGTCAACTGCCAACATGCTTCTGTTAACCACTCTACACTCATGGTCACTTTTCTGTGTATATCAGGCTTATTCATTCTTTCAATGAGCCAGGTGCTGTGGGAGATAACAGGTGAATACAAGATTCCTGCTGACAACAGCTTCAGCTCTGTGAGCTCTTTACCTTGTATATTCTTCTTGTAGCTGACCAGGATCAGGTGGAAAAAATTTTACAGCTAGGCGAAGCACCACATTCTTTGGCCCTATAACAAAAAAATTTAAACTTCACAAATAAGGCCGATCTTTGCATTTATTCTCTTTTCATATATTACTGTATAACTGAGGTCATGCTTCCAAGTGGACTGTTACAGCAAATCTTTTCAAATAATATGATATTAAGAAATTTCTGCCCAGGTGTGGTGGTGTGTGCCTGTAATCCCACCCCTTTGGGAGGCTGAGGTGAAAGGATGGCTTGAGGCCAGCAGTCTGAGGTTGCAGTGTGCTACAACTGCACCACTGCACTCCAGCCTGGGCAGCAGGGTGAGACCCTGTCTCCGAACAAAAGAAAAAACAAAGAAGCATTTCCTGTATATGAATTTATGAGTCCCAAGTACCAATCACATATATATATAGAATTTTAAAATCTTTTGCATTCAGCAGGGATTACTCAAGGAAGCCTTAAAAACAAGTAGGGCTGGGCGCGGTGGCTCACGCCTGTAATCCCAGCACTTTGGGAGGCTGAGGGGGGCGGATCACAAGGTCAGGAGATCGAGACCATCCTGGCCAACACAGTGAAACCCCGTCTCTATTAAAAATACAAAAAAATTAGCCGGGCGTGGTGGCGGGTGACTGTAGTCCCAGCTACTCCAGAGGCTGAGGCAGGACAATGGCGTGAACCCGGGAGGCGGGGATTGCAGTGAGCCGCGATCGTGCCACTGCACTCCAGTCTGGGCGACAGAGCGAGACTCCGTCTCAAAAAATAAATAAATAAATAAATAAAAACAAGTAGGAAATTGCACATTAAAAAATTTAAATAGGCTGGGTGCAGTGGCTCACATCTGTAATCCCAGCACTTTGGGAGGCGGAGGCTGGTGGATCACTTGAACCCAGGAGTTTCAGACCAGCCTGCGCAACATGGTGAAATCCCATCTCTACCCGCCCCTCTCCCCCCCAAAAAAACCCCAAATTAGCCAGATATGGTGGCGCATGCCTGAAGTTCCAGCTACTTGGGAGGCCAAGGTGGGAGGACTGGTGGAGCCCAGGAGGCAGAGGCTGCACTGAGCTGAGATCACACCACTGCACTCCAGGCTGGGTGACAGAACGAGATTGCCCACCCCTCCACACACAAAAACATGCGCGTGCTCTCTCTCTCTCTCTCTATATATATACACACAGACATATATATACCCACACATACATATATATATATATAAAGAGAGAGAGAGAGACATTTTTTCCCCAGTTTATGTTTTTGTTTTGTTTTGGTTTTTTTGAGACAGAGTCTCTCTCTGTCGCCCAGGCTGGAGTGCAGTGACGTGATCTCGGCTCACTGCAAGCTCCGCCTTCCAGGTTCATGCCATTCTCCTGCCCCAGCCTCCTGAGTAGCTGGGACTACAGGCGCCCCCCACCATGCCCCTACACCCGGCTAATTTATATTTTTAGTAGAGGCGGAGTTTCACCATGTTAGCCAGGATGGTCTCGATCTCCTGACCTTGTGATCTGCCCACCTTGGCCTCCCAAAGTGCTGGGATTACAGGCGTGAGCCACCGTGCCCGGCCCCCAGTTTATGTTTTAGGGAAAAAAATGATAAATGAAAAAGTTTTTTTTAAAAAAAAGTTAATGTGTTTACATCTACTTTTTTTTTCTCAGATGCAGTCTCAATCTGTTGCCCAGGCTGGAGTGCAGTGGTGTCATCTTGGCTCACTGCAACCTCCGCCTTCCAGGCTCAAGTGATTCTCCTGCCTCAGCCTCCTGAGTAGCTGAGATTATAGGCATGCGCCATCACGCCTAGCTAATTTTTGTATTTTTAGTAGAGACAGGGTTTCACCATGTTGGCGAGGCTGGTCTCGAACTCCTGACCTCAGGTGATCTGCCCGCTTGGGCCTCCCAAATTGCTAAGATTACAGGCATGAGCCCCACACCGGGCCAGTATTATTAATAGTAATAAAAACACATTATTTTTGAAATCTGATTACTGTAAAGGTACATTATCTTAGTTTATTGGTATAAAATAGTTATTTTTTCTTTCCTCAGAGATCCTTGTTCTGATATAATGAAGTTATTTCTACACGTTTTTCTTCAATTTATAATAGTAATACAAAAAATTATGGGTGACTCAGACAACTATAGACTTCATCTGACACAATTACAGAAGAACTGAGAAGTGCTACTACATGCCTTAGTTTAAAAAATTTAATAAGTAGATGAACGAAAATAATTATCTTGAGACTGAGGTGGGAAGACAGCTTGAACCCAGGAGGTTGAGGCTGCAGAGAACTGTGTTCACACCACTACACTCCAGCCTGGGCAACAAATAGCGAGACCCTGTCTCAAAAATAATAATATAATTGTTATTATTATATTCACAATTACAATTATGTTTATAACTGTAAAACAGTATCAACTATTTTATTAAAAGCTACTTAAAAGAAGAATCTCAATGTCTTTTCATAATCAAGGGAGAAACTGCAGTTATTTTTGCATATTGGCCAAAAATTAAGACGATATCAAACAGCATATGCTCTTATTTCCGAATGTGAAGCAAGTCACCTAGAATCTTCTGAGTTAAAATTACTAAAACTAAACAGCAAAATGACTTCCAAGTTTGTCCGCTATTGGTGATTACTTCTTGCTAACCATACACGGTGGTGAGAATGAACAGTTGAACATGCCTTTTAAACATTCCAGGACAACACATCTTAAACAAACAGATTTTAAAGAGTCAAACCAAGGACTTACTTCGTATTTGCCTAATGATGGGTTTCATAGGTTCAAGCCAAATCTAAAGAAGAGTTAACAGAAGAAATCCAATCTATTAAATAATGTCTCTATTTAACAAGTATGCTATAAAAACAAAAATGGTTATAATAAGATAAATTTTTATGTCAGGAAAATTTTGACTCTACCCCCCCTCTTAAAGGTTGAATCCTGATAAAACAAACTGTACAAGAAGGACAGCAATGCCTGCTTTGGGAAGCATGGGAAGACGTTAAAATTGCTATATGATACTGGGATACCTCTATTCAGTTGCTGCTATGCGCAGAATGGGTCCCAATAATTATTTGTGGGAATTTGTTAACACCAAACAAATATTTGGTACTACTGCATTTGTGAACAAACTGATGAGCGGGCTTCTGCAAAAAAGAGGTACGTCATGTCACCAGAACAGGAGACTTGGATAAATCTGGTCGCACTGCCAAGGGTATCTGAAAGGCTGGACAGAACTTAATAACGCTGACATGCTTTTTGAACTAAAGGGTTGATGTATGGTTCTTTAAAACAGTTCTATCTATAAATATTAAAACTCCACACTTTTTAAGGTTGCATCTATTAAGTAAAATGAGGCATAACTGGTTAAGTTTGCTACAAGTCCACTTTCGAAATGATTTTCATACAGGATGTATTAGAGGTTGCTTTTATACCTTTTAAGAGAGTTTCCTCAGCACATGTGCTAACAAACAGAACACATTTAGGGAGAGTGTGAATTCAGGCTTGGATTAAAGGCAGACATATTCTCTACAGCTAACAAGAATATATTTTAATAGCAAAAACATTTAATGCTGATGATGTGGCAATGATGAAAGATCTTGCGGCTGTCATCACAGCAGGCCCAAAGGCTCCACGCCTGGGCACGTCATAAGCACTTACCCAGTAGGACTGAGTATTTTGAAACTCCATCCCGAAGTAGTCACATTCTACCAGGTTTAAACGCTTCCACACTTGTGTCAGTAATACCTGGCCATCGCATTTAGGCTGTGCAGAGAGAGATGGGAAAAATAACAAGGATTGAAAGACTAAACAGCAAGGGTTTATGAAAACTGTGCATAAAACTACTTTCCCACACATAAAATCACTTTGTCTTCCAGTGTATAACTAAGATTTATAAACTATATATAAAAAAAAAAGTCTGAAGCATTTGTGCTCAGAAACTGGCAACAAAATAAATAAAGCTAAAAAATTCCTTCCATTTTACATTTAGTGTGTTTTCAGTCCTATTTCTTTGTAACTTTAAGCTATAGAAACCATTTCTAGTTTTGGTAAATATTTTATCAAATAATTTCGATATTTACACCAGGTGCGGTGGCTCACGCCTATAATACCAGCAATTTGAGGCTGAGGTGGGTGGATTGCTTGAGCCCAGGAGTTTGAGACCAACCTAGGCAATACAGTGACACCTCACCTCTACCCAAATTAAAAAATTAGCCGAGCACAGCGGTGCCCACCTGTATTCCCAGCTACTCAGGTGGCTGAGGTGTGAGGATTGCTTGAACTTGCAAGAAGGAGGCTGCAGTGAGCCATGATCGTGCCACTGCACTCCAGCCTGGGTGACAGAGTGAGACTTTGTCTCAAAAAAAAAGTAATTTTAATATTTACTAAAAAGCTAAAGTCTTAAGAGTCTTTATTTATATAAGATCCCAGTAAATAATTATTTGGTCAATCGGAAATTACAAAGAGAAAAAAAATATTATTTGGTAGCATTTCACATCAATGAGAAGAACTGTTCATAAAGGAGGTGGGGCAACGGACTCTCCCATTAAGGAAAAGAATGGGCTGAGCATGGTGGGATCACGCCTGTAATCCCAGCACTTTGTGGGGCTGAGGCAGGAGAATTTCTTGAGTACAGGAGTTCAGGATAAGCCTGGGCAACATGGCAAAACACTGTCTCTACAAAAAAAAAAAAAAAAAAAAAAAAAAAAAAATATATATATATATATATATATATATATATATATATATATATATAAATTAGCTGGGTGTAGTGGCGTGCACCTGTAGTCCCAGCTAACTCAGGAGGCTGAGGTGGGAGGATCACCTGAGCCCAGGAGGCAGAGGTTGCAGTGAGTTGAGATTGTGCCACTGCATTCCACCTTGGGTGACAGAGTAAGACCCTGTTTCAAAAAACAGAAGAAGAAAAATGGAAATAGAGTTTTATTGTACATTACTCACAAAAATAAATTCCAGTGGACCTAAAGACCAGAATCAAACAGAGAAGAATCTCTATAATCTTGGGAAAGGTAAAGTCTTCCTAAGCATAGCAAAAAGGAAAGATGGACAGACTTGACTTAAATAAAAGTGAAAAACATCTGAACAGAAACACATTTAACAAAGTTATCTAGAATCACAATGGAAAAAGTTACAATGTTTTATTTTGCTCTTATTAGATGAAGATGTACAAATGGCTACTATGCATTTAAAAAGATACTAAATTTCTTTAATAATAAAACAGTAAGATATTTTTCACCCATCAAAGAGGGTTAGAATGATGATGCCAATATTGGTGTGTCTGTGAGAAACAGCCACTTTCACAGAGTGCTGGGAAGAATGTAAGTTCATATGACCTGATAATTTGAAAACACCTTTGAAAATTTAAAGTGTGCATTTACCTTTGCCCAGTAATTCTACTTCTAGAACTTTTTCCTACAGATACTTTCATACAACTGTACAGACCTAAACATGTTAAGGACAAATTCAGTAAAGAATTGGTAAAATAGGCCGGGCACGGTGGTTCATGCCTGTAATCCTAGCACTTTGGGAGGCTGAGGTGGGTGGATCACCTGAGCTCAGGAGTTCGAGACCAGCCTAGCCAACATGGCAAAACCTTGTCTCTACTAAAAATACAAAAATTGGCCGGGTATGGTGGTGCACGCCTGTAATCCCAGATACTCAGGAGGCTGAGGCGGGAGAATAGCTTGAACCCGGGAGGCGGATGTTGCAGTAAGCCGTGAGCCAAGATTGCGCCATTGCACTCCAGCCTGGGCGACGAGCGAAACTCCGTCTCAAAAAAAAAAAGAATTGGTAAAATAAATAATGACATATCCATAATGGACAACTATGCAACCCTTAAAAAGAACACAGAACTCTCTATTGTGTTATCATTGAAAAAAGTCTACAACACATAGTTTAATTAAGAAAAAAATAAAAGGGACTCTGGGCATGGTAGCTCACGCCTGTGAACTCAGCAACCTGAGGGAGGAGGATTGCTTGAGGCCTGGAGTTCAAGATCAGACGGCACAACAGAGACCCTGTCTCTACAAAAGATAAAAATTAAAAGGAAAAAGAAAAAAAGGCCTCCATTTCTATACAATGTATAAAACGATTCCATTTTATTAAAAACACATATGCCCCATGGATACATTTATATGTAATAAAAATAAGTTTGGAAAGCTGTTCACTAAATCTTTAAAAGTAACCATCATTAAAGAACTAAGCAGAGGTGGAGGTGGGGCAAGAGCATTCTTACTTCTTCACTTCTATAACATCTCAATTTTTAACCAATAGGCATATATCATCTTCACAATTAATAAACAATATGTGCAAACTGGGGGAGGCAAATCTCATTGTTCCAAAGGACATTATGGCCCTTGAGGTTTAGTCACCAGATTCTCACTGTGTAAGAAATAAAACCTTGCAAATCCATTGTAACAAAGCAGCATACGGAATGAAAGTACAAGGAACGCCTCTTTAAAATGGAAAGGTGAGCTACGAAGTGACCTGACATTGTACATACAATTTCTAAAGAACAAAAGGGCAAATCTGTGTTGAACTTGCTCTGACATAATCTCTTAGGGCCTTCTCCAGTAAGAACTTACTCTGATGCCTGTGGGCATCTGGGAGGAGGCATGCCAGCGCTCCACATGTGGTCCATCAGGATGGGGAGAATGCAGCCAGACCAGGGTTTCTGAGACTGTTAACTAGTCAGAAATTATGAACCGTGGAGTATGCTGCACTAACTCACTGTGGGCCCAAACAACCCTATGAAGTTCTTTCAAAGCCATACTGTCTGTCCACACTTCCATCCAGGATCACCAGGACAGTCCTCCTCATGACTCTCCCTGAGTCAGTACTTGGGGTGGGGAGGCTACATACAACCAAGTCCCTCACCCTGATACAGCCTCACACTACCTGGCTTCACCTGAGTGCAGGGATAATGACATGCCCAGGCTATTCCCTTAGAGAAGAATTCTCTCTCACTTCCCTTCTATCAGTCTCCAGTGAATGCTTTGAGAATCTGATAAAAAGTCAGCTCATTTGTGGTCTCTCTTCATCCAGTCAATTCTACCTAATTACACACCAGTTGGTACTCGACTCTAGAACTGCCCTTTGGCATTGCTGCTGACTGTGACCCGTTTATTTGTTTGGGTGTGTTCCTCCTACCAGATGGCAAGTTTAAAGGGCAAGGACTGCACCTTCTCCATCCTAGTAGCTCCAGCTCTGGCTCACAGGAGAGGCACCACACACGGCCAGATTCCCGGACTGTCCACCACTGCTCCTGATTCTGACGGCTGTTGTGGGAGCTTGAGTGTGCACTTCAGGTGGCACAGAGAATATGAAATTCTCTTAGCTGTACCCTTTTTCAACTACCTGGCTGCCCCTGTGAGTCAATGGGGAGGTCAGGGTTCCCCGTCCTACCTGAGCCCCTGCACTGCCTAGAGTAGTGCAGCCAGAGTGTGCTCCAGGAGCCCTGCCTGACTACACTAATGAAGGCGATAGACACTAACCACGCAGGTGCAAGCACATTCACAAGGCACCTGTTAACCAGCAATGTCCAACACCCAGGACAGGGTTTGTAAATACGGGCACAAAAATTCACAGTTATATGGGTATTTGTATATATACACACAAACAAACATATGTATGTGTGTTTAACCTTCAGTACAGGGAGGATGATCTTTTCATGAATGGTGCCAGGGAAACTGCATATCCATACAGGTGAAAATAAGCACTGACTCCAACCTCACACCATGCACAAAATTAATTCAATATGAATCACGGAAAGGCACAACAATAAAGCTTGGGGTAGGCAAATATTTCTCAAACAGGACACAAAAAACACTAGCTCCCCCACCCCCAAAAGACTGATATCGACTACCTGAATATTACAACCTTCTGTATATCAAAAGACACTGTTAAGATAGGAAAAAGGCAAGCCACAAAATAGAAGATAGTTGCAATACAAAAACCCAACAAAGAGGCTGGGTGTGGTGGCTCATGCCTGTAATCCCAGCACTTTGGGAGGCCGAGGCAGATGGATCATGTGAGGTCAGGAGTTTGAGATCAGCCTGACTAAAAATACAAAACTTTCACTACTCTCTACTAAAAACACAAAAATTAGCCGGGTGTGGCGGCGTGTGCCTGTAGTTCCAGCTACTTGGGAGGCTGAGACAGGAGAATTGCTTGAACCTGGGAGTGGAGGTTGCAGTAAGCTGGGATCATGCCACTGCACTCCAGCCTGTGCGAGAGAGCTAGACTCCGTCTCAAAAACAAACAAACAAACCCAACAAAGGTCTTGTAGTCAACATATATAAAGATCTACAAATCATAAGGAAAAACCAGACAACCCAATTAATGACAAATGGGCCGAAAGACTTAAATAGGCACTTCACAAAAGAGGATATTCAAATGTCCAATAAACAACAAGAAAAGTTGGACAATATTACATCAAGGAAATGCACACTAAAACCACAATAAGATACCACTAGACCCTCACCAGAATAGCTGAGAATATAAAAATGGATAATCCTAATGTTGGCAAGAAAAGTAGAACATCTGGAGTCTCAAACACTGTAAATTTGTATTATCTCTTTGGAAAACTGACAGTATCTACTAAAGGTATACAGAAGTATACCCTATAACCTAGCAATTCCAGTCCGGGGTATAAACCCAACAGAAATATCTGTTTATAGAGACCTAAAGACAAATTCAAGAATGTCTGGTTGGATGCGGTGGCTCACGCCTGTAATCCTAGCACTTTGGGAAGCCGAGGCAGGCAGATCACCTGAGGTCAGGAGTTCAAGACCAGCCTGATCAACATGGTGAAACCCCATCTCTATTAAAAATACAAAAATTAGCCGGGCGTGGTGGCACAGCCTGTAATCCCAGCTACTTGGGAGGCTGAGGCAGGAGAGTTGCCTGAACCTGGGAGGCAGAGGTTGCAGTGAGCCAAGATTGCACCACTGCACTCCAGCCTGGGAGACAAAGCAAGACTCTGTCTCAAAAAAAAAAAAAAAGAATGTTCACAGAAGCTTTACTCATAGGAGCTCAAAACTGGAAACTACCAAAATGTCAATTAAACAGCAGAATGGATAAACAGTGATTTGTTTTTACAATGGAATACTACCCAGCAACGAACAAACAAGCAAACCACAGCTATACCAACAACACTGATAATTTTCACATAGTACATATTGTATTCATGTACCTGATAAATATATACATACTTAAATGAACCTGAAGATCTGGCAAAACTAATTTATAATGCTAAAGATCAAAACACTGGCTACTTTTGGGGGTCATAACTGAGACAGGCACAGGGAGCCTGTTCTACTCCATTCTCTGGGTGGGGATACATAAGTGTATACATATGAAAAATTATCAAGCTGCACACATAAGACACATGCACTTTCTTATGTAAGTTATATTTCAATAAGAATGTAATTAAAAGGAAAAAAGGGCCAGGCATGGTGGCTCACGCCTGTAATCCCAGCACTTTGGGAGGCCGAGGCGGGCGGATCACGAGGTCAGGAGATCGAGACCATCCTGGCTAACATGGTGAAACCCCATCTCTACTAAAAATGCAAAAAAAATTAGCCGGGCATGGTGGCAGGCGCCTGTAGTCCCAGCTACTTGGGAGGCTGAGGTAGGAGAATGGTGTGAACCTGGGAGGTGGAGGTTGCAGTGAGCCAAGATCACGCCACTGCACTCCAGCCTGGGCGACAGAGCGAGACTGTCTCAAAAAAAAAAAAAAAAAAGGAAAAAAGGTTTAAAAAACCTTTGGAGTTCATGAAAATTGATCTTTCACATTTTATAATAATCCTCTCTACAAAAGTCTCTGAGCTGTGAACTTCGCCTCTGCTTGATACACCAAGAACCTACAACTCAATGAAGCAGCTGATTCTACCGCTGGACAGTTCTGCTTGAAAATAATTCCTAGCCTTTCGTCTAAATGTCTCTCCAACCTCTACCTCCCTAAATCCTCACCTGATCAATCTCTTCTGGACACAGTTCAGCTTACCAAGGTCTCTTTTAAAATGGTCACGCAGAACAGAATACATATCACAGAAATTACCCAAAAAAAGACAAGTTTGGTACAGTGTCTACACTATGAAGTTTGATCACTTAACATAGATCACTGTATGCAAGTTAAGTTATTCAGAGAACAAAACTTTATACTTCATGAGAACAAATTTTCTAAGGGGACTACACCAAAACACACATCAATCTAGTTTATTTATTTATTTTTATTATTATTATACTTTAAGTTTTAGGGTACATGTGCACAATGTGCAGGTTAGTTACATATGTATACATGTGCCATGCTGGTGTGCAGCACCCATCAACTCGTCATTTAGCACTAGGTATATCTCCTAATGCTATCCCTCCTCCCTCCCCTCGCCGCACAACAGTCCCCAGAGTGTGATGTTCCCCTTCCTGTGTCCACGTGTTCTCACTGTTCAATTCCCATCTATGAGTGAGAACATGCGGTGTTTGGTTTTTTGTCCTTGAGATAGTTTACTGAGAATGATGATTTCCAATTTCACCCATGTCCCTACAAAGGACATGAACTCATCATTTTTTATGGCTGCATAGTATTCCATGCTGTATATGTGCCACATTTTCTTAATCCAGTCTATCATTGTTGGACATTTGGGTTGGTTCCAAGTCTTTGCCATTGTGAATAGTGCCGCAAGAAACACACGTGTGCATGTGTCTTTATAGCAGCATGATTTATAGTCCTTTGGGTATATACCCAGTAATGGGATGGCTGGGTCAAATGGTATTTCTAGTTCTAGATCCCTGAGGAATCGCCACACTGACTTCCACAATGGTTGAACTAGTTTACAGTCCCACCAACAGTGTAAAAGCGTTCCTATTTCTCCACATCCTCTCCAGCACCTGTTGCTCCCTGACTTTTTAATGATCGCCATTCTAACTGGTGTGAGATGGTATCTCATTGTGGTTTTGATTTGCATTTCTCTGATGGCCAGTGATGATGAGCATTTTTTCATGTGTTTGTTGGCTGCATAAATGTCTTCTTTTGAGAAGTGTCTGTTCATGTCCTTCACCCACTTTTTGATGGGGTTGTTTGATTTTTCTTGTAAATTTGTTTGAGTTCATTGTAGATTCTGGATATTAGCCCTTTGTCAGATGAGTAGGTTGTGAAAATTTTCTCCCATTTTGTAGGTTGCCTGTTCACTCTGATGGTAGTTTCTTTTGCTGTGCAGAAGCTCTTTAGTTTAATTAGATCCCATTTGTCAATTTTGGCTTTTGTTGCTATTGCTTTTGGTGTTTTAGAAATGAAGTCCTTGCCCATGCCTATGTCCTGAATGGTAATGCCTAGGTTTTCTTCTAGGGTTTTTATGGTTTTAGGTCTAACGTTTAAGTCTTTAATCCATCTTGAATTAATTTTTGTATAAGGTGTAAGGAAGGGATCCAGTTTCAGCTTTCTACATATGGCTAGCCAGTTTTCCCAGCACCATTTATTAAACAGGGAATCCTTTCCCCATTGCTTGTTTTTCTCAGGTTTGTCAAAGATCAGATAGTTGTATCATCACTCTAGTTTAATTTTTTAATATATCATTTTTAAAGTACTAAACATAAAAATAGATAATTTGTAGGCCATATGTTTCAGGAGGGCAGAAACCATATTATGAACTTTGATCAATAATTAGATCACCACACTCTTGGAGACTTTCAACAGAAAGAATTATCCCTGAGGACAGAATCCCAGGTAGTTCCTGATACTTCAACTGAAATTATTGGAAAACAAACAAACAAACAAACAACAACAACAAAAAAACAACTGTCAGGAGAGCCCTTTTTTCCCCCCACATAGTAGGCACTCAGATGTCTATTAATGAAAAAACAAATCACTTCATAACTGGAAGAAACATTTCTGTTATGACCATAAATACTGAAGTCCAACCTGACATAAGTTATTAAAAGGTGGGCAATTCAACATGACCAGAAGTAGCAGGCAGTGTGTGAGGTACAATGCAGGCCACAAAGAAAGGCTCTGCAAACCAGCCAGGTGACCACAGGGATCTGGGCCATTCTTGAGCTTCTCTGCAATGGCATAAATGCATGGTTTCCAAGGATGTCAAGAAATCTGGGAAGAGGCTGACCTGTTATTTTTCAAACCTAAAGAAGACCAAAATAGAAAAAACAGATTTAATTTGAATAGCTAAATGTAAGGAAGAATTGATGGTCAAAATGATAAATATAAAATAAGGTATAGAGATATATTTTTAGCTCTTTGAACTTTTTGGTATATTGTATAATCATCTCTAAAACAGTACCAACAGCCATTAAGCCAAGGGTCAGTCATCCTCTGCTCTAAGTAGAAGAGGAGCAGATATTCTCCAGGCCCTTTGTGGCTCCTGAGTTGATCACAAGGAACAGGTTTCCTCACACCGTCCTAAGGGCAGAGGCTTTGGAGTAGGAATCCTGGTTTCCACTTGGTGGGTATGCTTAGGCTCGGCTTCCTCAATTGAAGAACAACACAACTCTTACCCTGAATGGGTTTTATGGGAGTGTAATAAGGTAGCACAGGAAAGCCGCTGAGCACCATGCCTGGCACACGGCCTCTCCAAGTCCAATACTGCTGCTCGCTGTCTGCCCACACAGAACAGTGTGAGCATCACCAGAAAACATCACACACAGCGAGGGCTCATGCCCCTCCTGAGTAGGGAGTAGGGTTCATTCGGGACAGGTCCTCAAGCGTGCAAAACAGCTTCTTAATAAGGTCTACAAAAAGTAAGACCACAGATGAGAGGGAGAGCCCTTTGATTCCATGATGGGTGCATGTTACTCAACACAGCATCCAATAATTTCTTTTTCCTGCCAACATGTAAAACATATTTTAAAAATCAAAATATTTTCCATAATGTACTTTAAAGAAACCAAACTTTTTTCAAGAATTCTTGCCAAAGTAATTTTCCACAGGTTCACTCTCCATAATTTGTATAGATGCCTTACGACCTGGACAGTAGGTCATAAAGTGTCATAATCAGTTCTATTTTCAGTGTCACTTGTATCAGTCACATGTCTTTTTTTTTTTTTTTTTGAGATGGAGTCTCGCACTGTCACCCAGGCTGGAGTGCAGTGGCGCGATCTCGGCTCACTACAAGCTCCGCCTCCTGGATTCATGCCATTCTCCTGCCTCAGCCTCCTGAGTAGCTGGGACTACAGGTGCCCGCCATCACGCCCAGCTATTTTTTTGTATTTTTAGTAGAGATGGGGTTTCACCGTGTTAGCCAGGATGGTCTCAATCTCCTGACCTCGTGATCAGCCTGCCTCGGCCTCCCAAAGTGCTGGGATTACAGGCGTGAGCCAAAGCACCTGGCCCACATGTCCACTTTTATCCTTTCAAATCTTCTCGACTTAAAACATACCTTCTGGTCCTAAAAATACAGAAATTCACTATCAGGTGGACTACAATAATCACTGCATGTTCCCAAAGTACCAAATGATCAGATGAAACAAGATTCTCCCTGCACTAGGTCGGAAGGGCCTCACAGCCAGTTAGAGCACTGGCATCATCCAGATGCTCAGAATGGAAGAAAACCCCGCCATCACACTGTGCTTCCTGCTGAACTCAACATTGACTCAAATCAGAACTGTTTCAATACTAGGCTGGAGGAGAAACAGTATTAAGAACATAGTATAAAAAATACAAGTTAAAAAGCAAAACTTTTTGTTCAGTGTTTCCAGTTTTCTAGTTGGTCATGGTGTTAAGGTCCTTTTCCAGGCTTAGGTATAAACAATATTGTTAAAAACTTACATTTACAAAACTATTAAAGGTTGTGTCTAGATGAAAATGGGCGACAAAGGCCTGGCTAACAAAGTACTTCTTTATTCTTTGTCTTAAGCTCTGTGGGAAAATTCTTCTTGAAACAGCTTTTGTCCTTTAACTTGTTTCATGTGCTCATTTACAGTTCATTTGCCAAATTATAACTCCTCTATCTATCTAGATGGCCCCTCCTATTATATAATTCATATCTGTACTGTAAGTTTCATTACTTAAGATTTTTATTGCCTAATTAGATCAATCCCAAATTTCCTTTTATAATATTATACTGTACAATGAAAATAATCTTGAGCGCTCAAAAGGAAACTGTAGCTACATTCTTTGAAAGGTCACCAACATTTTTGATAGGCATTTCACTCTCATTTTGGCACATTTTCAAATCTTGGGTTCTCACATATTCCTAAAATACTGTACACCAAACTTCTACTCCAAATTGCACTAAGAACCATAAGGAGGCCGGGTGCAGTGGCTCACGTCTTTCATCCCAGCACTTTGGGAGACCGAGGCGGGTGGATCACCTGAGCTCAGGAGTTTGAGACCAGCCTTACCAACAAGGTGAAACCCTGTCTCTACTAAAAATACAAAAATTAGCCGGGTGTGGTGGCAGGTGCCTGTAGTCCCAGCTACTCAGAAGGCTGAGACAGGAGAATTGCTTGAACCCAGGAGGCAGAGGTTGCAATGAGCTGAGATGCCACCACTGCACTCCAGCCTGGGCAATGGAGTGAGATTCCATCTCAAAAAAGAGAGAGAAAAAAAAGAACCATCAGGAGTAGCGTTAAATCTCAGCAAAAAGATGTTAACTGCTACTTCTGCTTTTTTTTTTTCTTTTTTGAGATGGAGTCTCGCTCTATTGCCCAGGCTGGAGTGTAGTGGTGCCATCTCGGCTCACTGCAACTTCTGCCTCCCGGGTTCAAGTGATTCTCCTGCCTCAGCCTCCTAAGTAGTTGGGATTACAGGCATACATCACCACACCCAGATAATAGGTTTTGGATTTTTAGCAGAGATAGGGCTTCACTATGTTGGCTGGGCTGGCCTCAAACTCCTAACCTCAGGTAATCCATCCGCCTCAGCCTCCCAAAGTGCTGCAATTAGAAGTATGAGCCAACACATCCAGACTGCTACTTCTGCTTCTAAGGGAAGGGTTCTGTATCATAGAGGGACAAATGAATCCCCAGGCACTTCATCTTTCTAGACTGAAGAGACCAACTGGCAGATAAATCATCTCTACCATGAGATGTGGGCAAAAACTGAGCTTATGTATCAATGGATTCATTCATACCCTAGCTCTTCTACAATCGTTTCTCTTAAACTACTCAAGGAAACAGTACAACATGAAATCCCCCAATTTGAACCTGTTAATACTGGTGACTCAATTACTTATTTATTGCCTTTCCATTCCAAACCCACCCTTCTTTACCCTGCTTTGTGACACTGGAGTAGCACCCTGTAGACATTCCTTTTACACAAGCTGGCTTTGCCAGTAGAGGGCTCTGGGGAGATACAACAAGAAGGGCCTTCTCTCCCCATTTCTGGGCTTTTGGCTTTCTTGCTAGCTGTGTGCAGGAGAGCCAGCGGCTCACACCATCCTATGAGTTTCACTGGCATTCCGGTCCCACTGGTGGGCAGTTTCCTCCCTGCCAGCCGGTTCCTATGGCACCTTAGTGAACTTCACCATCCAATGCCAATGGGTCTGCACCTCAGCCTTGCGAGAGAAGGCCTCTTTCAACTTTGCTGCTTCTTTGGATATTCCTTCCCTCAGCCCTGGTGTGGCAGCTGCTCACCATATCTCCTGGTCCTATATTCTTTAGCATCTCCCTCCCGTCTTAGTAGTTAATCCTCTGTTGCTGGTTAATCATTATTTCTATTAAATTTCCCTGTTCAAATTACTGGTACAGTTTCTGTCTCCTGACTGGCCCTTGAACGATTCAATGGTATTCTCTGGAAAACGACTGTACAGCTTTAACATCTTGAGCTTGGGAAAAAGGGTTCTTCCCCAAGAGTGGGGAGAAAAAAAGCCAAATCCACAGTGGTCCTCCTAACTACTGCAATGTAGTGGTAGCAGAAGCTCTGCACGACCAGATGAGGTTGAAAACTGGAAGAAGAGTCATTAAATGGAGGTTCACTTGGCGTCTATTCTGCTAGCTGCCTACTTGAATTCCCAAATTCATCAGGAGAGAAAATTGTGCCTTCTAGTGCTCTCAGAAGTGGGGGAAGGTGGGCCCGAGAATACAAAACCTGCGATGAGCTTCCTCACAGAGACACCAGTGGAAATGTGGAGGGGATTGCCATCTGAGCACAAAAGCAGGTGATGTAGAACACTCGCCCATTACTGCTTTATGTCTATTAAAGTCTTCCACCTGGGCAAGGGCACATCAAGAAGGACACACCCCAAGGTGAAGGAGGCCCCGCTTCACTACAACCCCATCTTCCCAGCACATTTGCAGACAGTGTATGCCAAACACCAGAAGCCAAAGAAGCAACCTGCTACTAACTGGCTTGTTTTAGGAGTTGGGCACAAAACATATAATTATTTTCTTCTTTACTGTCTTTTACTTAGCATCTGAGAAAAAGCAAAACAGAAGAGTAGCTTAGTTCAGCAGTAAGATCTCTCAAAGCAAGCTCTTAAGCAATTCCTTTCTTTCTTCTTCATCAACCAAAAGAGTTCCAGCAGCTTGCCTGTCCTTACTTGTGCGTACTTGTGAAAACTCACAAAAAGGAAACGTGTCTGTCAGCGTCCCCACCCACTCACTATGGTCAGGACGCAGCTCACTCCCACAGCCCTGTGGCCAGGTGGCTGTCATTTTCAGAAGGGAAGCCTGCCTGGGAAATCAAATAGCAGCCTTTAAAAAAGGCCAATAAGACCATTATTGATCAACCTGAACCTCATTTGCAAAAATACACAGACACTAAGAATGGTTAGACATTTAAACCAAACTCTTGAACTACAGAGACCTACCTGAAAAGCAGAGAAATTAGTCACCGAAGAATGAGTAAACCTGGTATACCAAAGAAAACATAATCTAAAAAAATAAGATCCTATGTACAACTATTGCCTTTGTATAAAAATTAATAAAAATGGGAAAAAATTAAAATTAAAGAAAAAAATAAGATCCCCAAAAAGGTCAGTGTTAGAGGTAAAGGTATTCATAAAATGAGAGGAGACTGGAAAAAGAATCCAACTAAATAATGAAAAGGGGATATTACAAAGATGACTCCAGAAACCGAACCTCAACAGGAGGCCCAAACAACAGATGGACAAGACTTGAATTGGAATCAGTGGTGTGGAAAAATAAACAGATGCATTCTTCTAGAGATAAAAATGATGAAAGAAAATCCAAATTTAGGAATCACAAATGTGTCTACGAGGAACCTAGGAGAGGGGCTGTAGCAGACACTGGGGTATGATAATCCAGAAGATGCCTCGTGACTCCTGTCCTGAAGACGGCAGTGCCAGCTGTCATCTCCTTAGTCATTTGCTGGACTCGTTCAAAATCAAAAAGGTAAATAAGAAACTCTATTTTCAGCAAAAGTAGGAACTCTCAAATCCTGCATCACAAAACTGTGGGGAGAAGCACCACTAGCAATAGGGACAGAGCAAGGGGTTGGGCATCTGTAGTGGGGGCACAAGCACTATGCCACGGGGCCAACTTCAGCAGAAGCCCTAAGAACACTTATCAAAGGTGAAGGGCACAGTGAGGTGCAAAACTTCAGTCCCTTGCTTGTAAGAGCAAGGATGGGAAGAGACCTGGGTAGCAGGGTCCAAGTGTGGGCCCAGTTTGGCTTAGAAGAGCAGAGGTGATAGACCAAAGAAGAAATCTCAAGCAAGTCACATCCAAACCCACATACCAAGCTCGAGTCATGGCATGAACTTTACATTTCAATGAGTCTATGACCAGCCAATCCCCAAGAGAACCTCCTTAAAATAGCCAACCTGTGAATAACTTATCTGCTTCAAAGATGGGTGATCAAAATAGAATAAGCGCTGCAAATATTAAAAGGTATTCAAGATAAAAAAGAAACAGATATTAAAAACTATTTAATAAAGCAACTGCCTCTATAATACAAGAGCACAAAACTACAGTATCAGAGCTCCAGAAAGAGAAGGAAAGACAACTGTTATTCAAAGAAAGTGGATCACCTGGGTGAGAATTCTTGAGTTCCTGCGTAACCTTGAGTAAGATTTTAAATTGGGTTGTTTTACAGAGTTGTAAGATGTCTTAGTTGGTTCAGGCTGCTATAATAAATACACCATAGACTGGGCAGTTTCAACAACAAACATTTATTTCTCATAGTTCTGGAGGCTGGAAGTCTGCAGTCAAGCTGGCAGTAGATAAAGTTTCTGGTGATGTATAAGGCTTGGTTAACAGATGGCCATTTTCTTCTATTCACAAGTGGAGTAGCACAGAGAGAGAGGAAGAAAATTCCCTTATGTCTCTTCTTCTTTTTTTCTTTTTAAGTCCGAAGAGTTTTTGTTTGTTTGATTGTTTGTTTTTTTGAGACGAAGTCTTGCTCTGTCATCCAGGCTGGAGGGCAGTGGCACACTTGGCTCACTGCAGCCTCTGCCTCCCGGGTTCAAGCAATTCTCCTGCCTCAGCCTCCCAAGTAGTTGGAATTATAGGCACCCACCACAATGCCCAGCTGATTTTTGTACTTTTAGTAGAGATGAGGCTTTACCATGTTGGCCAGGCTGGTTTCTAACTCTTGACCTCAAGTGATCCGCCCACCTTGGCATCCCAAAGGGCTGGGATTACAGGCATGAGCCACCTCACCCCGCCTCATGTCTATTCTTATAAGGGCACTAATCCCACTCGTGAGGGCTCCACCCTCATGGCCTAATCACCCCAAAGGTCCTATCTCCAAATACCACCATATTGGTGGTAAGGCTTCAATACAAAACTTTTGGGAGAACACAAACACCTAGTCCATAGCATTAGAGATATTTTTTTGGGACAGGATCTCACTCTGTTACCCAGGCTGGAGTGCAGTGGCATGATCACGGCTCACTGCAGCCTTGATCTCCTGGGCTTAAGCAATCCTCCCACCTCTGCCTCCCAAGTAACTAGGACTCTAGGCAAGTGACACCACACCTGGCTAATTTTTTTTGTAGTGACGGGATCTTGCTATGTTGCCCAGGCTATAAGAGTTATTTTAAAAAGTATATTCTAGATGTAAGTTCCTTATCAGATATATCTTTTGCAAATATTTTCTCTCATTATTTTTACTTTCTTGATAGCATCTTTATTTGTTCTTTTATCACTTTGGAATTTGGTGTCATATCTACTCCTAGGTTTTCTTCTAAGAGTTTTACAGTCTCAACTCTGACATTTACATTAATGATCCATTTTAAATTAGTTTTTGAGTATGATGTGAAGTAGGGGTCCAAATTCATTCTTTGCATGTGGATATTCACTTGCCTAGGCACCATCTGTGGAAGACTATTAGTTCTCCCATTGATTGTCTTGACATTCTTTTTGAAAATATCAATTAACCATAAATGTAAGGGCTTATTTGTGGATTCTCAAGTCTATTTCATTGATCTATAAGTCTATCCTTATGCCATACCACATTGCCTTGATTATTGAAGCTTTACAATAAGTTTTGCTATGGAAAAGTGTGAGTCCTCCAACTTTTTTCTTTTCTGAGATTGTTTTTGGCTATTTTAGGTTTTTGGCTATCCCTTGCATTTCTATATACATTGTAAGATCTGCTGTCAATTTCTACTAAAAAGCTAGCTGAGATTTTGATGGAAATCATATTGAATCTGTAGAGCAGTTTGAGAGTATTGCCATCTTAACAATATTAAGTATTCTGATCCATGAACATTGTCTTTCAACTTATTTAGATGATCTTTGATTTTTTTCAATACTTTTATGATTTTCTGTGTACAAGTTTTAAGGTTCTTTTGTTAAATTGAATCCAAAGTATTTTATTATTTTTAATGCTACTGTAAATAAAACAATTTTCTTTTTTTTTTTTTTTTTTTGAGACAGTCTCACACTGTCACCCAGGCTGGAGTGCAGTGGTGCGAGCTCGGCTCACTGCAAGCTCCGCCTCCCGGGTTCACGCCATTCTCTTGCCTCAGCCTCCTGAGTACCTGGGACTACAGGCACCCACCACCACGCCTGGCTAATTTTTTGTATTTTTAGTAGAGACGGGGTTTCACCGTGTTAGCCAGGATGGTCTCGATCTCCTGACCTCGTGATCAGCCCACCTCAGCCTCCCAAAGTGCTGGGATTACAGGCATGAGCCACTGCGTCTGGCCAATAAAACAATTTTCTTAATTTTATTTTGGAATTGTTCATTGCTAGTGCATAGAAATGCAATTGATCTTGGTATATTAATCTTGTATCCTGCAACCTTCCTGAAATCGTTTATTAGTTCTAATAGCTTTTTTTAAAAGAGAGACAGGTATGTTAAACTTTTCTATATACAACGTAGTGTCATGTGTAAACAGTTTTTACCTCCTTTCCAGTGTGGACGGCCTCCCTCTCTTCCTTTCTTTTCTCCTCCCTCCTTTTCTTTCTTCCCAGCTGCTCTGGCTGGAGCCTCTAGTATCGGGTACGTCTTTCAAAAACATCTCTGTCCCTCCGTTTCCCAAGTATAAAAGAGAAGACTAGTTCTAACAGAGAGGACCGAATAAAACAACGCAGACAAGGGGTTTTAGAAGAGCAACTAGAATGTGGCGAACGCTCAACATGAGCCATTAGGCTGTATATAAGAAACATATTTCAAACACATTAAATGATTCAGAAAGGCTGAAAATAAAAGAAGGACATGGGTATCCCAAGTATATTCCAAACAAACAAAAAAGCAAGGGGACCTTGGTTACATGGTTGAATATAAGGTTGAATTTAGGCCAAAAAGGTACAAGTGAGACAATAAAAGGACACTTATTAGAGGAAAAAGTGTTATTGAAACCATATCCCAAACAGTTAAAGAAACCAGTGACTAACAGAAAAGCTTGAACTTACAGGATGGCAGATAAGAAAAACAGCAGCTTGCTGAAACTCCCTCTGTTTGTAAGATAACAAATCTGGGTGAAATTGGTGGGAACCAAGGTGGCCAGCTGGAGCCTGCACAGAAGGAGCTTGCTAACAGCACAGCTGGAATCTCTACCACGTTCCATACTCCCCCTGAATCTGCACATGCAATGCACGAAGACGCGTGAAGAGACAGCTGCACATGCCCAGGGGGCTTTCCAAACCTCCCCTTTCCCTTTGACAATCGCTAACCAATCTTTAAACGCTTCCCCCAAAATCTCTCCCTTAAATATACTGTCTTAAGGACAGAATGGGGAGACAGATCTGAGCCGGCCTCCTGTCTCCTTGTTGGTTGACTGGCAATAAAGCTTTTCTTTTCTCAAAATCCACTGCTGAGCGGGGAGCAATGACTCGCGCCTGTAATCCCAGCTACTCAAGAGAATCAGGCCGGAGGATCACTTGGGGCCAGGTTCACTTGAGCTCAGGCTCAAGCTAGCCTGAGCAACAACAGCGGGACCCCATCTCTAAAATTAAAAAATATATATTTTTTAATTGGCTGGGTGTGGTGGGGCACTTGGAAGGCTGAGATGGGCAGATCACTTGAGCCTTGGAGTTCAAGGATGCAGTGAGCTATGATCATGCTACTGCACTCAAGCCTGGGTTACAGAGCAAGACCCCATCTCTAAAAAAATCAAATCAAAGCAAGCTGGTGCCATATGCACATCAGGCAGCCAGCCCCTTTGCTCAGTAACCTTGTATCCATTAAGATCTAACAGTTATGTATATCTTTGGACAAATAACCATAGTGTTGACATTCATAAAATAAAAATTACAGGAGGTAAAGAGAGAAATACATATAAGCACATTCACAATGGGAAGCTAATTCTTCTCAGTACTTATGTAATCAAAAGGACAGAAGTAGTGATATAGATGGGGTGTGTGTATATAAAAGTGCATAAGTAAGTGCAAAAAATGTCTAGAAGAGTTAAATGGATGATATGACGTAAATGTTGAAGACGTTAATTCTGGGTGTGGGCAAATAGGTAATTAAAATTTTTTTTTCTCTTTTTTTTTGAGACAAGGTCTGGCTCTGTCACCCAGGCTGGAGTGCAGTGGTGCAATCACGGCTCACTGCAACTTCCACCACTAGGGCTCAGGTGATCCTCCCACCTTAGCCTCCTGAGTAGCTGGGACTACAGGCGTGAGCCACCATGCCTGGCTAATTTTTGTATTTTTAGTAGAGACAGTTTCGCTATGTTGCCCAGAATTGTCTCGAGCTCCTGAGCTCAAATGATCCACTTGCCTTGGCCTCCAAAAGTGCCGGGATTATAGGTATGAGCCACTGTGCCCATCCTACTCATTTATATTGACTGAATTTTTTGTTGGATGTATAAATTTTATAATTTAAGAAATATATTAAAAAATTTTCTAAGGTAGAAAACATACAATATACAACAAAATACTATTATTTTATAAACTACTTGACTTGAATGATTTAAAAAGCAGCATCAATTTCTTTACTGAGGAAAATTAACAGCAATAAAAGAGTTTTAGTTTTTATAACTTACTTTCTAGCAACCATTTCCAAAACAAGTTTGCCCTCCTCTAGTGTTCTCAGTTTTCTCCAAATTTGATTCCTCTAAATAAGTAAAATTTGAAGATTCATTACGAAATCCTGTGTTTTACTAAGAGCTGATGAAAGACTCGCAAGATGGTTGTTTTTGCTTATGTTAAGCTAACAAGTCTAATTTTATATGATGTTAGGACTTATGTACAATTTACAATTTCATTTCTTAATACAATTAATATTCATAATTAAATTTAGGACATGTTTCTATTATTTTCTATGTTTTTAAGAAATTTACAATTGATGTAAATTAAAGCCAGAAGCAAACAATATAAAGCTGAATAACCTTGATTTAAGATGTTTACTTTAAAAGAGCTCACTGTGTATTTTTAGCATGTATGTTCCAACATTTTTCCTAGGATAGTAATGTCTAGAGCCTTTAAGCCATGTTTGAGTTGTCTTAATTGAAAATTGCTTTAATAAAAAAGAGGTTTTTCTTCTGCTACAAAGATCTGACTTTACCAGTTTCAAATATCAATACATGCAAAAAGCATATGGATGCATATTAGCAAGGACCAAACAAATCTAAAAAGTGTAATTATGAGAAAACATCATCAATATCTAAAACCAGAAGATTAAGAAGGAATGTATTTTTCATAATCAGGAATATTAGATTTATTTCAAAGAAATATATTTTAGATTGATCCATGAACTTATCAGTTGCATCTCCAGGATGCAACGGATTCTCATCACTAGCTTTTCAGAAGTTTATTAGTTCCAGGCAAGTGTTTAAGATTGTGGATCAAGGAGGAAAGAATATCTTTCTGACTTTCCTAGAAACCAGAAAAAGCCTTTAAGTAGGACTGGGATCCCCTCTACCACTGTGGCAAAAAGCTGCTGCTATATAAAGTGCAAAACTGTACATGTAAAGCATCATTCATGTGCATAGAACATTCCAGAGCATTCCAATAACAACAGTTGGAAGTGCCAACAGATACTTTTCATGTTTCTCTTTAATGACCAGTCTAAATTTCTCTAAGAATAAAAGTTCAGAAGTCGAAGACTGATGACAGTTTAGAAAAGCTGTCTTTGGGTGACTGCAATGTCACCCAAAGGCTTCCACTAGGTCATGGTGAATGCCAAGTGTCAGAATATCTCTGACACTTGGCATTCACCATGACCCAGCGGGATAACAGTGGTGGCTTCACAGAAGGGCAATGTTAGCACCTTCTGGAAGGTCACAGCAATGGCCGCCTTGCATCTGGTGCACTGAAAAGAGCTCACATTCCTTCAGGACATAGCAACAACGCTTCTTCCCACCAAGCCCAGTGCCTGAGAACCCTCTCCTCAGATGCCTAATGAGCCTCTTCGACTCCACATGGCCCCAAACCAAAGCAGCTCTTCCCATGGGCTCCCTAGTGCAGGACATGGGAGCTCAGGCCCAGTCCTTGCACCATGTTGGCTCCTGGGTTTCTGATCCTCCACATCAGCACCAGCAAATTCTGCAGGCTCCACCTTCAAAATCTCTCCAGGATGCAACTGGTTCTCACTACCTCCCTTGCTCCCTTCTGCCCAAGCCACATCCTGGGTCACCGCAAATGTCACCCAAAGGCTCCCCTCTTGTCCTGACCTGGTTCTGGACCAAGTCATCACGTCCTGGGTGGAGTTCCATTTCCCTCCATGTGAGCAGAAGCCCTCCTAGATGCCTCTCTGCTCCACTCCCACCACATGGTCTCTTGCTAATCCCCAAACGTGCCAGATGGGGGTCACCTAATGGCACCTGCATGTGCTGTTCCATCCACCTGAACACTGTTCTCAAGAACAGAGATCTGTGCCGGCCCCTCCCACCACAGGAACAGGGCTGTGGGAGTGTGGGATGTGGATCTCCATCTGAGCGCAGCTCCATGTCTCCTGCTCCCTCCGTGCTTTATTTCTCTCCTGGGCACTAAGCACTTCGCAGTATACCTTGTCCACTGTTGAGCTCCCCACTGCCGAACAAGCGCAAGGAGGCAGAGCTCCTGTCTGCTACGTTCACTTTGGCACTCCCAGCTCCGACGGCAGAGGGTGGTGCACACCGAGGCTCAGCAAATACCTGCCAAACACGTGCTGGCCTAAGGCTGTTGGGGTGAGCACAGCCCAAACCCACATCCCATCTGTGTGGCTTTCCGTAATTTTTCTATCCTTTCCTTCACCATAAGTAATCACTTTCTGCGAAGTCTCCAGCACTCCTCGATTCTTATTTCCTTTTTTATTTTACTTCCAACACAATGTATTCAGTATCTTCCCAACTCTTAAGTTATTTTTAAACTTCAAATATGATGTAGACCAAAAACACCAAAAACTGCACAAAACAAAAAATAAAACAGACAAGTCTGATGAAAATGTGAATAAAAATCCTAACTTTTGCCTATTAAACAGGAGATGTTACTAAAAATTGTAATATGAAATGTCCATAAAGGTGAGAGAAATGAACACCTGCATATACCACTGGTAGGGGCATGAGGTGCTTCTGCTGTTTCTGGAATACAATTTCACAACATGTATCAAAGACCTCAAAACTGTACATACACTTTGATGAAGAACCTCCACTTCTATACGTTTACCCCAAGGAGATAATAAAAAATGTGTATAAAGATTTTGTATAGACTGGGTGTGGTGGCTCACACCTGTAATCCTAGCACTTTGGGAGGCTAAGGCTGGTATACGGCTTGAGCCCAGGAGTTCAAGACTAGCCTAGGCAACATGGGGAAACCCCATCTCTCCAAAAAATGCAAAATTAGCCGGGCATGGTGGCACACATCTGTAGTCCCAGCTACTTGGGAGGCTGAGGTGTGAGGATCGCTTGAGCCCAGGAGGCGGAGGTTGGATTGCACCACCGCACTCCAGCCTGGGCAACAGAATGAGACCCTGCCTCAAAAAAAAAAAAAAAAAAAATAGATTTTGTACAGAGAAACTGAAAATAGAACACTATATAGCCATTAAAAACTTTTAAAAGACCATATAAAAAAAGTTCAGAATATAATGTTTAATTTTTGAAAAGACTACAAAAATGCACATAGTTCAGTCCCAATTTTGTTTAATATAGGTGAACATATAAAAGGCCAGAAGGGTATTCAGAAAAATGTGAATGGTTGTTCTCTCTGGGTAGTTATCTTTGGCTGTGGGCCACTGTGAGTTCCTGTTTTTCTGCAGCGTACAAGTATTAATGGTATAATGAAAACCGAATTACATTTTGGATGAATTCCCTCTAAAAAAAGAAGCATGAGGAACCTTGAGAGATGGCGTTGATTGGTCTTCTAGCTGCAGCATGTAACCCAATGGGCCTTTGCTCGACATGCAGGAAAGGACTTGGGGGGCTTCACCAGGGGCAGCTTCATCCCCAGAAAGCTGAGATGCTGCAGTGCAAGTGTTAAACCACTGTGAACACATAATCTGTGAAATAATCATATAACTTGAAAAATATACATGTAACACTTGGTAAGGTAAAAAAGTAGAATGCACTCTCTCAAAGAACAGAGATCACTGTAATTCTACCATCAGCTCTCTGGAGATTCATGACTACTTTCTATACCTAAAAAGGAACAATAATGTAGAATTAGCTTCCTTACGTGAGGCCGATATGACTGAAAAATGCCCCCAGAAGTGAAGTGCCAGCAGAACCCTGAAAAGCACTGCACCTTCCAGCTGTGGAGAAGAGGGCTCTGAGGTCTGTTGTGTTCAAGGATGAACAGAAGGGGAGAAATGAGGGTGAGAAAGAAATGGCATCAGCAAAAGGTGCCTGATGGATGAGGCAGGCTGAGGGGAGCTCAGGTGGGAAGTCCACGCTCCAGAGCCTGTGAACTCTTCTCAAAGTCAGCGGTCCTCAATCCTGCCTAGAGCACCTTGAGGAATTTCTCCACAATACAACAACAAGCAGCAGGCCGGGGTACAGCTGAGTCTAAAAGGTTTTGGGCACTAGAGGGGAGTGGCACCCCAGGACAAAGTGGCTGGCGGTGGCAATCAGAACAGGCCAGGAGCGGCACTACTTATAGCCCACAACAGGCCAGGTACAGGGCCCACAGCAGAGTGGGGTTTCCAGAGGAGGGAAACGGACACAGAGAACAAAGAGACTGGCAGAACACCAGCGGCACGAGGCAATCCCCTAGGATGGGCCCATGTTGGGAAAGAGAATGTAATCTCCAGCCCTGGAAGAGACTCATGTCCACATTCCATCAGGGGGGTAAGGGCTGAGATTTAAAACCTGGTCCTAACCTGCCCCAGGTGGAAGCCAGCTACAGAGTGGGGATGGGCACACTGGTCATGGAGGCCCAGAAGAACCTGCTCAGTGGAGGCAGGGCATGTTCAACACGCACTACCCACCCACTCCTCCTCCTGATTCTGACCTCTTTGCAGGGAGTTGGGCCAAGAATGTAGACATTTGAAGTTTCAGGGGAGGGATGAGAAGAACTGAAGGGTAGTGGCAATTCAGAGGCAGTCAAGTAAAATATAGTATGGGTTGAGCATCCCATATAATATAATCCCATATAATATAATATATTATTATTATAATATAATAATCTGAAATCTGAAATGCTCCAAAATTCAAAAAATTTTAGTGCCAACATGATGTTCAAAGGAAATGCTCATGGAACAATTCAGGTTTTGGATTTTCAGATTCGGGATGCTTGACTAATAAGCATAATGCAAATATTCCAAAATCTGAAAAAAATCTGAAACTCTTCTGATCCTAAGCATGTTAGATAAGGGATACTCAACCTGTACAAGCTCAGCTTTTCTAGCCTCCCACGAATCAAATAACAACAGAATCAAATTCTCTCCTGATCAAAAATGGGGGAGTTACATGGGCACGAGTAGATCAAGGGGTTTCTGAGTTGGCGCTCACAGCTCACATGGGTCAGCCACTGCCTGTGTCACCTGATATGTGATCAACATTGGGTGCTAGAACTCTCAGGTGCTCAACAAATGGTGTGCGAGTCCAGGTGACCCAGTCAGCAAGTTTCATTCCCACAACCCTCTGCTGCGATCCTGAAATAACTTGGTTATTCTCTGCTATACAACCACTGTCATGGCGTCTTCACTGGTACAGGGATCAATAGGATGACATTTCCCTATTCTTTTCCATTTGCTGGCCTAACTTCTTCATCAGTCGCCCTTGCTGTGTAATCTAACACAGACTGTGACTTACCAACCTTGCTTGTGTATGTGTGTTAGGGCTTGGTGGGGGAGCTGGCTCTGGGAGTGCCAACATCACCACTGGAAAACTAAGAATAAAAATGTCCACATCTCTGCTGTGCACCACCCTACCACATTCTTGAGCATCAGGGTCAAAGGAATAGATCAACTTTCCAAGACAAAATAACAGGTTTTAAAAGCTAGGGCAGAGTCACATAATAGCTTGGTATCCCAGAAACACATAAGAGCTTTTGTATAAAACCTCTATTATCCCCAAATTTCAGAAGCTGAGTTACTTTTTCTTCTGAGGTCAGACCAAAATAAGTTCTAAGGCAGTTTATTTGCTATATTTAGGATGTTCGTGTGGGAGCAATGACAAACATCTGGCTACAATACTTTCTGGAATTTTGACTATTTCTTCCTGCCAGAATGAAAACATTAAGTTTTTACTGGAATAGCAAGTTAAAGTCTTCTAGCACAGAACTTCGTGACTGAGAATTTGTCTTCCTACTTGTCACTATTTAACCTAAAGCCTCTGCAATTCTAAAGAAAAAAAGAAAGAAAAGGAAAGTCCACCCTAACAACTGTGAGTATGTTAAAGAAAAGGGGAACGTGAGAAAGTAGATGAACAATAATGAAGAAAACCCTCATGCTCATTAGATGCAATCCCCACTTGTCAGCAAAGGCAAAGGACATTCGCTGCCAGGGGCAAGGCCTCACACCCTTAAACTGCATCCCAGGTTGTTCTTTTAATCATTACATATCTCTTCTCCATAATACTAACTTTCAGATAATAGAAAACCTTTAAATCGCATTAACTCCTAAACCTAAGAGTTAATTATGAATTAATGAGAGTATAATTGTTCTAGACATCTTACCCTCTAAAGATCTGGGAAGACTTTCTAGAACGGGGTCTCAGTTATGCACCTCAACTCTCCTTCCACTGCATCCAGCAATGGAGTTAGACACTTTTCACACCTGGCATGGTTTGGAGCTGAAAGTATTTCTACCCGATGACTTAGCACACAAGACAAGGCAAGCTGACACACAACTTTCAGATGGTTTTAAAACAATTATGGCTCAAAAACAAGATTCTTTAGAGCTGAGGCCAGATTTCTATGTTCAAAACCACAGAATTTGTTTAATCAACTAAAAACAAATCAAGACTTTCCTAGATAAAAAAACTAGTCACTGACCTTTGATTAGCTAAATATCCCATTAATAAATGCCAAAAGTGGCTTAAAATAAAACATAATTGAAGTCAACATCCACAAATAGGCCTCCACCCTAAATACATCATACAGATTTCTCTCCTGATCAAAAATCAGTTTACGAGTTGGCTTCTGGCTAGGTGTGGTAGCTCACACCTATAATCCCAGCACTTTGGGAGGCTGAGGCAGGAGGATTGCTAGAGACCAAGAGTTTGAGACAAATGGGTAATGTGGGGAGACCCCATCTCTACAAAAATTTAACAAATTAGCCAGCATGGTGGTACACGCCTGTAGTTCCAGCTACTCAAGAGGCTGAGGCAGGACGATCACCTGAACCCGGGGAGGTCAAGGCTGCAGTGAGTTTTGACTATGCCACTGCACTCCAGTCTGGGTGACAGAGTGAGATCCTGACTCAAAAAAAAAAAAATAGGCCAGGCATGGTGGCTGGCACCTGTAATCCCAAAACTTTGGGAGGCCGAGGGGGGGAGGCGGATCACTTAAGGTCAGGAGTTCAAAACCAGCCTGGCCAACATGATGAAACCCCGTCTCTACTAAAAATACAAAAAAAAAAAATATTAGCCGGGCATGGTGGTGGGCGCCTGTAATCCCAACTACTCAGTAGGCTGAGGCAGGAGAATTGTTTGAGCCCAGGAGGCAGAGGTTGCAGTGAGCTGAAATCATGCCATTGCACTCCAGCCTGAGCGACAGAGTGAAATTCTGCCTCAAAAAAAAAATAATAAAATAAAAATAAAAATATCATCTCAAACCACAATGAGATACTACTACACACCTACTAGGATGGCTAGAATAAAAAAGTCAGAAAAAAATAAGTGTTGGCAAATATGTGGAGAAATTGGAACATATAACATTGCTGGCAGGAATGCAAAATGGCACAGCTACTTTGGAAAACAGTCTGGCAGTTCCTTTAATGATTAGACCTAGATTTCCCATGTGACCCAGCAATTCTACTCCTAGGTATTCTGTCAGTCCTCTGTATCCACAGGTTTGGCATCCACAGATTTGATAAATCCACCTGATGATCAAAAAGGATAAAAACAACCCCACCAAAATGATAAAAAGTAATAGTACAATGAGAGATAATAGAAAAAAAAAGTCAATACAGTATAACAAGTATTCACATAGTGTTTCCATTGTATGAGGTATTATAAGTAATCTAGAGATGAGTTAAAGTACACCAGATGGCCAGGCGCAGTGGCTCACGCCTGTAATCCCAGCACTATGGGAGGCCAAGGCAGGTGGATCACCTGAGGTCAGGAGATCGAGACCATCCTGGCTAACAAGGTGAAACCCCGTCTCTACTAAAAATACAAAAAATTAGCCAGGCGCGGTGGCGGGCGCCTATAGTCCCAGCTACTCGGGAGGCTGAGGCAGGAGAATGGCGTGAACCCAGGAAGCGGAGCTTGCAGTGAGCCGAGATTGCGCCACTGCAGTCCGCAGTCCGGCCTGGGCGACAGAGCGAGACTCTGTCTCAAAAAAAAAAAAAAAAAAAGAAACCAACAAAACATCAAAATTTCCCCTATGTTAAAAAGGCTCCTGAAATGTAAACTTCCAATATCAACTTGGGGAATCTGCACAGCACCACACAATGTCAGTGTTTTCTGGCCATGAGAATACAGAAGAAGCTAGTGCTTTTCAAGTTTAATATCAGCACATCTCCCTGGAAGAACACTACTGTTTAAGACTTAAGTGAAATGATAATCTAGTAAACTGACAAATAAGATAGGTGCATATGGCCAGAAAACCCCAAAACAAAACAAAATTGAATTCCTGAGGTTAGAAAACACTGCTATAGAGGGAAAAATTCAAAACATTCTTAAAGTCTGTTAACCAAATCTAACTTTCGATTTCATTCATTTAACACGTTTACTCAGCAAGGCCCTGTTCCAAACACCAGAGGCACAGAAGTAGATACAATACAGCCTTTCCTTCCCAGAACTTGCATTTCAGGAGCAGGGAGACAGCAAGCAGGCACTAGGATGTGGTGTCTTCACCAAGACAGACCTGCCCAGCCAGGGGTCTCACTGCTCAGTGCACCCGACACCCTGTAGCCGAATGTCTGCCTCAGTCTACAGGTCCAACAGCAAAAACCACCTGACCACAGTCTGTCTCTTGGTTCCAATGTAAAGTCAAGAGGCAGAAAGACAGAATACGAATGAGACAAGTGGACAAACGACAGCAAGACAGTGATGGTGGGCTCGGGTCAGGCAACCAGCCTTGATCCAAAGACAACAAGGAAGGGGGGCGGGACAAGCCTGCCTCTGTGGGGCTATGCAGGGTGGACTTCCCCAGGAGGGGGACTCTGCCCACTCAGGGCAGGCCCTACACACCAGCCCACTGACACCAAACCTTAGAGTGGCACAGACAATTGCACTTCCAGAGGCTGTATCCTGGTACACTGGCAATATTTGTCAGGGTAGATTACAAAAAATGCTCACCAATTCCTGGCCGCTCTCTCATCAAGGTGCCTCTACTTCTCCACCCCTCGAATCAGAGCTAGCCTGGTAGCTTGCTTTGATTAATAAAATGTGGCAGAAGTGACAATGGACAAACTCCAAGCCAAGAGCCCAAAGGACACTGCAGTGCCCACTTCTGGACTGAGAACGTTTCTGTGACCACAAAAATGAGGCCAAGTGGGCTGGAGGGAGAATGAGATTCTGCACATGAGGTTCCAACCAGGGTGCCAAATGTGTGGGTAAGGCAATCCCAGGTTGCCCAACCCTCCAAGTCAGCCTAGTAGAGCCTCCAAACCAACAAACAGACCTGTGATTTAAGCTCCATGTTTGGGATGGTTTGTTACTTAACAAAGCTAACTGATGCAGTTGTGGAGGACAGGGTACTTGGAAGCAGAATACAACCAACTTACAATATATTGAATTTTAGCTCTCCCTAAAGGTGTGTATCAGCAGGCAACACAATGTAAAAAATACCCCAAGCTGGCACAGTGGCTCACACCTGTAGTCCTAGCTACTTGGGAGGCTGAGGCAGGAGGATCACTTGAGTCCAAGAGTTAGAGGCTGGCCTGGGGAACATAGCAAGATCCTGTCTCTTAAAAAAAAAAAGTACCCCATCCAACCCAGGATATTCAGAATATGCAAGACCATTTTCTTTTGCTTCAGATAAAAGTTCTTTAATTTCTGGTAACTCTGCCAGATATCTCAAATACCAAACATGACGGTTATATTTAACTGAAACCATAATCTCAATTTATTAAAACTGACAAGCTCTAAATATTGTAAAACCTTCACAAAATGGCATCTCTTATTTTCTTAGGTATAAAATGACTCATACTCAGTAAAGGTGAATTTCTTAGAGAAGAATTTACATCTTATTTATGACTCAACAACAAATGTGTGCTTTTTTCTTCTGGGTCCTAGTTTTAGTTGATAAAGTCCAGTAGGCAGAACAAAAAAAAAAGACACTCTAAAAGTAAACCTATTAGTACAATTATTTTTCTTTCACTTTTTTTCTCTTAAATTTTGCACCTATTACAAGCCTAGACAATGGTAAATGTGTTTATTGGAGGATGACTACATGGTGGAAATTCCTCCAAACACTTGATTGAAAAGATTTGGGGCTGGGCGCGGTGGCTCACACCTGTAATTCCAGCACTTTGGGAGGCCGAAGCGGGCGGATCACGAGGTCAGGGGATCGAGACCATACTGGCTAACATGGTGAAACTCCGTCTCTACCAAAAACACAAAAAAAGAAATAAGCTGGGCATGGTGGCGGGCGCCTGTAGTCCCAGCTACTCGGGAGGCTGAGGCAGGAGAATGGTGTGAACCCGGGAGGCAGAGCTTGCAGTGAGCCGAGATCATGCCGTGGCACTCCAGCCTGGGTGACAGGGCAAGACTCCGCCTCAAAAAAGAAAAAGATTTGGGAGCCTAATTAAGTGTCCAGACTTTAACCTATTTCCTACAGGAAAGTCACCCAAGAGCTGGTGAAAGGGCAGCCGACTGCTACTCTTCAGGGTTCAAAGGTTGCCCAGCTTCAGACCTCCTTCTCTGCAACAGAAGTGATGTGGGAAGTTGGACAGACAGGTCCTACCAGTTTCAGTTACCATGGCCCTGATGAAATTATCTTTCACTTCCTCCTCAGATAAGCACTTCAGAAAAGCACCCAGGTTCCCTGAGTTCTTACACCCTCCATACTTGCCTTCAAACAACACTCAAACCCAGAGACCACCTTGCTCAGAGCTTCACTGCCCCACCCACCAAGCTCCCCTCCTCTGTGTTCCCTCTTCCCTCCTTCCCACCCCATGCAATGCATTCCGCAATAAGGTCCACAGCTCAATAATAGTTTTGTTTTCTGTGTGGCATCTTGACTCCTCAAAAGAAATTCCCAAGTGTAAATAAACCTCCTGCTAGTTTAAATTCATTCTCTTGTCCTTACTTTTGTGCCATTAAGAGCAAGAAAAGCTTCTAAAGATGTTACTTGAAAGCCAGAAAAAATTAGAAAAAAGAGAATGTATTTGTGTATTACATATGAAAATAAATAATTTTAAAAAGAACTTTTGGCTGGGCACGGTGGCTTACACCTATAATCCTAGCACTTGGGAGGCTGAGGTAGGAGGATCCCTTGAGCCCAGGAGTTTGAGGCCAGCCTGGGCAACATGGCAAAACCCTGTTTCTACTAAAAGTACAAAAATTAGCCAGGCGTGGTGGTGCATGCTTGTAATCCCAGCTACTCCCGGGGTTGAGGAGGGCGGATCGCTTGAGCCCATGAGGTCCAGGCTGCAGTGAGGCATGATCGCACCACTGCACTCCAGCCTGGGTTGACAGAACAACACCCTTTCTCAAAAAAAAAAAAAAGTAAAAGATGAATAAAAAGAACTTTCATGCTAATAACATGTAGAAAAACAAAAAAATGTTTTCTAATACATCACATGGATCTAAAAAATAGTGTTACTTAAATATTGATATATGCATATATTCTTAGTATATTTAATTGTTCTTGCTAATATTACCAGTGCAATCTTCTATCAGGGAATTTTCAAAATAAAAACTGTATTATCATTGACCTAGAAAATTAAGTTATATGTTAACACCATACAACACCTCCTGCATGACAGGCTCTGTGTGTTTGCTCAATCCTCTCACCAGCAGCTCTGAGAAAGAGGGATTATAATTGTCCCTCTGTTTCAGAAAAGGAAGCTGACACACATGGAAGCTAAGTGGCATCCCCGCATCCAGGTGGCCTGGGCCTCGCTGAGACCAGGTGGCTTAAGCTGGGAAGGTCTGGGTGTACCATCTGGCTCCAGTCTGCACCTTCCAGCAGTCTCTTAGCCAGCCTCTCACGAAAGAAGATGAGTAGAAAGACCAAATTGTACTACAATTTTAAACAAAAGATACAATACCACTTTCCAAATAAAAGGAGAAATTCAGATTTACTGTTTCTAAGGATTTTCTCATGTGTTACCAAAGCTACTCTTGATCAACTTAATATGCAAAGTCTAACCAGCAAAATGGAATTTGGTACATAATTTGACTGTTAGAAGATATAAGGAAATATGCCTCCAAAAATCATGCTTCTTACCTCAATGTCAAATATTTCCATGGTGTTGTCCAGCAGCTTTACTCTGAGGTGCAGGTGCTTCTCTTGCATTCTGGGCAAGAGAGTCTGCCCAGGCTCAAGGGTGCTAACTCCCACAGGGGTCTGGGCACCCAAGCGCATCCCTGCAGTCTGCAGGACTCTGTATGTTCCTTCTATCTCCCCCATTCTTCACCATGAGTGAAGAAAACACTAAAATGAAAAAAAAAAAAACCACATGAAGGAATTATCACATTATTTAGGTACTAAAACAAGGTAAAAGACAAATTATCGGAGACACGGGAATCCTCTGTACTATTACTGCAACTTCTGTGAGTCTTAATCACGTCAAAAGAAAGTGTTACAAAAGATTATTTTCTACTCAGGCACTCATAGGTGGAGCATAAAATAACAAGCACCACCCTCAATAACAATATTTCCAGATGCTCTATGAGCCAGGCATACCCATTAACTCATTTAACCTGTTAGACCTCACAAACGAGTGACATCACCACCACCCACCCACCCAGCAGAGGCAAGAGAGCCCAGGGCTGCCACACCAACCCTAGGCTGCCCACTCCCTGGCACACCTCTCGCCACCAGCCCAAACAGTTATTGTGGTGATGATCCTTTTTAAGTACTAGATGGTGCCATTTCTACCAAACGTAAACAGGCTCCACAAAGCACAGCATCAACGCGTGTCAGGCAGTGCACAGCAAGAGCTGAGGCATTCGTGCAGCTGTTCTTCCCCTCTGCTGACTTTATGTGGAGTAAAGGGCTACTCCAGCTGAGGAAAAATGCCAATAAAGGAGATGAAAACAGCCAGGTTTGTCTTTGCCAGCTTTGTAACCCGCGATTTTTCTAACGTGTCTCGCCAGGGTGGAGTGGGTGCCACTGGTAGTCTGGGATGTAATTTCACATATGGAACTGAATGACAGCCTGGATAAGGGTAACAAGGACCACATGCCTGGTAGCAGGAGGCACCTGCCCCTGGTCAGGCCCTTCCCAGCTCCTGCCCATTCTCACAATAACCCCCATACTCACAATAACCCCCTCATCACTATCCACAGCCCACTTAACAGATGACAATGAGGGCCCAAGAAGGTCAAACACCTGGCCTAGGGAGGAGCTCAGGTCCTTTTCAACTCTCCTTTTGTGCCAAGGGAAAGGTCTCTGCTTGCAAGCTGTTAAGTCTAACAGTGCTATGCTTGTCATTATTTATTTAATGCACTGTAGATTTTATTTTTCCATTCAAATTGGGTATATATTTTTTAAAACAGATTTTATTGTGTATATTTGAAGTCTGCAACATGATGGCACGGGACACACAAAGATAGTAAAATGTGTCTTCATTGTTTTTAACGAAGATCAGGCTAGTATTAGGTACTAAATATTTAGTATTAAGTATCAGCTAAAATTAATAATACTAGCTTGTTTTTAATATTTATTAATAATCTATTATTTATGGCAACTTCCCTTGTGAAATGTCTTATGTTTAAAAATCAATTTTTAAATATTTAATACAATAAAACATAGTATGGCAAAAAATATGGCAAAACTGGTGGAGGTGAGATACAAATGCTCGGTGTTTAATCAACAAAGCATGTAGCACTGCACGCATTATTTTATCTCACCCAATCACTCTCAGAGTCTTCCGCTAATCTGTAACCTTTTAAAGAGTTAATCTCACTCAATTTCTAGCCCAGTCCCCTTGCACGACAACTTAATTGCTCCGAGTCTCCTGGCCCTTTCCTCTTTTTCATGCTTATTTTGTCATCAAGACAAGCAAATCAAGAACCCCCGGCTATTTTTGGAGACGGAGTCTTGCTCTGTTGCCCAGGCTGAAGTGCACTGGCCCCATCTTGGTTCACTGCAACCTCCACCTCCCGGGCTCAAGCAATTCTCCCACCTCAGCCTCTGGCGTAGCTGGGACCACAGGCATGCGCCATCACACCCAGCTAATTTTTTGTATTTTTAGTAGAGATGGGGTTTCACCATGTTGGCCAGGCTGGTTTTCAACTCCTGGCCTCAACTCATCCTCCGACCTTGGCCTCCCAAAGTGCTGGGATTACAGGCGAGCCACCACACCTAGAAAAGAACCTTTTTAATCTCTTAATTTCAAATAGGCTCTCAGTGACTTACTGCCAGGCATTTCCTACTGTACACTTAAACCTTACCCACAAAGACAACCTTTTGAACTTCTGCACACGTCCAATTTATCAAACAAGAAAGCAAAAAATGAAGAGCTAAATCCTCCGGGAGAAGCAAAATGTGAGTACTATGAACAAAACAACAAGGCAGTGCAAGGTCCCATCCTAATTCCTAAACAAAGCCACTGACTGACACATTTATTACCTGAGCTGCACGTTTGGCACAGGTTGGCAGTTACCCATCATCTTCAGCTGTCTTTCTCCATGCTGGATGCTCCTTGAGGGAAGGAACTAAATTCTTACTGTAAACATTTGCTAAGTATTTACTTAATGTCACTGGCACCAAAAAACATGAACTGGTACATCATGAAATGTACTGTAAAGATGATAACAGCAAAAGACAAAAGACTACAACCACAAACAGAACAACACTTTAACAAAATTACCGTTTTTGCAACACTAATATTAAACATGAGATATATGAAGTTCTGAGAATCATAAACGAGCCTTTTCATTTCAGTTCCACAAACTTTTACTTAATTTTTATGAGTGCATAATTGTACATGTTTATGGGGTATGTGATTTTTTTTCTTATTTTTTAATTGACAGAAATTGTATATACTTATCATGTACAACATGATGCCCTGAAATATGTCTACACTACGGGATGGCCAAATTGAGGCAATTAACATATGCAAGACCTCACAAACTTCAAATTTTTTGTGGTGAGAACACTTAAAATCCACAAAAATTAGTAATGTTCAGAAATACGGTATGTATCTTAGCAATTTTCAGAAATACAATACTAACTAGAGTCACCATGCTATATAATAGATCTTCTAAACTGCTGTCTAACTCAAGTTTTGTATCCTTATACAAGCAAACAATGTGTAATGGTCAAATTAGGGTATTTGGGATATCCTCGACCTCAAACATTTACAAATTCTTTCTGTTGGGAACATTCCAAATCCACTCCTCCAGTTATTTTGAAATATACAATAAGGTATTAACTATAGTTGCCCTATTGTGCTACCAAACAATAGATCTTATTTCTTCTTACTGCATTTTTGTACCCATTAATTAATCCTTCTTAATTTCCCACCCCCTACTACCCTTCCCAACCTCTGGTAACCATCACTTTTTTTCAGTTCCCACATATGAGTGAGAATATATGATATTTGTCTTTTTCACAAACTTTTATTTATTGAGTAGTTAATGCAAAAGTAAGAGAATGCAAATGAAGAAGACTTCCACTTTGAAGGTTCCTCCAACGTGAAAACATGAAAATAAAAATAAGTGATCTATATGTTCTTGGTCAGCTCACAACATTTATTAAATATAGAACCACCAACAGTGGGTTCTTCTGAAACAAAGGATAGGATGTTTTACTTTGGTCACCAAAGGCATTCTTTCCCTTAAGTAATGCTACAAATCTGTAAACATTTATACAACTGAAATACATTTTTAGAAGTCATTTCTCTTATTTATTCTACTGTATAATTCTCATTTATGTTTTCTTAAGTATAGCTTTAAAAATTTCTTCAGGTTCTTTCTCTTCTACTCATTATAAGAAAGTCATGTCTAAACATCTACTGCTAAAAAAAAAAAATAGACAAGACTAACCTGTACTCCCTAGAGGTGCACATTCCACTGATAAAACCATAAAGAGAAAACACCAGGAAGTTATTACTAAAGTGGTCCCTTCTTGATGGGAGAGAGGGACTGTCACTGGGATGGAACACAGAGAAGGAGTTCTTAGGTGGGCAGGGCACAGTTTTATTTCTTGATCTGGACAGTGTTCATTTTATAATTCATTAAGCCATATATCTGATTCATGTTTTTATGTGTGTTTATTTTATAACAAAAATGTTTAAAACAAGTTTTTTAACATTGCTTCCTCTTCCACGAGAACATGACACACTAGACAAATAAAAAACACTTTTCCTAGCTTAAGGAATATCAAACTCTCTTCTCAAATATGTGGCTCACAGAGGAAATCTTTACACGTTTGCACACTTTCCAAGCAGCGACTTACATCCTCATTTTCATTTAGCCCAGACAGACGTCAACATGGCTGCAGCTGAGATGCAGGGCCACAACAAGATACCCTTGTTCATGAGACTGATCTTAAGAAGACAGATTCACTTGAGAGGAGATGACCCTGTGGTACTCTGTTGCTGATATCCCAAAGAAAAATCTGTTTGTTGTCACATAATAGTAACGTGGCATAAACTATCCGTTTAATAATTACTCAGCTTTAAGATTAAGACTAAGACTTATATTTAAGACTTTAACACTAAATTTAAGACTAAGACTTAAGTTTAAGACTTTAAGTTTATTACTAAGCTTATGAAAACTTAAAAAGACCTTAATAAAGCCAGGAATAGTGGCGCACACCTATAATCTCAGCTACTCAGGAGACTGAGGTGGGAGGATCACTTGAGAATAGCAGTTTGAAACCAGCCTGGGCAACATAGTGAGACTCTATCTCTAAAGAAATGTAAAAAAATACATTAATAGAATACCGGCAGGTAACCCCATTGTTGTGACTGTCGGTTAACCTCGGTGTCAAAGCCTGTCAATCCCAGCTACTCGGGAGGCTGAGGCTGTTTCACATAAATTTTGACTAATGAAAATTACATTTGTTTTGCTTTGTGCGCTTATAAACAAGTATTAAAGAGGCAAGAACACACAGGCTAGACTAGGAACACGGCAAGGCCATGAACAGTCCTTGGCGCACCATGTTCTGTGGTCCCAGGAACCTGGTGCCAACCTCTGCCCATCCCTGCTCCTGCCAGCGAAACCTCCCAGATACCCAGAGGAAAGTGGCAAAGTAAACAACCAAGAATCTGTGGGGGACTCAGCTTATTGTGCCATCTTCTTTCAACGTGAATGAAATGCTTTGCAGTCTTCATTCCTAAAAACATTTCTGGTGGCCGATACAATTTGCACTACTGACATTTGGTCCTGCCTACTACAAACTCGGCTCTTGTGGGTATAGTCTCATTTAATAATAAAAGAAAACCCCGTGACATGTCATTTCCATTTTAAAGTTGGAAAATTCAGCTCAAAAGTCTGCCAAAGCTTTGGGTGATAATGATGTACTGAGTAGGTTTGTAACAAATGGACCACTCTAGTGACAAATGTTGACAGTAGGGGATGCTGTGTGTATGTGGGGGTGGAGGGTATATGGAAAATCTCTTTATCTCCTGCTTAATTTTGCTATTAACCTAAAACTGCTCTAAAAAATAAAATCTATTAAAAAAAAAAAGGCCTGCCAAGGAACAAATAACTCAGAAGTGACAGAGCTAGGACTTGGGCCCAGACTTGGCTACCAAAACTCTTCCCCTTCTGCTGGAAAATCAGCACATGGCTTTTTAGACAAAAGCATAGTCCACCATCCACAGTAACGGGTAGAGGCTAACATTTCTATTTTGCAATTTAAAAAAAATCACCTTTCCTAAAATATTTTTCACTGTCTGCTTTGGGAAAATAAAAAACTAAACTCCTCTACGACCAACCCAAGAAACCAGAATATGAACTTAATATTTCACTACACTCATCTAATATGAAAGTCCACTGCAGCATTGGGAAGAAACTTCACTGCTGATGATGTTCAAATGGAATTCCTCCTCAATCCCTCGGCCCTGGGGCGCATTACCTCTTTACTGCAGCACAGCAAGAGACGGATCCTTCTTTATTCTCTTTCTAAGCATTAGTAACTTTTAGAATAAGGAACTAAATAGTCAATGTGAGGAAGCAGAGAAAAATGTCAAGACCTGTACTGTAAAGTAAGGCCTTCAAACTGCTAATGAGAAATGGCTGGCTGGGCAGGTGGGCTTGCACACCCTCCCCAGAACACTGCTGCATAAAAACACACCAACACTGCTACAGTGTTGTCTGAAGGCAGTGTGGCCCCAGCATCACAGAAACCACGCTTGGCCCCAGAAGCTTGGGGAGAAGGGTGCTGCAGAACTCATCTGCACACACTTCTCCAGCAGGCGCTTCAGGATGGCTGTGTCACTTGCACAGAGCTGACCACTGAGGAGGATCCATATGTGGGCAACCCTGTCCCTCAAACACCAGGAAGGGCAGTCAACAACTCAAGAACTCTGCTGATGGAAGAGCGCTTACTGACACAGAAAGGTATCTACCAAGCTGTGATTTAAAAAAGACCAAATAAAAAGGCAGGTGCTAATGGGGAACAAGGAAGGAGGCAGCAGCAGCTGGGGATGGTGGAAATTCAGGGCCAGCACACTCAGGTTTCAATTTCAACTCTGCCATTAACAAACTGAGTCACGGCACCACTCCCAGCCCCAGCTTTTTCAACTGGAAAATGACAGAGGAAGGGAAGGGTTAATCAGATATTTTTCAGGTCTAAGAATCCATGATTCTGTGATAAGGCAGCTCAATGTGAGAACAAATGGAAAGAAAATGTGTTCTTGATTTCTACTAATTTATAGTGTTTGGTAGCCAAAAATTAAATATACCCCATAAAATCATGTTATCACAATCTTCCTACCTTAGCATAATGCAACAGTGGCTAAATGTGTGCAAGAAAAGGAAGATCACTTTCAGACAAATTCAGCAACATAGTACACAGACTAATTGTTCCAAAGAGATTTCTTTCTACATAACTAATATTTGAAAATCTTACTTTTACTCCCCAGGTTATTTTTTTTAATTGCCTGAACACTAAACGGATGTATTATTTCCTTTAGAGTGTATTTTAGATCCTCTACAACCTGGTATCCTGATTTTATGTTAAACAAAATTCTACAAACTGAAAAGCAGAAGTTTTAGGAGCTGAAGTGAATCTGGATAACTGATTCTCAACACTTCTGTGGGGGATGGTATGAAGCCATCCAATTTAACATCAAAATCTTTACAGAAAAAAGCAAGATCTGTATATGCTGCTTTGGTGTGAAAGTGAATAAAAGGTGCAAAACCAGGTGCATGGCATGCTAACCTCTGTTAAAAGAGGAAGAAAATATATATGTGTGTGTGTATATATATATATATACGTATATATATATATATATTTTTTTTTTTTTAGTAGTGATGAGGTCTCACTAGGTTACCCAGGCTGGTCTCGAACTCTCAGGCTCAAGTGATGCCACTGCTTTAACCTCCCAAAGTGGTATGTATTTGTTTATATTAAAAAAAAAAAAAGAGCATAAACCAAAAACTAATGAAAATGGTTACCTATGAGGGAGGAAGTGAAAGGGGTAAACAATGTTGGAAACTGTACACGGTGTTTAGTAGTTTTGATACGGGAACCTCATAAATGGTTTCACATAATTAGAAAGCAAAATTAAATCAATATTTTAGAAAAGCAAGTCCTAAAAACCCAAACGAAATGAAACAAATGGTCTTAACTGTAAATCAAGACATCAGCTAAACTAAAGAAAATTACTTCAAGTGACTTCAAAGCCCAGTAACTTCATTCTACGTCACCAGGAAAATATATCCTAAGGAATAAAAGAACCACAAAGAAATCCTACAGGAGAAATGACCTTGTCTCTTTGGTAAATGGCAACAAAAAAAGGAAACGGTGTGTGTATGTGTGTAAATAAAAACTACTAAGACATGTTATCTATAAGGTATGATGTTATCAAATGCTATATATAGGACCTCATTTGAATCCTGAATCAAATATTTACAGATCAGAGAAATACGAATGCTAACTAAGCATCAGATGATATTAAGAGGTTAATATTATTTTCTAGTGTTTTAGTGGTATTGTGGGTACATGAAGGGGAAAAAAGTCCCTCTCTTAGAGATGGATACTAAAGCATTTATGGATAAAATGAAATAATATCTAGCATTTACTTAAAAATAATCCAACGAGTTGGGGATCAGTGGAAGTGGGTACAGGAAAAAAAGATTGTCCATGTGTTGATTATTGATGCTGTATACATGGGCTTTGATTTATTATTTTCTCTACTTTTGTGAATGTTTGGAATTTTCCACAAGTCAAAACAAAAAACAAATCTAGCAATAATTTTTGATGTACATAAGGATTCAAGGAACCCATGCAAGAGTTCAAGCTGAGAGAGAGGGAGAGAGAAGCTCCTACTTTATGAAATCCTGGCCCAGTCTCTACTTTCCATAAGAAACTACAGCCTTGAAAACGAAGCTGCTTGCTCAAGGCCACAGACCTGATTTGTGCAGGGGTGAGACTAATATCCGGCATGGCTCCCAGTCCAACAGATTACAGTGCAAATTCTTCAAGACTAAAAAACATAAGACTATATTTACAGGGATTATTTCTACAGTTCATTACTAGAGAAGTTTCTCTCAGGATGTAGAGCAGAAAAGATATATTAAAAATGACTGTGAAGGAATAGTTGTCAAGAAAAAATGAAAAGTATTAAAAAGATTAAAAACAAACAAAAAACTGATTTAAAGAACTGTAAATCCATGCATTATGAATTCACTCTTTCATCCATTTTATTTCAGTTATTGTATTTTTCACTAAAATTCCCACTTCTTTATATCTTCTGTTTTCTTGCCAAGACTTTCTATATTTCCATCTGTTTCAAGAGTAGCTTTACTTCTTGGACTATTTTAATAATAGGGGCTTTATAAAGTTTTATTTATTTTTTAACTGTAGCCTTAACAAATTTCCACAAACTTAGCAGCTTAAAATAACAGCCTTTTATTATCTCACAGTGTCTACGGGTTAGAAGTTTGAGTGTAATGTAACTCACCAGAATTCTCTGCTTAGGGTCTCAAAAGGTCTAAGTCAAGGTGTCAGCTGACCTGGGGTCTTATGTGGATTTCCTTGGGGGAGAATACACTTACAGGCTCATTCAAGTCTGTGTGGGTAGAGGACTGAGGTCCTTAGTTCTTGCTGGCTGTCAGCTGTTTGTCATTCTCATTCCTTGGCTCATGGCCCCTTCCATCTTCCATGCCAGAAATGTTACGTTGAAAACTTCTTATACTTCCAGTCTCTCTGCCTTCCCCATCTGCTACCAGCTGGAGGAAGATCCCTGCTTTTAAAGGCTCATATAATTACCTAAGGCCCACCTGGATAATCTAGACAACGAATCCAGGCTAGTTGATTCGTACCCTTCATTACATCTGCAATGTGCTTTTGCCAAATCAGTCACATACTCCCAGGATAAACACTAGGAGGTCAAGCTCATGGAGGCCACAAATCTGCAGACCACAGTCTATCAGATAATTCCAACATAGGCACCACCTCAGCTTTAGCCTGTGTCTTTTTTCACGAGTTATTTTCCTGGTTCTTCACATGCTGAGTAAATTTTGCATTGTATCCTGGACATTTTTAACATCACACTCTTAGAGACTCTTGATCTTGTTTAAATCCTATGGGGAATGCTGGTATTTTGTTGAGCAGGCACTGGCCTGGCTGGATTCAGTCCCCAGGTCCTGACCAGCCTTCTGTAGAACATGGTATCAGTGTCACTTTCACTTTCAAAGCCTTTGCAGTGCTCCTCAGCAATGTCCTGCGGTCCCTACTTGCTTGGTGGCCAGCCTGCCTTCCAGGCGATGGTCTATCCCATAGCCGAGTTCCGTCTTTGGCAACCTGTTCTGGCTCACATCACGCGTGCATAGCTCAGTGTTGAGCCTATAAGTTAACTAACAACTTCATGGGGTCACTTTCCTGAGCAATTCCCTCTCTGGAATCTCCCTAGTATCCCTTCCAGTGACCTGGGCTCCCCTTTTCAGACTCCAACCAGAAACCTACGGCTTTAATTACTCCGTTTAGCCATGCTATTCTTGTGCCTGCATCTTGCCTGGGACTGAGCTGCAGGAGGGAAGAGAATAAAAAGGCAACTGGGGTTTTCCCCATTCCCTAAGAGTTTTAGGTGTTCACACACTCCTGCCACTGCAGGGCTGAGTGGAGGAGAGGAAGCAAGAGGGAAAAAAATAATGGCTTTCTCCCACTTTCTGTCTTGGGGCCCAACTACAAAACTACTCTGTAGCTCTCCCTGTTCATACTGGGTACCTGCCTTCAGGTTTTGGACAGCCAGAGTCCAGGGCAGGGGATGCTGAAGGGAAGACAAGAAACTCACTACTGGTGCAAAGTGGTGCTTCAAATTCTGGCCTTCTCTCCCATCCGCCTGTTACCGTTTACTTGTCGGAGTCCTCAACAGCTGCTCCATGCACATGTCCAGGTCTTACAGCCACAGACAGTGGGAGAGGCAAGATGGAGTATGCTCCCTCCACCTCCCAGAACCACAGCTCCACATCCATGCATTTTAAAATACATTTATAGTGGTTATCATTGGGAGGGGTAAGAGGATTGATTTTTATTTCCTTCTTCCTAATTTTCTGTATTTGTCAAATCACCTACAGTGACGAGTATACATTATCTTTGAAGTCAGATGGTTTCTCTGCAGAATCCTGCAGAAGTACTACCAGCTTTAAAAGTCTTAACTGATAGGGGCTACCTACAGTATGCCATTACTTACCTTCCAAGAGAAAGCTGGAATAACTGTCTTTCCCCTTAGAGTTGTATTTGCTCTTCTTTCAAAAATAGTTCAATTAAAAATTAATATATATATATATTTTTGAGATGGAGTCTTGCTCTGTCACCCAGGCTGGAGAGCAGTGGCGCAATCTCGCCTCACTGCAAGCTCCGCCTCCTGGGTTCACGCCATTCTCCTGCCTCAGCCTCCCGAGTAGTTGGGATCACAGGCGCCCGCCACCATGCCCGGCTAATTTTTTGTGTTTTTAGTGAGATGGGGTTTCACCATGTTAGCCAGGATGACCTTGATCTCCTGACCTCATGATCTGCCCACCTCAGCCTCCCAGAGTGCTGGGATTACAGGCATGAGCCACCACGCCTGGCCAAAATTAATATTTTTAAACACTCTCTGGGTTCCATTTCTTGTTCAGATACTGATACTTGTTTTCCAACATTCATCTTATTAACTACTATACTAACAAAGCAACTGAGATTTTAATCATAAAGGGGGACCGGGCGTGATGGCTCACACCTGTAATCCCAGCACTTTGGGAGACGGAGGCAGGTGGTTTACTTGAGGTCAGGAGTTTGAGACCAGCCTGGCCAACATGGCGAAACCCTGTCTCTACTAAAAATACAAAAAAATTGGCTGGGCGTGGTGGCGTGTGCCTGTAATCCCAGCTACTTGGGAGACTGAGGCAGGAGAATCGCTTGAATGTGGGAGGCGGAGGTTGCAGTGAGCCAAGATTGCACCACTGCACTCCAGCCTGGGTGACAGAGTGAAACTCTGTCTAAAAAAAAATAAATAAATAAAAAATAAAAATAATAATAATAATAAAGGGGACAAGAAATTTATAAAAGCCTAGTAATTTAAACAATTTCTAAAAGTAGTTCCTCCTTCACAAACACATTCCCACTAGCTCCTGGAAGATTCACTTAGCACCTTCACCTCACATTCCCCTACTGGGTTATCTGGCATCAAGCCAGGGACCAGGAAACTACCCCCACTAAAGCAGTTTGACTATAGAGCTAGTCTGGCTCAGGTTTCTGGGCCCTCACTTGCACCAACTCCTTCCAAGGTCCCGAGAAAGGCCCTAAGCAGAGTGTCCCTATGGTCATACACTTTTGTAAAATTTACCCCCAAAATATTCTAATTGCAATAAATTAAGACTACTGCCTTTTCCCACTGCAACTCTGCCTCTGTTCCTCTTCCCCTTCATGTCAGGTAGCTTGGGAGGTGCTGCTGGCATTTTTGAGATCCACGTAAGGGTACATTAAGTTGGAGAAAGACACTTAGTTTGGGTTTAACAGGACACATTTATGCTGTTTACAGTTACTTCTACTATGCAAACCTAGGTGATTACCAGCAATCTCAATGCGGGTATTCCTTCTAGAAATACTATCACCCACTGTGCTGGTTCACCAGGGCTTTTATGAAATAAAGGTGAAGGGCCAGGGATCCTGTGGCAATGTGAATAGGTCCAATGGGGTCTGACTCAGGGAAGTGTGTGGGCAGTGGAAAGGAAACATGGTTTGAAATGGAGGGAGCCAGTTGCTTGTTTGTGGGGAATTTACCATCAGACGTGCTAAAATATAAGCGAATAGATCAGTTACCAGAAAAATAATCAATATAGCAGTACAATTCTGTGTGCCTAAGATGTGTGTTTTTTTTTTTTTTCTTTTTTGAATGGAATTGTGCGAAACAGGATTTACCTGAACACCTGTTTTTCTGGGACACCAACCTGTAGCAGTACTAGAAACAGCAAATACGTCTATGTGAAACCATAAGTTTTATGTACCCTATCAACAATAAAAATTTATCTACTGTGCTAGAGGAATCACTGAGTTCTTTCTATATCCTGTCATATGAAAATGTGATTAAAAAGTACACAGCCAAAGGAAGAAATATTACACAGGTGTGTTAGATAATTAACAAACGTTATTTTTCTCAATTTAGCCATTTGCATTATTCATCAGCTTTTTCAAATTTGTTACGTTCTCATTCTAAATATTCACTTTTTTTTTTTTTTTTTGAGACAGAGTCTCGCTCTGTCACCCAGGCTGGAGTGCAGTGGCGTGATCACGGCTCACTGCAACCTCCACCTCTCGGGTTCAAGTGATTCTCCTGCCTCAGCCTCCTGAGAAGCTGGGAATACAGGCACATGCCACCACACTTGGCTCATTTTTTGTATTTTTAGTAGAGACGGGGGGTTTCACTGTGTTAGCCAGGATGGTCTTCATCTCTTGACCTTGTGATCCACCTGCCTCTCCATCTCTTGACCTCGTGATCCACCCACCTCGGCCTCCCAAAGTGCTATGATTACAGGCGTGAGCCACCGCTCCCAGCCTCACTTTCTAAATTAGTTTTTATTTGTAACTTTGCATTCTTTCTCTTAAAGAGTTCTCCCCTTCCCCCAAATTGTATACCTTCAAGCTCCATAAAACCTGGCATCTACCTCTGCCTCAGAAGAAATCTGATTAATTCATTCAAATATTTATTGAGCTCTATTCTGTTTCAGGCAAGTCTAAATGCTTAGGGATACAGGAGTTCCTAAGAGAGAAAAATTCCCCCCTATATAGTGGACAAATACAAAGAAGAGAGTACCTAATATATATTAAATGGTGATTTAAGTGCCTTGGAGTGAGTAAAGTGAGGGTGGTAGAGAGGAAGTTGGCAGCTGGAGGGAGACAGGGAGGAGGCTTCATCAAGAGGACAAGGTCCAAGACAAGGCCTCAAAAATGCACTGGTACACATTACAACAGCTACCGTGTCCTGTATGACCACCACTGCAAGGAGATGCATGTCAAGCCCTTCGCTTATGTCATCTCATTTAATCCTCACAATAACCATGTGCAGCTGGCATCAAGGAACTCAGGCTCAGAAAGGTTAGTGATTTGTTAGCAGTCACTCAGCTCCACAAGCGGCCTCAACCCCATCGTGATTGCATGGTGTGCACAGAGCACACAAAGATACAGAAGTTTAATTCAGAAAGGGAGACGACTGAGAAAGTAACCAGTACTACCTGCCCACTGCAGTCACAGAGAGAGCAGAAAGAAAGAGGCAGCACCGCTGGCTAGCCTGACCTGGAGCAGCTTTCCTCACAGGGGAACAGGAGACCAGGTGGACAAAGGACATAGTGTGTGCACAGGCAGAGGACTACATAGAAACTGCAGGAGCAGCTGGGAAAGGATGAGTATAGTTGGGCTGAGACACCCGAGGGGAGGTGGGGAGGTGGCCTGGGGTTGTGCTGCGCGAGCTCTAGTGGGCCAACTGGTTGGAATCTCATACCAAAGTAGGTTTTGCAGCTGGGATAGGACATGACCACATTTTCATTTTGGGAAGCAATCAGGAGGATGGGCGGGGAAGGGGAAAGATGGGATTAAGCAAGATTCATCACTGCATCCTACAACATTATAGGGCCTTTTTGTTTTTGAATTTTAAAATGGCAATAAGCTAAAACACCAGTTTAGGGGAAAACAATTCATGACTCTTAAAATAAAACCACTTACAACACTCTAACTACCCTCCTGATCCTGTTCACCTCCTCATGTATTTTTACAACACTATGATTGCTGTGTACACACCATTTCAACTTTTCAGTTAAGTCACATTTTAAAGCATATTTCCATGGATCAAAATGGTTCAAATTTTCCTTGGATGGGAGGATGGGATTCAGCTTGTGGAAGCATGTTTACTTGCTATGGAGTACTCTACCCTACTGACACAACAAAGTTTATCAGATTGTTTTGAAAAGTGTGATTCCAAAATCAAAATCTTTGCCACATACTGCTACTTTCCAAAAAGATTAGACCAATTTATAGAATCACTGTCAACTAAACGCTCCCCAGAAAATCACCAAAGACTGGGCTTTATCATATTGCTTTGTAGGATCCTCAACTTTTCAACTCCCTGTGGCATTGACAAATACGCTATGGTCAAAGGACTCTATATTCTGATCTCAGAGAACATGACCGGAATTACCTCAGCTCAGTATCCAACACTACAATGGGGTTTTGCCTGTATATCTAGCACTATGCTGTGTTTATGAAGCTCATGACGCACTGAGTAAAGGGGAAGCTGGCAAGCTGATATGAAAGTGGGTGAAGGAAAAATAAGAACAAAACTGAAAGGACAAGCAGCAGTAAGAAAAATCTGTTACTGTCCGAATATAGAAGAGGTATTGATGTGACTAGAAGCAGGGGTGTTTGGAAAGGAAGGAAGCAACTGAATTCTTTGGGCCAAATGGATTTAAATGAGCTCACATGGAATTGCCCATGCATTGATCTTTGCTTTGGCAATCCAGTTCATACCATTCCCTCTAAACAGGATAAATTTGCTTAATTATTGCCTAATTTTTTCTCTACTGTTTTTTGTAAATATCCAGGGTTAGCTTGTTCTACTTTCTACTCGGATTATTTGTCCACCTGATAATAATAATGGCTAACATTTATTAAGCACTTACCTTGTGCCAGGCATCTTGTTAACACAGCTTTTTTTATTTATTTTTTTATTTTTTTGAGACAGAGTCTCGCTCTGTCGCCCAGGATGAAGTGCAGTGGCACAATCTTGGCTCAATGCAACCTCCACCTCCTGGGTTCAAGTGATTCTCGTGCCTCAGCCTCTCAAGTAGCTATGATTACAGGCGTGCGCCACCAGCCCAGCTAATTTTTGTATTTTTAGTAGAGATGGGGTTTCGCCCTGTTGAGCAGGCTGGTCTGGAACCCCTGAGCTCATGCAATCTGCCTGCCTCGGCCTCCCAAAGTGCTGGGATTACAGCCACTGTGCCTGGCCAAGTAAATTTTAAACTCATTTTTTGAATAAGGAACCTGAGGCAGAGAGAAATGAATACACCTTATATCAACTTCCTCTTTGGGAAAGGAATTAGTATACAAGGAACCTGGAAATTTACTAACGACTGATAGTCCTATAGGTAAATAAGCCAGCAAACGTCTGCAGTCCAGGAAACTGCATCATCAGCATTTAGTTTGTTAACAGTGAACCACCTAATGAGAATCTGCAACAAGGATAGGGCACATGAGAAGTACAGATGGTATTTGCAAGTACCCTAGGTGTGACCCTAAACTGGTCATTCCACCTCTCTCAACCTCCCTTTCCTCTACTTTAAAACGGGGCTGTGCAACTTGGTCATGTCTCTGAAGAGTTTTGGAAAACTGAATAAATAACGAGCATGAAGTGCTTCCTAAACCTTTAAGGACCTCAAAAAACAAAACAAAACAAAACTTTCAACAAGCAGATGTAGAAAATTTAAATTATATTTGGCCTACAAGTAAAGGTTACTCCATGCTTCCCTACCTCAAATGTCCTCTCCCATCTCTCTGGTACTGAGAAAATCTGTGTCGCCTGTTATAAGGCAGTCTACACAAGACCAACACGCTAACCCACTGCCACCTCAGGGTTATCAAACATTTACACAGTGGCCCAGACAAAAATATCCCACGGAAACAAAACAAAAACAAAAACCCAGAGAGAAAAACCACCCTTTAAAGATTTGGCCTTGGGTTTTAAATTTGCCCATCCCTTTTTAACACTATGTATTGACAATCTTTCCTTCAATGATGCCTTGTTCTAATTTCTGCTTTTCACATCCATTAATGGCACATGATAGGCCAGGGGTTGCTGCCATAGCGTAAACGGAAAAGGTGCCCGTAATTCGGGTGTGTAATGTACTGGGCCATATTCTGGTCCCCAGTTTTCATGGGTTTCCCAAAGGCTACCCACTGGCTTATGAGTATTTCTAGCCCTTAGTGGAGTAAAAATATTAACACCTAACACTTGATTCCCACCTTTAAGATACAATTTAAAGAAATGCTAAAAAGGCAAACGGCTCAAAATGCCTCCACCAGGCACCTCCAGGCCCATACCCTGCGGGTCCCTATGGCCCACTCTGGGGTGTCCTTCCGGGATGGGACACTCCCCGGCCCACGGCCCTGCCGGCCTCCACGGGGCACAACTCAACCCGCGAGTCCACGCGGGACACTCCCCGGTCTACAGCCCCACCGGCCTCCTCCACGCGGCACCCCTCAACCCGGGAGTCCACGCGGGCCACTCCCCGGCCCACCGCCCCGCCTGCCCCCACGCGGCAGGCTCCCTACAGACGGACGCTCCTCTAACCCGGACCCGCCTAGGAGCTCCAGCCGCCTCACGATGGCCTTCAGAGGCCGGGCGGGACCATCTCTGGTGGACCGCGGCCTCAGCGCCCCCCCCGCCTGGGCCTCTCGCCTCGGGCCTCGGGCTTCGCCGCCCACCCGGAGAGGCCCACCCCTGCCCCACGCGCCCAGGCCGCTTCACGTCCTCACCCTCGGCCTCTCGCTCGCCCGCCGCGTCCTCACCGGCCTCGCCCGGCCTCCGCAGTCGCAAGCAGCAGCCGCCAGACTCGCGTCGGCGTCGCCTGCTCCCAACTGCCCGCCGGCAGCCCCCGCGCAGCGCGCCCCGCCCTGACCCCGCCCCCGCGACGCGGACGCGCAGTCGATTGGCCTGCGGGGCGCCAGGGCGGAGCCTTCCCGTCCCGCGGCCTGAAAGCGCAAGATCGAGTTCTGATTGGTGAACGGACGGAGAAGGGGCGGGAGCAGGCAGGCAGCTGCGTAGGATATAAATCTGTGCAGCGCTCGGCTCGTTGGGCGGGGCGTCGGCTTGCTGAGCGAGGCAATGTCCTAGGCGAAGCCAAGGCTCGCTGGGCGGGGCTAGATCTTGGGCGGGGAGTCGGCTCGTTGGGTGGGGCTAGGTCCTGGGCGGGGAGTCGGCTCGCTGGGCGGGGCTAGGTCCTGGGCGGGGAGTCGGCTCGCTGGGCGGGGCTAGGTCCTGGGCGGGGAGTCGGCTCGCTGGGCGGGGCTAGGTCCTGGGCGGGGAGTCGGCTCGCTGGGCGGGGCTAGGTCCTGGGCGGGGAGTCGGCTCGCTGGGCGGGGCTAGGTCCTGGGCGGGGAGTCGGCTCGCTGGGCGGGGCTAGGTCCTGGGCGGGGAGTCGGCTCGCTGGGCGGGGCTAGGTCCTGGGCGGGGAGTCGGCTCGCTGGGCGGGGCTAGGTCCTGGGCGGGGAGTCGGCTCGCTGGGCGGGGCTAGGTCCTGGGCGGGGAGTCGGCTCGCTGGGCGGGGCTAGGTCTTGGGCGAGGTCTAGGCTCGCTGGGCGCGGATAGGTGCTGGGCGAGGCCTAGGCTTGCTGGGCGCGGATAGGTGCTGGGCGAGGCCTAGGCTTGCTGGGCGCGGATAGGTGCTGGGCGAGGCCTGGCTCGCTGGGCGGGGATAGGTCTTGGCCCGGGCCTTGCCGGCTGTCCTTGCACCCTTTGGCTCAGTCCCTGGCTGCCAGCCTCCTCCTTCCTCCAACGCATTGCATCCCTCGTGGGACTACAGGGACCGAAGGGGATCATCGAAGGATCGCGCGAGGCTGTGCTAAGGCTGAGACAGGCTGCTCCGTGGTGGCGGCCAGGACGGCCTTCCTCTGGCCTAGGGACCCCCACCCGAGAATGGAAGACTGACTTGCTGTGGCACACTTCCCTTCTCTTGAGAAGTTCATTGAACTCCTATGTGTTCTTCAAGACCCTACCCATCGTGCTCTCCTAGCCCGGCCCTGTCACCCACTGTCACCATGTGGCTGTTGAGGGAATAATTAACTTCAGGAAACACCCGGGCACTTAAGAGACTCCTCCTATGGTGCTGTGGATTCCAGAGTGAAACCTGACCCTTCGTTTCCCAGAAGCCCAGACAGGAGAAATGCTGGCTCAGGGGAACCTCCATTTCTCCTGAGACAACTATGGGGTCTGAGACCCAGGCACACCAAGACTGGGCTCAGCTGTGCGGGATGCTCCCCTCATGTGCCACCCACCTCTGGGGCTTTTCCTTTAACCAACCCCCAATGACACCACCAGGCCCAGAGTGGTGCACACACCCCAGAACAGAGGATCCCTGCCTGCAGACGGGCAGGGCCGGGTGGGGATAGTGCAGGTGAGAGCCTGGCCAGAGGGTGGTACTGACCCCTGGTAGGATGCAGGGTGTGTGCTGGTGACCTGAGGCTGGCAGTCTGGAGGGAAGGCAGCAGGCGTGGCAGCTGTCAGCTGAGGAACTAGAGAGAGCAAGTTTCAGTATCCAGGGGTCTGTCTATAAGGAAGCTCAGAAAACACTGATAGCAAGGTAAAAGGGGCCCAAGGTGGTCCTGGGATGATCAGTCCAGTGGGCAGGAAGAAGGCTAGAGGCCTTGGAGTGTAGGTGTCCAGCCACCCAGATCAATTCAGGTTTCCAGTTTCCTTTACTCAAGTGGCAGAGCCGCCTTAGCCTATTCTTGAAAATTTATAGGTTAGAAATTTCTTCCTAGATATATTTCAATCATTCACTTATATTTCCAGTAATTTAGTAGTTGCTATTATCAATGCGATTTCTTTTCTCACTACATTTTCTAATTAGAAAATAGATATCACTGACTTCTTAGTGTTAATTTTCACCAGATGTCTTGTACTTTCTAAGTAGATGTTCTGATCACCTGTAAATAATTCCTTTCCAATCTTTTGTGCTTTCTTTTGGGCTGGATCTCCAATACGTACAAACTTGTCCAGTACTGACACTATTGATTCAAGTAATTTTTCTTGATTTTATACAAAGATGTTGTCAAGACTTTGAATTTTCCCAGAAAACCTCACAACTTTCCCTTGCAAATAACCAAGAGAAATACTCATTTAATATCTAAACAATAGTGCTTTATTGATAAAAGGTTAGTTTAAATGGATACAAAATTGCTGTGTAAAATAAGTGTTTTCAAAATACATTTCTATAGGTAGAGACTATGTCTTAGTAAAAGAGCAGTTATCTATTATCAAAAGTATCTATTTAGATTTGGGTAGTAAAACCAAAGGGGATCAGAAGTGTAGCAGTGTGGGTCCTCCCTCCCTGCATAGCTGTTACCAGGAGGCAGCGTGCCTGAAGTACTTTCACTCACATATGCGGGGCTTAGTCACTAGCAAACTTGTTTTTCTTTTTTACAGATTTTCCAGCAAAGTTATTAAATGTCAAACTCAAATAATGGACTCCGCATGGATGTACTCTGAAGTCATGGAACACCACTTCTTAGTTACCTTCACACAATAAGCCATAACATATAGCTTTTGGCTGTTCACAATTAAGCAACAGTGAAGGGCAAAGTTAGCAAGAACACCAGATTATTTTCTGTAGCACACCTTCATTAACTATTATTATTTAACTGCCTCATTTTATGTTTTTTCTAGCCCCCACAAAAATGAAAAAACCCTGTCTCATCCTCAGATTAAGCATTTTCTCCATCTCCCTACACAACCATTGTCTCCTTTCATCTGTCAATTTCTGGGGTTGAATTTCCCAACTTCAGTAGAAATGATAAAAAAGGCAACCGCTGGAGTGTACCATAAGGAGACACAAGAAGAAAGGTGACACTAAGGCTACAGTGCACAGAAAACAGACCAGGTGTGGCTTCGACTGTGCGGACCTGCCCACTAGCCTATGCTACAGATTTGAAATGTCTTTCACTTTGACATGACACACGGTTTATATTACACAAAATGAATGAAACGACAATGGCTAAAAATAAATGAGACAGCCTGCACACAAAAAGATGATGACTGCTACTTTCCTCCCATCAGAAAATTACTCAAAAAGGGAGTATTTAAAGGAAACTCAAATCAGGAGAACCCGGTAGGCATCAGAGGTTCAGGGCACCAAGGCCTTAGGGCGGGAACACTTTTCAACCCAAGCCAGGCTTCAGGGGCACGCCCACCAACAGACCCCAATTTCCACAGGGGAGGCAGATCTTCTATACCTACAGTGACAGAAAATACACTAAAGTGCAGTATAAAATATAAAAAGGTTTGATTCTGAATAGACCAACTGCTAATTTTCCTTAAAAAAATTTTTAATTTGGTTGAGTAAAAACCAAATTAGTTCACTGAATCTCATTTTGTAGGTAAGAGTCTTATTTGCAATACGAAAACTGGAGCTTATGACTGCTTTGATTTTCTCTGTAGCACAGGATAACCAGTATTAGTGGAGAACACTACAAAAGGTGGCTTGTGGTGAGTTCTTTGCATAGTGGTTTTAAAAACAACCTAGCATCAGAATTAAGAGACTTCTTTAAAACTCACCTCTAAAAAAGCTGTTTAAGTATAAAGATATATCTCATTAGGAAATTCTATTATGTTTTATTTGGTTAACAGATAAAATCGCAGACGAATCAACAGTATAGAATTATAGCAGCAAAACTGGTTTTAGGTGTTGTGTACAAACATAAAAGCAAGGAAGCAAAGATCTCCAAGTGGTGTGATGTGGTAAGCAGATGGCCTTGCACCAAGTCAGTGTATCTTTCTACATCACTAGGCACACACCTCTACCACTAAGGAACATTATGGTAAATCTGAATGTTCTAGATAAAAATCAGGAGTGCTCATCAATGGTTAGTCAGTTGTTAAGTCAGTTAAATCAAAGAAATTCAGTATTAAGTATACATGCCGATTCTTGGAAATCAATTCTAACATTAGTGGTTAGGGAGAAAGAAAAGGAAGACATTCACCTCACAAAACACAGAGTGTGACACAGCAATGAAATACATACGTTAAAAGTACTTCATACAAAAACACATCAAAGTCTTTTAAAAATTAAATTCTCAGGCACAGGTACTGTTAAAATGTGGATGGCACCCTCCCAAGGATTGAAAACACACAGCTGGATCATGCATCTGGAATGTTTTCTTTTTTATCCAGGAAAGTGTTTTCTAGAAAAAAGAAAACAAAACACACTTAAGTGGGAGTGAGGCAATGTCTGCTGCGTTAATTATTAACAGTTCTACTTTTCTCCTTAACAAAGGTCATAAACTGAGCAAAAGGCAGGGCTTACATGACCACAAAGTTAACTAAACCAAAAAGCCATTCATGAGGCTCCTGGAAACTGGAAATGCTGCAAAACTAGAAAGTATACAGAAATAAAATTTTATCGATCTAAAAGTAAAATTTTCATTCCATAAAGGTTGAAAATGAAGCTCAGAGAAAATAAGCAAACACCTGTCACTGCTTCCTGCTTCAAATGAGCTGCATCGCTGAGGCATCCTTGTCTCTTTCCACTGTACCCTCACTTCCCCAGTCACATGCCATTAACTGGTTATGCAGGACCAGCCTCTAGAGTCAGCAGGCCATCGTTTAAAAGTCATGGCACCATCAGCAAATACTTTTAAACTCTCGGAGCGGCAACAATTTCCTCATCAGTAAAGTGTGAACTAAGCACATACCCTCAGGACTATTCTAAGGTGTCACTGTGATGATGAAACTAAAGCAACCAACTTGGACTCAGTTGGGGGTGACATGGATGTTTTCCTTACAGTAACTTATTAAACTGTACATACGTATTTTTGTGCATTTTGTGTAAATACCGTATTTTACAATGAACACCTTTCCCACTAAGCTGCAAGAGCGTTTGGTGACTAAGGCTCCAGCAAGTCACTCTGGGTCCTTCCTCAGCCACCTGTCCACATGCTGTGGAGGCCTCAAGACTCCCTGCCTTCTGCCTAACCCACCCTGCCGTATGTCGTTGAAGGCTCAAGTCCCCTCCCTGTTTTCATGAACACACTCATGCTTCCAGAATGAGGTCCCTGAATTGTAGTAGAGACCTTCTACCAAATTCCCAGCGTTTCATCCTCAGATCTTGGCCAACTCAAACTCTCTTTCAAGCTCTAATCAGATCTCTTGTATGAGGTTTGTTTGCCTTTACCCCAGCTCCATGTGACCTACCCTCTTCTTTGGACTCTTAGGTCATTACTTAACTTTACCTTTCATGCTTTTCCTCTGGCAAGTGATGGGAGTGGCCACCTGGACAGTTCAGAGAGCCTGCCTGTCCATAAGATACATAAGATACAGGGGAGTGGGCATCTGCCTTTTCCTGGTCCTGAGTCTCTGGAGTCTGCAGATTCTTTTCAAGCAGGCAGACCAGCATACACCATGCCAGACAGATCTATTCACTAATGACCATCAGTCGGGACAAAGCTATCTGAGGAACAGGAGGTCAGCAGTCACCATCCAGGGAACCCTTATCTACCTCACATAATTCTTCTTCCTTGTGCCATCTCTACTTTTAATCTGTACAAGCTGTTTTAATAACACGTTTTTATTCCCTTTAAAGAGATGTTTTAACAATTAACAAATTTCCAATAATACAACTAATAAAAGTGCTTTAATACATAATTTCCTTCTAATGTTGGTATTTGCAAGCTTAGAAAATAACCTGCAAATGTACCCCAATAAAATAAAAGTTGAAATTATTTAAAAAAAAAAGAAGAGACAAAAATATGAAAAATCTTTACTAGAAAGTAGGTGGCAAAGTAGTGGCTTCTGTTTTTCAGGAGCAATCTCTCCTTGTTTAAGATTAGTGATGGAGTTACTTCAAAATGCAAAATATTAATGAGGCTTAAGGAGGAACCTGTCATATTTAAGCTGACACAATGTTAGTAACTGCCTGTCTTCCAGGCTAAGGGACAACAGGGCCTACCTCTGACTTCTTGATATGTGCACATCACCTTACACGTGGTGCCCGAGAGCCCCGCCATCGCCATCCCCGCCCTGCATCTGCATCTGCATCTGCGCCTGCATCCTTGCAATCATCTCTTGCATGCGGCGGAGCTGTGAACACACACACACATTATAGGTTTTCAAGGTTTGCTGTCTTTGAACATTATTTCTGGGTGTTCTGTGATTCCTAAAATTTCAACTTCTACACCTTCCCAAAATATGACAGGAGTTATTACATAAAGACTTTTTACCAATCAATAAAAAAAGCAACAGCTAAAGAGAAAATCAAGTAAATGATACGAATATGCAAGCCAAACAGAAACAATAACCAAAGAAAGATAAGACAATATGATAAATTTTCTTAAGACAGAGTCTCACTCTGTCTCCTAGGCTGGAGTGCAGTGGCGCAATCTCGGCTCACTGCTACCTCCGCCTCCCGGGTTCAAGCGATTCTCCTGCCTCAGCCTCCTGAGTAGCTGGGATTACAGGCACACACCACCACGCCCAGCTGATTTTTGTATTTTCAGTAGAGACGGGGTTTCACCACATTGGTCAGGCTGGTCTCAAACTCCTGACCTCGTGATCCACCCGCCTCCGCCTCCCAAAGTGCTGGGATTACAAGCGTGAGCCACCGCGCCCGGCCAATATGAGAAGTTTTCTAACCTAAAAGGAGGGAAAGAGACTGATGACAGTGAGAAATGCAAAGTAAAGGGGAATGGGAATGAATCAGCTTTTCTGGAGGGCAATGAAGGCCTCACAATAAAAATAATATATATACATACATATACATATATATATATTTTTTTTTTTTTAAAGGGATGGGATCTTGCTCTTTCACCTAGGCTAGACTGCAGTGGCACAATCATAGCTCACTGCATCCTTGAACTCCTGGGCTCAGGGGATCCTTCTGCCTCAGCCTCCCGAGTAGCTGGGACTACAGGTGCATGCCGACATGCATGGCTAATTATTTTTTAATTTTTTTCTAGAGAACGAGGGGGGTCTCACTCTGTTGCCCTAGCTGGTCTTAAACTCCTGGCATGAAGTGATTCTCCCACCTTGGCCTCCTAAAGTGCTGGGACTATAAGTGTAACCCACAGTGCCTGGCCAAAAATAGTAAATGTTAATTCATCTTTATCCTTATCATTATGATTTGTATGTGTTCAGAAATGCCTCCAGGAAAGTATTATAAAACATTTAAATTTTCTTCAGGTGACTTTGTGGTTATTTTTAACATTTAAATATTTGATCAATATTGAATTAATTTGACCAAAGAAGTATTTTCTTTTTGTTTCCAAAAGGCTAGCCCATTATGATCCTATTGTTTACTGAATAATGTGTTTGCCTTCCAAAACTCCAGCAGATCTGAATGCCACCTTTACAACAGAGCATATTTCCATATTTATGATCTACTTACAAATATCAGTGACATTACTAAATTGTCTCCAAAGTCTTTCAGCTAAATATATGAAGCATCATGTATGCTATGTAAATATCCATGTTTATTATTATATATAGATGTGTATATATAGTAATAAAGTAGTTATATGTATCCTCCTCAACAAATTAAAAAAAAAACTATAAACTTTAAGTTAATTACCAATGATATCTACGGATGTAAACAAAACACCTTCAGTCACAAGAATAGTACTTTTTGGCTGGGCACGGTGGCTCACACCTGTAATCCCAGCACTTTGGGAGGCCAAGGTGGGCAGATCACCTGAGGTTAGGAGTTCGAGACCAGCCTGGCCAACATGATGAAACCCCGTCTCTACTAAAAATACAAAAACAACTAGCCAGGCATGGTGGCGGGCACCTGTAGTCCCAGCTACTCGGGAGGCTGAGGCAGGAGAATCACTTGAACCCGGGAGGCAGAGGTTGCAGTGAGCCGAGATCACGCCACTGCACTCCAGCCTGGGCAATGGTGCAAAACTCTGTCTCAAAACAAACAAAACAACCAACCAACCAACCAACCAATAGTACTTTCCTACTTACCTCAGCTTCTTTTTCCAGCAAGATCTGGTCTTTATTCATGTCCTCATTCTCCACTTTCCTAAGAATCGAAAGAAATCAGAATCATAACACTGCAACAAATAGTTATTTGCTACCCCCCCAAAAAATTCTACTTTAAAATTTAAAATGACATGTATTTATCATTTCTCTTTTTATATTGAGATGGTGTCTCACTCTGTCGCACGGGCTGGAGTGTAGTGGCATGATCTTGGCTCACTGCAACCTCCACCTCCTAGGTTCAAGCAATTCTCCCACCTTAGCCTCCTGGGTAACTGGCATTACAGGCACGTGCTACCACGCCCAGCTAATTTTTTTTGTGTTTAGTAGAGATGGGGTTTTGCCACGTTGGCCAGGCTGGTGTTGAACCTCAAGTGATCCGCCCACCTTGGCCTCCCAAAGTGCTGGGAATACAGGCATGAGCCACCACGCCCAGCCTATCATTTTTCTAATTAAAGATATAATGAATAAAAAGGGAACAGAATGATTTTAAAAAGTTCGAACAACATGAAATGGAACATTCAAGAGACTTTTCTTACTCTAAGCTTGAGCGACAACACTTGCTGTTACCCACTCAAAAATAGGTATTATCTGAAGAATTTGCTTTGAGATGTTATTCTTTATTAATGCGAATGTAGTCACCACATTTAAGGAGCAGGATCTGCGTGAGTGAACGAGGGGCAAAGGGTAAGCTCCCCAAGCACACCTGAGAACTGTGCTCTGCAAAGCACACTAATCTCCATCTCAGGGCCAGCGCCTACTCAGCTTCCAGAGGGTGGAATTTTCTTGCTGCCTCTAAAATCTTTCTTAATGTCTCATTTCCAAACTCATAATTAGACTTCAATGTGTACAACATATGTATCTAGAAATCCATCAAATTATTAGAATGTGAGAATTTTAATGAATTACAACACAGGAAACTTTTGTTGTTGAGACAGGGTCTCACTCTGTTGCCCAGTCTGGAGCGTGGTGGTGCGACCATAGCTCACTGCAGCCTGGACCTACTGGGCTCAAGGAATCCTCCCCCTAGTAGCTGGGACCACAGGCATGCACCACCACATCTGGCTAATTTAAAAAAAATTTTTATAGAGGCGAGGTCTCCCTATGTTGCCAGGGCCGGTCTCAAACTACTGGGTTCAAGTGATCCACTTGCCTTGGCCTCCCAGAAAACTTATATAAAAACATATTAGAATGGTTAAAAAGAAAAGGTGAGTGAGGATGGCTGCAGGACTTTGCGAGGATCGAAGCTGCTGCTTCAACGGCCACTGGCTGCTTGGATGCCACTCATCCTGGCCTCACCCTTAACTCAGGTGCTGCAGTTTCCTAATGGCAACAAGTTTGTCCTCACGTACAGAGTGATGCTTTTGAAGGAGAACTCGACACAAGCCTCTGGCCTTTCCATCTAAAGTTTTTGTTTGTTTTTTGAGACAGGGTCTTGTTTTATTGCCCAGGATAAAGTGCAGTGGTGCAATTATGGCTCACTGCACCTCCCAGGCTCAACTGCTCCTCCCAACTCAGCCTCCCGAGTAGCTGGGATTATAGGTGTGTGCCACCATGCCCGGCTAAATTAATTTTTTTTTTTTTAAATTTTTGTAGAGATGGGACTTCACCATGTAATCTCATGGTCTCAAAACTCCTGCGCTCAGGCAATCTACCTTGCCTTGGTCTCCCAAGGTGCTGGGATTACAGGCATGAGCCACCGTGCCTGGCCTAAAGTTTTTACGTGCATATCATTAAATGTACTTTTTCTTAAAAAGGCTAAAAGAGCATAATTTGATTAAATTAACAACTCTTTTATAATAACTTTTGAGTAGGAAACCAAACCATGTTGCTTAATGGTCAAGAAGGCTGAGCTGAACACATAGAGGAGGAGGAACATTGTGGCTCAGGGTGACACAATACAGAGAAAGGGGCACAGTGTGATGACCTGCCGCCTCTCTTGAGTCTCTCAGAACGGAAGTTTTCATAATGAAGGTCCTGGGTCACCTCCTGGAGATCCTGCATGTGGGTGCTGAAAGAGAAGAGGAATGCACCAAGGTGGCATCATGCACATGACATTCTCATGAGAAAAAAAACCACCCATCAAGTACATAGAAGAAATAGCAGTAATTAAAATTACTTGGTAAATTGTACATAAAGCTGCTGGGATTTCAGGATAATGAGTATGGCCGTGGAAATGTCTAGTGAGGTGTAGCTCTCCCTTTCTTCCCCAATAAATGATATACAAACACAGGTCTCGACTGAGTCTCTCAGGGGGATTTCTGCTAGAGGCACTGCCACCCCTGTGTGAGGCCATCACTACCACAGGATGGCAGACAGATTTTAAGAGATTTTCAGGTCAACAATGTCTGAAATAGAAGACACTCTTCTAAAAGGACTTACGGAAAATGTAATGAAAATATTCATGCCTCCTATAACTCAAAATTTATATATTACTCTCATATGAGAAAAAAGAGTTGGTTAGCTTAAGCTATGTACAAGACCATAAAGTGAAGGACTAATATTCTGGATCCAAGAATATTAGTCAGCAACTTAACCTTCCATTCATCTTATGAAGCACTCTTAAAAAATTTTTTTTAATTGCCTAGCTTATTCAAAATACTTAAAAGCAGGCAAGAATGAGCAAACATTGTAACACGTTCCTATTGATTCAGGATCCAGGGAAATGGATTGAGATAGCCAAGGAGTGGCTCACTCTACCTCATTGTGAGAAACACACAACTGACACTAAAGTAAAGTCCCCAAACCCTGTCTTCAGCCTCTACACCCCCCTCAATAATGGGGATCAGGATAGCCACAAGGATGCAGCCCTGGAGGGGCTGAGTGCGCTTAACTTCTTACACAACCATTAAATTGTGTTTGACACAGCTTGGATGGTAACATGCTTACTTATTTTAACTCACTACAAATTGCTAAACTAAGTGAGACATGCGGCAAATATGTAGCGACTTTCAGCTAATCAAAACACTGATTTATCCACATCAGTCATTCTTTGAAGTCCTCTGATTAAAGAGGTATAGTTTAAGCAATACTCTCAGCCTGTTCTTTTTGGTTTTTTTTTTTGAGATGAAGTCTTGCTCTTGTTGCCCAGGCTGGAGTGCAGTGGCGCAATCCCGGCTCACTGCAACCTCCACCTCCAGGTTCAGGCGATTCTCCTGCCTCAGCCTCCCAAGTAGCTGAGAATACCGGCACCCACCACCACACTCGGCTAATTTTTTTGTATTTTTAGTAGAGACAGGGTTTCACCATGTTGGCCAGGCTGGTTTCACCATGTCGGCCAGGCTGGTTTCACCATGTCAGCCAGGCTGGTTTCAAACTCCTGACCTCAAGTGATCCGCCCGCCTGGGCCTCCCAAAATGCCAGGAGTACAGGCATGAGCCACCGCACCCGGCCTCAGCCTCTTTTTTCAAGAGTAAAAGCAATGTATGCATGTTACAATATGTGAAATTTATTTATTTAATTTATTATTTTTTTGAGACAGAGTCTCGCTCTGTCGCCCAGGCTGGAGTGCAGTGGTGCAATCTTGGCTCACTGCAACCTCTGCCTCCTGGTTCAACAGTGATTCTCCTGCCTCAGCCTCCTGAGTAGCTGGGATTACAGGTGCGCACCACCACGCTTGGCTAATTTATTTTTTGCACTTTAAGTACAGATGGGGTTTCACCATGTTGGTCAGGCTGGTCTTGAACTCCTGACCTCGTGATCTGCCTGCCTCAGCCTCCCAAAGTGCTGGGATTACAGGTGTGAGCCACCACGCCCAGCCATGAAATTCATTTTTAAAGAAGACTATTTTTGTAGTCAGGTCTGTAATTGCTATTAATAATAAATGGAAGACACAAAAAGCTAACCAGGGCCATACAATGAGTCTCAGACTGGTGAGCAGGGCACCAGGGGTGGCTCAGCCTGGAGCAGTGGACCAGGGGCCTATACAGCCTGACTGTTTCCTTACCAGCACTGGGGACCTCTCAGACCCCAGTTTAGGTTCTAGTCTCCTTTTCTCCTTTTAACATCAAAGATGTAAGATCTTAGCAAGAAGGAAAGGTACTGCAGGCTACAGGCCACAGGCAGAAGCGCTAGTTTAGTAGTGCCACAGAGGGCCCCTGGGTGAGGGTTCTCAGCACCAATCTGCAACAGCCCCACACCACTTCTGCGATGTGAGAAACACTGAGGGCGGCAATGAAGCTGCTGGCTGCAACTATCTTGGGGGCCAAGTGTACACCCCGTCTGAAATCCATATTCTTCACGCCAAATTCTGCCAGAAGGAACACACCAAATGTCTTACATGAGCATGGTTCTCAGCTTCAGAAAGTCATTGTGCTCTGGGTTCTCCACTTCCACAACACCCCAGGGGTAGAGGCGGCCTCTGACCTTCTTTCCTTTGGCTTCAATCAACTGATTGGATCCAACCACAGAGAATGGGATGCTAGCCTAGAAAGAGACACACAGAGTAGACAGGCTCCACACAGGGAACCCCAGAGTTCACTGGCAACACGAGAACATTAGCACAGACTTAACACATTGCTGTTGACTACAAAACTGAATTGGAAAGCTGGGGGTATGTAACATTTTCTTGAAAAGTGTCAGATACTTTCTACATGGGACAAATTGTACGAAAACAAATTAAACCTACAATAAAATTTCTAAGCTTTAGGTGATAGCTGTATCAAATTTTTTTTTTTTTTGAGACAGAGTCTTGCTCTGTCGCCAGGCTAGAGTGCAGAGGCGCGATCTCGGCTCACTGCAACCTCTGCCTCCTGGGTTCAAGTGATTCTCCTGCCTTAGCCTCCCGAGTGGCTGGGACTACAGGTGTGCACCACCACATCCACCTAATTTTTGTATTTTTGATGGAGATGAGATTTCACCATGTTGGCCAGGATGGTCTGGAACTCCTGGCCTCAACTGATCCATCTGCCTTGGCCTCTCAAAGTGCTGGGATTATAGGCATGAGCCACTGCATGAGGTCTTAAAATATATTGAAAGCAAAAATACTCTCGTAACTGAACATACCCAGGCAATCTCTCTCACCTCAACATGGACAACAGTAAACAGGAGTTATTTATGTTGTGGATCTGAAGCCAGTTCTTACCTTGAGAAGTCTAGTCTGCTCTTTAAAATCTTCATCTTCATCTGATTCTGCATCAGGTAAGTGATAGATTTTGATGTTATGTTCTTCAATTTCATCCAGAATCTGAGAGAATGACAAAACCAGGATCAATTTTAGCAAACTGCGTATGTTATTGTAGCCAATTCTAGCTCATCTTGTAAGAAATATATTGGAAATCATACAAATGTCAATAATCAAACTGATGACGAAAGTTACTGTCAAATAAATTTATAAAACTGCGGCCGGGTGTGGTGGCTCACGTCTGTAATCCCAGCACTTTGGGACGCCGAGGCAGGTGGATCACAAGGTCAGGAGATGGAGACCATCCTGGCTAACATGGTGAAACCCTGTCTCTACTAAAAATACAAAAAAATTAGCTAAGCGTGGCAGTGGACGCCTGTAGTCCCAGCTGCTGGGGAGGCTGAGGCAGGAGAATGGCGTGAACCCGGGAGGCGGAGCTTGCAGTGAGCTGAGACCACTGCACTTCAGCCTGGGTGACGGAGCAAGACTCCGTCTCAAAAAAAAAAAAAAAAAAAAAAAATTTACAAAACTGCTAGAAAGGTATTTATACTTGAATTTTGAGGATCCTCTGTACAGAATAAAAATAACATTAGCAATAATGCACCACTACCCTCAATGTACAAAGCAGCAGGAAGACTAACGATAGCCCCAGCACAACAGCTAAAATGGAAATCACACCACAATCAGCCTCAAGAAGGGTAATTGCCACAGAGAAGCTACAGGCATGAGAAGACCCTGGAGAACAGGCAGGAGTCTTAAAAGCAGAGAGAAGGGAGAAGTACCCCAGATGGAAAAAAAGGAAGAAAGAAAGAAAAAAAAACAAAACCTCGTCAAAGGCACAGAGAGGACACATGGGGTGCATTTTGAGAATAAGAAATTCAAAAGGTTGGAATCTAAGACATCCAGTTGGATAAGGAAACAAAAATTGGAATTACAAAGTGGAGAGTTCCATCAACACCAGGCTAGCGACCTGGGGATCTGTATTTCATTCAACAGGCAGCCAGCAGTCAGCAGTGAAATCCCACAATCGGACCTATCAAGCAGGCAGTAGTGTGGGGGATGGGGCTTGAGGGGAGAAAGAACTGGGCTGAAGTTGAAATACGAATGCATTCATCAGTCAATCAATTAAAACCCTAGCACTCAAATGCTCATTGCATGGTGGGCATTCTCACAGGCACCAGGCAGGCCACAGTTTTGTTTGGTCTCACCTCAGTACCTGAGCCATTCAGGGAAGAGAGAACAAGAGCAACGTGAGCAGAAAATATCCCGACCTCAAACTGTGCACTGGATTTGCTTTCTGGTTTTTAAGAATGGAAAGCCTTAATGTGACCTAAAAAGGGCCTTGAATGGTCAGAGATTTGGTCTTAGTACAATGTCTGCACTAATTCAGAACTCCAGAAAAGGCCCTCCTCTCTACATCCTTTACTCTGTAACTCGACCTTCAGTCTTTTCATAAATCCTTATTCCTAAATGGGAGGAACCATCTTATCTCTGGGAGAAACTGAGCAATAAGAAGCATGAACTTGCTCACCTGTCCTCATCTTACGGCCCCTTTCCTGGTCTACTATCCATCCATGCTAACCTCATCTTTTGTCCTATGCTGGCCTCATAAAGATGGAGCTTACACTTTGGAGGAGAGAAGAGTTCGGAAACAGTTAGTAAGCTATTTAAAAGTGAGCAGAGGAGTCAGAAGTGATGAGTAAAAAATAATTTACACATTTCTCAGTCTGGATGATTTCAAGAATTGTGGGACCATTTAAAGAGACAGGGGAGCTGGAAGGACAGGAGTCCATCAGTGGTCAAAAGAGGACTCCTGTGGGTAAATGTGGTTCACAACAAGAAATAAGATACCTGGAAGGGCAAATCAGAAGCCACAGAAATAATGTGATCAAAATAATACTAAGGAATACTGACCTTCAGGGATCAGGAAGGAAGGTGGTAAAAAACAGCAGATAGAAAAGCAAACACAGTGGTTCAGCAGCCAAGGAAGGGAAGTTTCAGAAGTAGAATTGCCAATCACACAAACCCCACAGGTGGGGCCCACATCTGAGAACTGAACTGTTGGCCAAGCCCATGAGAGAGCAATTGCAGGTGGATGACAGGAAGCCTGAGTGAACAGGATCATGGGGAGGGCAGATAACAGCTACCAGTAAGTGTCTGACTAGAAGAAAGGCTGGTGAAGGCAAGAAGCTAGTAGAGGCTGGCAGGAGGCAAGAGGTTCTTGTAGATAGGGCAGAATGAACAAACTGGTAGGCATCAAGGAGAAACTGGAGGAAGAGAAGTGATTAATGAGGCCCAAGAAGGAAGGGATAAAAGCTCGAAGTATTTCGATTCATCTCAGATGTTGTAATCCAGCACTAAATGTTTCGCATACAGGATTAGAGATTAGAATTACAGCATTCTAACCCTGACACCACCCCCATTTCTACCTCAAAGAAATTTAATATAGCAGAGTACAAAAGGTGAAGTTCCCTTAAGTAGGAATTACTAAAGTATTTATTAGCATAAAAACGTCTACGCTTCCAGGGGTTCTTCAAAGGTTCAAATACTTTCTAAAAAACTGGCAGGCACTTGAGACAATTTAGGAAAAGGCTGCCAAACATGACTACATGCTGCTTAAAAATTGCTTTGGAAAAAAGCACCAAGAAAAATGTGAAAAAATGAAAGTCAAACCAGGTGAAATCATCTGCAACGTGATAGTCAACATCTAAAAATAAGTATATGTGTTAAGTCAATAAAAAAGCAAGAGCCAAGTCCCTGCAACCTGAGAGAATACACCAACCGGCATCAACACCAGCACAGATACTCACATCGGCAATCAAGGAAAGGCAAATTCAAATGAGATACAATTTCTCAGACAGGAAACACATTACAAAAACTGGCAACATAACCAGGACAGTTTTAGGGGGTGGAGAGAAGAGTACACTTTGGAAATGTAAATTGTTACAAACTTACTTTAGAGCAAATTTAGTCATCCTTCAAAAATTTAAATGTATACTTATTTCCTAAGAATTCGTTTGGCTCACACAATTGTGAAAAGATAGATGTACACCAGTGTTCATTACAACAATTATGCAACAAATCTATTATGTGCCAGACATTATTCGGAACTCTGGGAATACATAAGTGAACAAAGCAGATTCCTGATCTCAGGACCTGGGGTCAGGGGTCAGGAGAAGCCAAAAAACACGCTAGAGAAATACTTTATGCAGTGTGGGGGGAGTGCTACCAGCAGAGCAGGGGATGGAGATGTGAAATCTTGTGTGCAGCGTTGGGCTCAGTGAGGGAGTTCCCCACACAGGTATCTGAGGGAAGACTGTTCCAGGCAGAGGGTATCACTAGCAAAAGCAGCGAGCAAGGGGCAAAGAAACAGTAAATTTGGTCAAAGAAGAAAAGGGGCCAGAGTAAAACAAAAAGTAAGCCAAATATTCATCAGCAGGAAACTGGACAAGTTAGAGTATATTCATATGGTGGAATGCTGTGCATCCAGGAAGAATTAGGATACAGTATATATATGAGGATGCTTCCAAATATTTTTAAATAGAAAAATCAAATGGCAGAATAGTATTACTATGTGATTTCATTCTGCAAAACCAAAAACATAAGCTATGTTCTAGAAGGATATATACTTAACAGTTGTTCTTTCTGTGGGTAATTACAGAAATTCTTTTTTTTTTTTCTTGAGACGGAGTCTTGCTCTGTCACCCAGGCTGGACTGCAAACAACCTCTGCCTCCTGGGTTGAAGCGATTCTTTTGCTTCAGCCTCCTGAGTGGCTGGGACTACAGATGCCCGCCACCACGCCCGGCTAACTTTTGTAATTTTTTAGAGACGGAGTTTTGCCATGTTGGCCAGGCTGGTCTCGACCTCCTGACCTCTGGTGATGTGCCTGCCTCAGCCTTCCAAAGTGCAGGGATTACAGGCGTGAGCCACCACACTCGGCCTAGAAACTCTTTTATTTTAAAAAATATATGTATATTATATTTATATATATATAATATATAAAAATGTATATATAATATGTATATAAATATAATGTATAAATATAATATTTATATATATTTATAAATATATTTATATATTATATTTATAATATATATTATATATATAATATATATAATAAATATATGTACAATTATATATATTATATATAATATATATAATATATATTATAGATATATTAAATATATATATTTTTATATATATTATATATTTATTATATATATTATATATAAATAATATAAATATAATATGTATTATATATAAATAATATAAATATAATATATATAAACAATATAAATATATTACATATAAATAATATAATATATATAATATATTATATAAATAATATAAATATAATATATATTACATATGTAATATAAATAATATAGATATAATATATATGTAATATATATTATATATATTTATTAATTATATATTATATATATAAAATATATATATATATTTTTTTAGAGACAGCGTATTGCTATGTTGCTGAGGTTGGCCTCCAACTTCTGGGCTCAAGTGATCCTCCTGCCTGAACCCCCTGCTGTATCCCCCTACCCTGCCCCAGCAACTGTGATTACACGCACAGATCGGTATGTTCATTTAGGGATTTGTATTTTTATGCACGTACCGGTATGTTCAGTTAGGGATTTGTATTTTTAGAGTTTAGCATATATAAACTATTTGGACTTTCTTAAGGAGCATATAATCAGAACAAAGTAAGCAATTTAAAAATATATAGCAGAGAATCAATAAAGAGGCTTTACAGACATACACGGAAGAGGCACTAAAACTGGGACACCACAGGAGCTGCTGGCGGGTGAGAGGCGCTTCGCTGGCTGACAACTGCTATGTTTCCAAACAGAACAGAGAACCAGTCTACTTAGATACATCCTTGTATGGGTCATTTGCAGTAAAGAATTTAGGTAAAATAACAAACTTCATGGAGAGATCACATTTCTATATTTGAGTCATTTAACTCCCATGGAAGGTACTTGTGTGTAACCAACTGCTACTCATCGAGGGCATTTTAAATATAAGGAGAATTTAAAGAATAGAAATTTGATACCTTCATGAAGGCAAAAATTAAAATTTGTAACCATCAGGTTCTCCTTGAAAACCACCACTAAAATGCAGGAAAAATTCTCCCGCCCTGCCTCCCGACACCTGAGCAGACTGAGCGTGGGAACACACTCCTTTCTTCATCCCCATGCCCCCGAGTCGCACCCAGAGGGAGGGCAGGACGCCAGCCTCACTCACCCTTTTCTTCAGCCGCTCCCGTTCCTTCAGGGTGAGAGTGTCAGCTTTTGCAATGACAGGCACAATATTCACCTTGTTGTGTATTGCCTTCATAAACGCCACATCTAAGGGCTTAAGTCTAAAATTAATTTTAGAATTGTCACTTATTTAAAAAAAATACATACAAAACTCTTCTCTCTCAAATTATCTTAATTCTTATATTAAAATACACAGTTTGGGTAAAACTTACAAACCCATGTAGTAAAGCATTTCTCCACGATAAACAATTACTTACCCATGTCCAAAAGGTGAAATAAAGTAAAAGCAACAATGCACCCTATTATCAATGATGTGCCGCCTGTTCAAGCCGCTCTCGTCATGCAGGTACCTCTCAAATTGCTCATCAATATAGGAGATAATTGTCTTAAAACTGAGAGAAACAGAAACATTAACAATAATCATAGGGTATAAAACAGGGGGTCCCTGACTTCAAAGGGAAAACAAGTGCCTCCGCCCAAATATACATAATTTAATAATTCATTTTCAAGATGAGAACAGAAGACTGACTTTTAGATTTGGCAAATGGAAGTTTTTGGAAACTATGCCAAGCATAACTGCCCCTAAGTGCTGAGAGTCAAAAGCCTGAATGGAATAGGTTATGATGCACCTGAGAGAGGGCCAGTGTAGACAGGGCTGCCAATTCGTTCTTTTTTTTTTTGAGACTGAGTCTTGCACTGTTGCCCAGGCTGGAGTGCAGTGGCGTGATCTCGGCTCACTGCAACCTCTGCTTCCAGGGTTCAAGCGATTCTCCTGCCTCAGCCTCCCAAGTAGCTGGGATTATAGGCACACGCCACCACGCCCGGCTAATTTTTGTATTTTTAGTAGAGACAGGGTTTCACCATGTTGGCCAGGCTGGTCTCGAACTCCTGACCTTGTGATCAGCCCACCTCAGCCTCCCAAAGTGCTGGGATTACAGGCATGAGCCATCGCACCCAGCCAGGGCTGCCAATTCTTTTCAGGAACGTGACTGTGAAAAGGGGCAGAGGAACAGGGTGGTAGAGAACATGGGTCAAGAACAGGTTTATCTGAGCTGGGAAACAGCATTTAACTGAGCTGGGAAACAGTACAGCACTTTCACATGTAAGAAGGGAGAAATTCCTAAATGTAGGAGAAAGATAACAGAACCTTCCCCTTTTCATCTAGTGGTGGAAACCTGATGCTTTATGTTGACAGGAATAGAACCAGGAGGGAGTTTGTACAACAAAAGTGGCATTCTTTGCACGGTACAGGTGACAGACTGCTCTATCTTCTACTTCTTCATTTCCTTATTTGTGAAAATGATGCCAATGAGCAGTCATTTACAGACACTACGACTCAACCCACTCTCTAACAGGTTTCACTTCCTTCCACATAGAAAGGATGTACTACAGTATCTCGGTCACCAACCACGGCTCAAATCCAGGTGTTTCATTTATACTAGCAGTCTATGGATGACTGGCTTTGCGATCTCAAATTACAGTAGAGTACCAGAAAAAAATTACTCTCTATAAAATTCCTTATTTAAAAAGTCAACATTTAACACGCTTTAAATTGTCTAGGTGTTTTATTATATACAGCAATCCCAAACTTAATAATCACTCATTAACACTATCTATAAATTTATGAAGTATATTAAGTAAACAAATGCAGATCCCTGGGCATGGGGGAGCATACCAATCTCTGCAGTTGATAGCGTCACCATAGCCAGGGGTATCTACCACTGTCAGGCGTAGCTTGACCCCTCGCTCTTCAATTTCAACAGTTGAAGCCTCAATCTGGACAGTTCTTTCAATTTTTTCTAGAAAAGAAACAAACTTAATAGGGAATATAAGCAGCATGTGAAGAGGAAAGCTCACGTTCTTACGACAGGTGACTTCAGAGTCTACTGCCTCTCTACAGAGGTAGGTTCTCCAAAGATACCATGGGGATTAAGAAAAAAAGATCCCAGAGAAGTCAGAAAGGGGAAGGTTAAAGCTAAGATTATTGTGCTACTGGGGAAGGTTAAAAACACAAATGTTAAAAATTATAATTTCTGTTCCTGGGAAAAAGAAAGCAATTTACGAATTCATTTAAAAACTGAATTCAAAAATATTCTGAAAGGGCTACATATTCTTGCAGCAGCCCAAGTCTTAGGCTCTCACTATGTGTGCCTATTTCATTCAACAGTCATTTGTGGATGCTGGTGTCCTGTGCTGGAACTTTCTGACAGTAGATGAATTCGAACATCTATCCTAGTAATCTTCTAGTTACACAGCATTTTTGATGTAAAACATTCTCACTTAATCCTTCCATCAAATATTTAATATAGGCAGAAACTACTTATTACATTTTACAGACAAACTCAAGAGAGGATGGATCCATGGATACGTGTCAAAGAAAGTCTACAACCCAAATCCAAGGACCTCGGTGCAGCACACCTACCCCATAAAAGTGTTTTCCTTGTGTTCAAAGCTGAACAAGAACAAACAAAACACACAGCTAAGACATAAAATATTAATTAGGCAGTCTTCAGCATCTTTCATGTAGAATTACACTTACAGTAACATAAGAATGTTTTTACCTGCTGCTCCAGGTATGACTCTTTCTGGGTACAGATCAGTTAGGAATAGGCTGTTTATGAGAGTCGATTTTCCTAGACCTGATTCACCTTTAAATAAAAAGAAAAACCTTGTCATGACCTTATTCATATGACACCATTCAATCGGTTAAGTGTTTACATAAGGCCTGGTACTGGGCTAAGTACCTCACAAACATCATTCTGTGTTTAGTACCTACAGTACTACTATGTTTGCAGTATGATCTTTGAGGGTACTCAAAGAAACTCTAATTTGCCCAAGGTCAGAGTACTATCCAGAGCAGGGCCAAGATTTGAATCCAGGTCTATGAGACTACAGAACTTGAACATCATATAATTAGAAACATAACTGTTCACAAATGTGAGGAATGTACTTTAGAGGTTGGTTTTTATTTTTGACAAATAGAATGCAAAGCAGGTTTTCAATTATCAGTTCTGCTAGTCACTAAACTCACCACATTTTCAGAAAACTGAACATATCTATCCCATAGTGTCAACAACCCTTGTGCTTCCCGAGCTGCAGAAACGTGTGAGCAGGACAGGGCCTGTGGTCTGGTGGGCTCACATGCACACCCTCACTCTGCAACCTCCCCCTTCTGCCACCTTGTCTTCTTCCTGCTTTAAATCCATCCCCGTTTCCCAGCACTGGCAACTGTCATATGTCGGGCAACTTTCCCGCTCACTTTGTTGAGTTCACACGACTAATTCAGGTGACACATATCCATGTAAGCTTTCAATGAGGTGAGAATCTCTCTTGAACTACTGTGACTACATATTCTGAATATTTGAAATTTAACTTCAAAAAAGATGCAAAATACCAAAAATTAAATTTTACATTTGAAGGAAGCACAAATCCCACTGCTTCATTGCAGATGATCATCTAGGTCTCAATTCTGCATGGAGAACTGCTTCTGATCTTGGTACTACTGGTGCTGGACTGTCCTCTGGGTACCCTAAACCACCCTCTGTTAAGTTCTGCAAAGCATGAGGAAGGAGTACACATCTCTTTTGAAAAATTATTTCTGGCTGGGCATAGTGGCTCACACCTATAATCCCAGCACTTTAGCAGACCAAGGCTGGAGGATCACTTGAGGCTAAGAATTCAAGACCCCGCCTGGGCAAAATAGTGAGACCCCCATCTCCCAAAAAACCAAAACAAAGTAAAAAAAACCCCAAAACCTTAGCCAGGTGTTGTGGCTTGTACCTAGAGTCCCAGCTACTTGGGAGGCTAGGGCAGAAGGATTGCTTGAGCCCAGGAGTTAGAGATTACAGCAGGCTATGATCATGCCACTGCACTTCAGCCTAGGTGACAGAGTGAGACCCTGTCCCTTACAGAATAAAACAATTCTGGGAAAATCAAGAACAAATAAGTGAATTTGCAATGTGCAGACGCACAGCCGGGCGCGGTGGCCCACGCCTGTAATCCCAGCACTTTGGGAGGCCGAGGCAGGCGGATCATGAGGTCAGGAGTTCAAGACCATCCTGGCTAACATGGTGAAACCCCGTCTCTACTAAAAATACAAAAAATTAGCCGGGCGTGGTGGCGGGCGCCTGTAGTCCCAGCTACTCGGGAGGCAGGAGAATGGCGTGAACCCGGGAGGCGGAGCTTGCAGTGAGCCGAGATCGCACCACTGCACTCCAGCGTGGGCGACTGAGCGAGACTCCATCTCAAAAAACAAAACAAAACAAAAAGAAACATGCAGACATACAAAATTAGGACTGCATTTTAAGTGAACTGCAATTTTCACACATGAAAAGAACAAAACAATGTGTTGAACATGCCTAAATATGAGTGTAAAAATTTGACTAAATGCCTGTTATCCCATTAAGTCATCCTTTTAATAAACGGTGGTGCAATGCCCCTTTACCTGTTTCTTTAGAAGTCTGACAAAATTTTAAAAACTGCCTTTCCTCTTCAATAGTCTCTCATTTACTAATTAGGTGTGTTAGGGTTTTCCTGATACACCCATTTTTCTTGAGCTATTAATACTACAATTTAAAAGTTGAGGATTCTTGTGGCTTTCTAGTTTTACTTTTCACTACTCACCCTCAACCCCCTACCTGTTTTATTTTAAAGCCACTTTGAGGCACGATTTACAAATACTAAAATACACCCATTTAAACTGTACAGTTTTGACAAAAGTAGATACTCAGATAATCAAACTCCACTCAAGATAAAGATTATTTTCATAACCCTAGAGTTGCTTTGTGTAACTGTGAAGTCTACCCTCTCCAGTCCCCACCGCAGGCAAACACCAATCTACTTTGTCACTATGTATCAGCTTTGCTTATTCTAAAACTTTTAAATGGCATCATACAACATGGCCTGTTTTGTGTCTGGCTGCTTTTGCTCAACAAAGCTCTGAGACTGATGCATGTTGTTGCATCTACGAGTAGTTCGTTTCTTTGTAGTGCTTGGCAATATTCCATTGTATGGCTACACCACAATTTGTTAATCCACTCTCTAGATACCTCTGCTGTCCCCAGTTTGGGGCTATTTTGAGAAAAGTAGCTATGAATATTCATATACAAATCTTTATGGACATGTTTTCATTTCTTGTGGGTAAACACATACAAGCAGTATTGCTGGGTCTTAACTGTTAAGGAAGTACCAAACTGGCTTCCATACTGGTTGTGGCATTTTTACATGCTCACTAGTAAGAGTTCCAGTTGTTTCACATCCTTGCTGACACCTGGAGTGCCTGCCTCTTAGTGGCTGGGTAGTGGCATCTCATGGTTTCAATGCGTATTCCCCTGACCACCAAAGATGTGGACACCTTTATGTGGGTTTATTGGCTATTTGTTTATCTTCCTTAGTGAAATGTCTATTCAGATCTTTTGCCCCCTCTTTGTAAGTGGGTCATTCGTCTTACTGATCTGTGCAATATTTTTATATATTCTGGACACATATCCTTTGTCAGATATGGTACTATGAATACTTTCTGAGTTCCTCACGTTTTATTTTCCTATTGATGTCTTTTCAAGAAGGCAAACTTTTAATAATGCACAATTGTTTTTATAATTTCTATTCTTCATGTCTTAAGAAATCTGCTTACTACAAAGTCATAAAAATTTTTTTGCCCATTTTCTTGTAGTTTTTATAGCTTTACATTTAAATCTACTATAATTTCAGGTTGTGATATACAGTGTGAAGCAGGAGTTGAAGTTCATTTTTTCACACATAATCATCTAGTTGTTACAGACTGTAAAAAGACTAAACTTGCCCCCACTGAATCAACTTGGCTTTTTTCTCAAAAAACGAAACCAAAAAAACAATTGAACTTATTATATTGATGGGTCTACTTCTTGGCTGTTGCTCTGTTTAGTAGATCTGTGTATCTACCCTTACCACACTGTCTTGATTACTGCTGTTAAGTCTTGAAATCAGGGACTGTAATCCTCCAACTCTGCTCTTTTTCTAAACTGTTTTTGTCTGTTCTAGGCCCTCTACATTTACATTTAAACTTCCGAATCAGCTTGTTAATTTTTATTTCTGAAAGTTGGAGCTGGACGCTGTGGCTCATGCCAGTAGTAATCCTTGTACTTTGGGAGGCTGAGAAGGGTGGATCACTTCAGGCTAGGAGTTTAACACCAGCCTGGCCAATATGACAAAATGCCATTTCTACTAAAAATACAAAAATTAGATGGGCGTGGTGGCGCATGCCTGTAGTCCCAGCTACTTGGGGAGGCTGAGAAACGAGAATCACTTAAACCTGGGAGGTGGAGGTTGCCAAAATCATACCATTGCACTCTAGCCTGGATGACAGAGCAAGACTGTCTCAGAAAAAATATGGGACAATTTGGGGGAGAAAGGGCATAATAGTTCCAATCCACAAATGGGGCAGATCTTAACAACTTTAGATTTTAATTTCTCTCAGCACTGTTTTGTAGTTTTCAGTGTATAGGTCTTGCACGTTTTGTTAAATTTATCTCTGAACAATATTTTTTGTGACTGTTAAGTGGTACTGTCTTAAAATTATTAATACTCTTGTTTGTGATTTTTTTCTTTTGTTTTTTTTGAGACGGAGTCTCGCTCTGTCATGCAGGCTGGAGTGCAGTGGCATGACCTCGGCTCACTGAAACCTCCCCCTCCCAGATTCAAGCGATTCTCCCGCCTCAGCCTCCAGCATAGCTGAAATTACAGGCACCCACCATCACGGCCGGCTAATTTCAGTACTTTACAAAAGTACTAAAGAGATGAAGTTTTACCATGTTGGGGGGGCTGGTCTTAAACTCCTGACCTCAGGTGATCTGCCAGCCTCGGGCTCCCAAAGTGCTGGGATTACAGGTGTTAGCCACTGCACTCAGCCTAATTTCTTATCTTTAGTGGGTCCTGGATTTTTACAAATTCGTTTTTCAGCTAACATCATCTTCCTCCTTGATAACTACACTGCATGACAATGACTTTGAATGTTGCATCATGTATTCCTAAGATAAACTCCATTTGTTTAGTCAGTCCTAATTTGAAAATGAGAATTTGTTCCAATGGGATTGATACATTACGGAACAATAGCAGAGTAATACAAATTTCGTATTTGCTTATTATATATGATCTCATTGGTGAGAAACTAGGAGAATACAGAAGACAGTGTTTAATTCTGCATCCAACAGAATCAAACCACTTGGGGATATTCCCAACACACACCCCTAAATATCTATCAGCTATCTTTCTTCACTGCCTGTTATGAGCCACACCCATTTACACGTAGTGTTATGACTTTCCAACTTTAGAAAACCCTCCCTCCACAGCTACACAAAAGCACACAAGCTGCAACCCTCCTGATGTCCACTTGCACAAACCAACCTCAGGGCTTCTATGGTGCAGTCATTATTTTTTAACCATTTACATGTGGACTGGTATAATTCTTACGTTCCTATCTTTTTTCCCATTGTGTCGCTGATGAAGGTTCTGAGTATTGTGTCCCTGTTTTCTGCACAAGCCCTGTGGTGTTTATTCATCATGCTGTATGGCATGGTGATTTTTTTAGAAACACACGGGTTGCATCATAGCAGGACTCAGTGCATTGACTTTTTATTTAGATATATTGCTGGACTCGGTAAGATTTAATTAAGATGTCCATGTCTAGCTCGTGTATATGTAAAAAGTAGAGGCTCCTCTTTAAAGGCTTTACTCCCCGTCTAATTAGGAATAATACTAACTTCTCTTAGAAGCATAATTTATTCAAAGACCTGTGCTAACATTCTTAAATATCTGCTGGCCGTAATGAGGAAATCAAAGTACTTTATGTTCTTAGCTCGCACAATTCAGCCTAAATATTTGCCCTGGCATGCTTATGCTGGTCCAAGCAAGCATTAGGTCATAGCCTGTTGCTCTTCCTTATTTGAAGGTGATTTTACCTTTCTCAACATTCCTCCTTCCTTTGTTCTCCTCTGCCTTTGCCTCTTTTAAGAAGTTCTAAGTTGCTAGCCAATCAGGACAAATACAGAATGTGAGGTACCGTTCCAGCCAGTGGAAACCAGACACAGCAGTAAGGTAGACGCATCAGGTTATAAATGACCCAGGTTACAAATGATCCTCTTTGTTCGGTGTACCCTCTTGACAAAACTGCTGGCGAGTGTACCCTTTCTGTAGAAAGTAAAAATGGCCTTGCTGAGGAAACTGAATTTATGTTCAAGTACTATTTCTTTATGGCACCGAAAAACAAGCATTTCTAACATATATTAGTCTGTAGTTTTCTTGTCATTTGTAATAGGATAATGCTGGCTTAATAAAATAGGCTGGTAGGTGTTTCCTACTCATCTATTTCATGAAGATGTCTGTGTAAGATTTATATTAATCCTAGCGCTTTGAGAGGCCGAGGCGGGCGGATCACGAAGTCAGGAGATCGAGACCATCATGGCTAACACGGTGAAACCCCGTCTCTACTAAAAATACAGAAACAAAATTAGCCAGGTGTGGTGGCGGGTGCCTGTAATCTTAGCTACTTGGAGGCTGAGGTGGGAGAATGGCGTGAACCCGGGAGGTGGAGCTTGCAGTGAGCCAAGATCGTGCCACTGCACTCCAGCCTGGGCAACAGAGCGAGGCTCCATCTCAAACCATCTCAAAAACAAAACACACAAACAAAACAACAACAACAACAAAAGATTTACATTACTTCTACTCCCCGCCACATACACCTTTTCTCATTTTTAAATCTCTACCTTTTTTGTGTGTGAGAGATGGAGTTTCACTCTTGTTGCCCAGGCTGGAGTGCAATGGCGCGATCTCGGCTCACCGCAACCTCCACCTCCCGGGTTCAAGTGATTCTCCTGCCTCAGCCTCCCAAGTAGCTAGGATTACAGGCCTCCACCACCATGCCCGGCTAATTTTGTATTTTTACTAGAGATGGGGTTTCTCCATGTTGGTCAGGCTGGTCTCGAACTTGCCACCTCAGGTGATCCACCCGCCTAGCCTCCTCAAGTGCTGGGATTACAGGCGTGAGCCACCGTGTTTTGAGATGGAGTTTCTCTCTTGTTGCCCCGGCTGGAGTGCAATGATGGGATCTCGGCTCACTGCAACCTCCACCTCCTAGGTTCAAGTGATTCTCCGGCCTCAGCCTCCCGAGTAGCTGGGATTACAGGCATGTGCCAACACGCCCAGCTAATTTAGTATTTTTTTTTTTAGTAAAGGCAGGATTTCTCCATGTTGGTCAGGCTGGTCTTGAACTCCCAACCTCAGGTGATCTGCCCACCTCAGCCTCCCAAGATGCTGTGATTACAGGCATGAGCCACCACACCCAGCCAATTTCTACTTAATTTTATTTTTTGAGACGGAGTCTTGCTCTGTCGCCAGACTAAAGTGCTGTGGCGCAATCTTGGCTCACTGCAACCTCTGCCTCCCTGGTTCAAGTGATACTCCTGGCCTCAGCCTCCCAAGTAGCTGGGTCACAGGCATGCACCACCACGCCCAGGTTTTTGTATTTTTAGTAGAGATGGGGTTTTGCCATGTTGGCCAGGCTGGTCTCAAACTCCTGACCTCAAATGATCCACCCGCTCTGGCCTCCCAGAGTGCTGGGATTACAGGCATGAGCCATCACGCCCGACCAGTTATGTTATTCCTAATGACAATTCAGTGGTCACTCCTCTTATCTTCAATCCCCTGTATGTAATAAATTTCTTTGTTCTGGCTACTTTTTTCTTTTCTTGAGACAAGGTCTCACTCTGTCACCCAGACTGGAGCGCAGTGGCACGATGACAGCTCACCATAGGCCTGACGTCTCAGGCTGAGGTGATCCTCCTGCCTCAGCCTCTCAAGTAGCTGTGACTACCGGCATCCCCCACCAAGGCTGGCTAATTTTTATATCTTTTGTACAGACAGGGTTTCACCATGTTGCTCTTGAACTGGTCTTGAACTCCTGGGCTGAAGTGATCCACCCATGTTGGCCTCCCAAAGTGCTAGGATTACAGGCATGAGCCACCACACCAGGCCTGATCTGGCTACTTTTAAAGACCTTTCTGTTTATCTATGGTCTATTTGCTTATTACAGGCTTTGGTGTGCTTTTCTCTATTATTTCTTCTGCTTGTTGTCTCATCAGTAGTTTCTGGTAGCGTGTTATGATGCGTCCTGGTGTAGTTTTCTTTATATTTATTTTGCCTGGTATTTGTCAAGCTTCTTGGATCTGTGCATTTACAACTTTGCTGAAAATTGCACAATTCCCAGGCATTATTTTTTCATGTTTTTTTTTTTTGCTTTCCTGTCTTCTCTGTGAATATAATCCATATATTAGACTGTTCACAATGTACCAAAGGACACTGAGGGCACATTCAATTTCTTTTTTTTTTCCAGCTTTTCCCTTACTGTGCTTCTACTGTGCTTTTTCTCCTGCAGTGTATAATGTGCTGTCAGGCTTATCATGAAAATTTCTTATTTCGGTTGTATCTTAATCTTTAGAAGTTCCACTTGGTTTTCTGTTGTATCTTTCCTTTATCTTATTATATTCATGCTTTCCTTTAAGTAATAGAGTTCTTCTTTGCCATCGAGATCCATTTCTATCATTTCTGGATCTGTTTCTATTGCCTGCTTTTTCTCCTGATTATGTACAGTTTTTGTTTCTTTGATGCCACACAATTTTCTATTAGACATTAGACATTGTGAATGTTACACTGTAAATGCCTGGATTTTTTTTTTTTTTTTTTTTTTTTTTTTGAGACAAGGTTTCATTCACCCAGGCTTGAGGCTTGAGTGCAGTGGCATGATCTCAGCTTACTGCAGCCTCAACCTCCTGGACTCAGGTGAGAGGAACTACAGGTACATGCCACCATGCCTGGCTAGTTTTCATATTTTCTGTAGAGACAGGGTTTCACCATGTTGCCCAGCCTGATCTTCAACTCCTGCCTGCCTCGGCCTCCCAAAGTGCTAAGATTACAGGTGTGAGCCGCCATGCCTGGCCTGGAGGATATTTCTGAAACGGGTCACTTACACAGCCATTGGCAGGCCTTGGTTCCTTACTTGGTGGGCTTCCCTGTAAGGCTGCTTGAGTGTTCTCTTGACATGACAGCTGGCTTCCTCCAGAGTGAGTAATTTGAGAAGAGGCAAGGTGGGGGGCCATAATGCCTTTTATGACCTAGTCTTAGAAAATGACAACACTTTCATCTCCACAATGTCCTACTGGCTACACAGGTAAAACCCTATTCAATGCAGGAAGGGCTGGCTTCCTCCAGAGTGAGTAATTTGAGAAGAGGCAAGGTGGGGGGCCATAATGCCTTTTATGACCTAGTCTTAGAAAATGACAACACTTTCATCTCCACAATGTCCTACTGGCTACACAGGTAAAACCCTATTCAATGCAGGAAGGGACAAGAAAGTTGTGAATACCAGGAGATAAGAATCACTGGGGGCCATTTTGGAGCCTAGCTGACACAATGAGTAAACTTTCACTACATATAAATAAGAAAGTGACAGAAAAATAATTTTGCTCCTGAGAAAAATTTTCTAATGAATACACATATATTTGTTCAAATTCTCAAGTTATTTGACTCTGCCAAATTTTCCTCTTTCTTTATAGGTCACGTTATCATACTCCAGAGATTGGAAAGGGGAGATATTTATTTAGTAAGTTGGAGACTATAGATTAATTTCTTACCGACCACCATCAGTGTGAACTCAAAACCTTTTTTCACTGATTTTCGGTGAACTTGATTGGGGAGGTTTGCAAATCCAACATAGCCAGGTGTTTCTGGATTTATAAACTGAGTTGGCTGTTGCTAAATAAGATTAAAAAACAAACAAACTAATAAACACCTTAGTAGTTGCTTTTAAGATATAATCAGTTAGACATGAAACAAACATAGGTTATCAGTTTTCACAAATTTTTTAAAAAGTATAAACACTTCCAGAAGGTCATACTTCTATCAGAAAACCAGTAGTATTCAACTAGGAGCATTAAAAAAAGAAAAACTTATCTAGTATAACTCCTTAGTTGTATGCGACTGAAAATTAACATTTTGTTAATCAGTATTCTGTTTAGGAATTTAACAATACATAGAAGATACATGCTTAATACATCTTAATGCAATTTCAAATTTCGACTTGAGAGACTATGGAGTTCCAGGAAAATCAGTCAAGCTTACAAAGTACTGCTACAGCTGACAGTACTTTGAATGAATGGTTTCATTCAACAAACTTGGCTAAAGAATAGCTTCTCCCAGGTATTAGGTGCAATGCATTTCTGAAAAGTATCGAGGAAAAAAGCATCTCTCTTGCTGTGCTTCTAGCTCTATAGAACAGAGTTTCATCAAGGGTGAGGCAGGCAAATTAGGGGTGGGATGTTGAGTATCTAGTGTCAAAGACCAAGAAAGAAAAGACAGAATGAGAAGATCATAGATGACTACACTGAAGCATCAATATTCCTTGACAGAAGGGTATCTGATGAGAGAGAGGACAGAGATATGAGAAGGCAAGAATAGCAGAAGTAACCAGAATCTAGACAGTGGCATACTGAAAATGAGAAGAAATTTTAAAAATCAATTTATTAATTGAAAAAGGCAAGATACAAAATAGTATTTCCTTTAGGATTACATTTTGTAAATGTATAGTCAAATGCACACACAGGTGAAAAAGAATATATGTAACATATTAACAGTGGTTATTCCTGAGTGGTGAAATAATGACTTTTTTTTTTGCTTATCTGTGTTCCATGCTAACACTGGTATAAAATGCAAAAACTGGTATGATGATTTTGCATTGGACAGTAATGAACACCCACAGGATTCAAAGATAAAAAAAAAACAGAAATAATAATCTTGCAATGTTAACCACAAGTTCTGCTTTTCTCAGAATATGTTCTTTAGCACTAATTTATCTCTGAACTAACTTGCAAAGGCTGATTTAAACCAATTTATCAAGTCTAAGAGCCCCATCAATTTCATCATAATAAATTATCAGAATTCTAAATTATCTGGTCTGCTGGGAATGAACTAAGGGGGCCAAAAGGACTGTTACTGATGTGTGTAGAGAAAAGAAAGTAGAAGCCTGAAAAAAGAGAAAGCTCCAAGCTTTTAAGATGACAATTAGGCCAGGCACGGTGGCTCACACCTGTAATCCCAACACTTCGGGGGGCCAAAGCGGGTGGATCACGAGGTCAACAGATCAAGGCCATCCTGGCCAACACGGTGAAACCCCGAATTTACTAAAATCCAAAAAATTAGCCAGCGTGGTGGCACGTGTCTGCAGTCCCAGCTACTCCGGAGGCTGAGCCAGGGGAATCGCTTGAACGTGGGAGGCAGAAGTTGCAGTGAGCTGAGATCATGCCACTGCACTCCAGCCTGGTGACAGAACAAGACTCCCGTCTCAAAAAAAAAAAAAAAAAGACAACTAAATTAGAACTCTTTGTGTTAATGAATCAAATGTATCAGTTGTATTAAAAATAATGAATCATATAAGTCCCGACTGTCAACAGTCTGAAAACATAAAGCAATTTCTCCTTATGCTGTAGATACATGAAGTATGATCTTACCTTAGACATCTTTTGTGAAGCTTCGTCTGTTAAAAAAAAAACACACAGACACACATAAACGCACATACATAGTATGTATGTATACGCACGTATATTTAACAGCGTGAACTGACCTGAAGAAGACTTACACATACATAGGCAATGTAAAAAGAAAATACAATTTCAGGACCTTCCAAATGCATTAGGCCAAAGGGAAAAGTTAAGCACTGACAGCTGGCTCGTGTAACATCACTACTTTTATTCTTTCTGACTTTTGTGTTTAGATGTATATATTAACCAGACCCCCTATTCTTTATTCAAAACTAGACTAAATGACTGGGAGATGAGAGATCCTTATGACTGTTACTTCTTTACAAAAGGAAGTTAAACAAATCCCTTCAAGTGTAATCAATAGTAGCCAATCAAATTTGTATCTTTAAATGAGCCTTAGTTCCGAAAATGTTATAATTCTGTTTGGCACCTCCATTTTGCCTATATAAACAATCCTCATTTTTCCCCACCCTGGGAGCGCTAATCACCATTCTTTGGTGTAGCTCGCTTACACTCTGTACTTAAATGAATTCTTTTAACTGAATCAGGAGCCTTTTGATTATTTTAGGTGACAGCATCTCAATTACTTCAAATATTTCCCTAGGAATAAGACAAGCATCTATCATTACAAAAATAAATTCGATTAAAAAAATTAGGCCAGACGTGATGCTCACGCCTGTAATTCCAGCACTTTGGGAGGCCGAGGTAGGCAGACCACTTGAGGTCAGGAGTTCAAGACCAGCCTGGCCAACATGGTGAAACCCCATCTCTACTAAAAATACTGATTCAGCCAGGCATGGTGGCGCTTGAGGTCAGGAGTTCAAGACCAGCCTGGCCAACATGGTGAAACCCCGTCTCTACTAAAAATACTGATTCAGCCAGGCGTGGTGGTGCGTGCCTGTGATCCCAGCTACTCAGAAGGCTGAGACAGGAGAATCGCTTGAACCTGGGAGGCGGAGGTTGCAGTGAGCCGAGATCATGCCACTGCACTCCAACCTGGGCAACAGAGTGAGACTCCATTAAAAAAAAAAAAAAAATTAGATGGTGGCTGGGTGCAGTGGCTGACGCCTGTAATCCCAGCAGTTTGGGAAGCAGAGGCAGGACTGCTTGAAGCCAAAAATTCAACACCAATCTGGGCAACATAGCAAAACCCTATCTCTACAAAAAATTAAAAAATTAAAAAAATTTTTAAGTTGATAAAAGCAACTGTATATATATATGTACGCACATATTCCATATTTTCAATAATATTCAAATTTTTTTTCAGTACTGACTATATGTTAGACACTAGGGACACAAATGGGATACACACGGATACATACTTCCCTGACCTCTGGAATTATGTCATTTCCCCTCTCTCTTTGAAACCTTTCAAGGAGTAAGGGACTTCATTACATAGAGCACTGTAACTTGAACATGTTTGCCACCCACTGGAGTTTCCTAGAGCTACCTGAGAACTAGATTTTGACACTGGGGTACAGAGAGCAATGTGAACTACATTTATGAGGAAAGGAAATAGTACTGAAGGCATCTGAGTGTCTGAAAAATGTGACAATATTTTTAAAGATATGTGGAATTTTTTTTTCTCTTTTCTTTTTTTTTTTTTGAGACGGAGTCTCGCATTGTCTCCCGGGCTGAAGTACAGTGGGTGATCTCAGCTCACTGCAACCTCCACCTCCTGGGTTCACGCCCTTCTCCTGCCTCAGCCTCCCGAGTAGCTGGGACTACAGGCGCCCGCCACCATGCCCGGCTAATTTTTTTTTAATTTTTAGTAGAGATGGGGTTTCACTGTGTTAGCCAGGATGGTCTCGATCTCCTGACCTCATGACCCGCCCGCCTCAGCCTCCCAAGGTGCTGGGATTACAGGTGTGAGCCACTGTGCCCAGCCAGAGATATGTGGAATTTTTAAACAAATTTTAGAAACCCTGAAGCTTTGGAAAGCATGGAGTCTGTTGGCTAACCTTCAGTAACAACCCCAAGAAAGATGACTGCTGTCAAATTTGGTTCCCTCTGGAGCTTAGAAACTTATTAAAAAGCTTCTCTCACTTTGCCTCTCGATTCCCCTCCCCCAAATCTTAACTTCCTGAATACTGTGTCCTCTGTTTCCCTTTTGACTGGAAATGTTCCCAGCTACTTTGGAAGAAATGAGATCCCTGCATCCCCAGTGTTATTTGGCTTGGTTAACCAAGGGATAGTAGCAGTAAGGTTCAAGAGCCTTTAATTTCAGCAAAACCTAAGAATTGAGAGCAAGTGTGAGTGTGGAGGAGTAGAACTTCCTAAAGGGAAAGAGAAGGGTCAGATGTAATACAGACAGTTTTGGCAGAAGGAGTTGGCATCTCGTTTTCAAATAATACAGAGATAAGTATCTGATTATGAAAGTAAAAAAAAAGGTAATCATTAAAGAAAATAACAATGAGAACTTCCAAATTAAGAGAAAAATATGGAGGAAACAGCAACTTCATCAAACCAGCAAAAATATGGAAAAGGAACAAGAAGAAACAAAATCAGAAGTAATCCTAAATCAAGACAATGGGGACAAAATTCAAGAATATCAGTTATCAGTATAAATGTGAAATAACCAAATTCTCTGCTTAAAGGAGAAGACAGATTGGCCTGAAAAACCAAGGGAAAAAAAAAACAAAAACAACAAACCGTCCAGCTATAACGTATATGCTTAAAGCAAAAGGAACAAAGAGAGGCTGAAAATAAAGGGACAAGGTAAAAAATAGCAGGCTAGTGCAAACATGGAGGAGAGACAACACTACTATCAGCCAAGGTGGGAATTAAAGTAAAAATAAGCAGAATAACAGGGATAACAAGCTATAATGATAAAAGAAACAATTTATAGGGAAGATGTAATATTCATAAGCCTGTATATTCAAATAATCACTGTAGATAAACACATAAAGCAAGGACTAGGAAAAATACAAACTTAAAAAAAAAAATTCAAGTGAGAAACTTTAATAGAGTTCTCTGAGAACCGGACAGATTCAGTAAACACAGTATGTGCAAGGACAGAGAAGAACTGAGTAATACAACAAATACATCTGATTTAGCAGACATAGAGAAATTTGAATCAATACCTTAAAAAATGTTTGAAGTCATGTATCTACCATAAAAAAAAGCCTAAACAAAATTTGAAAAACATTTTTACAGTCAATGTTCTCAAATAATTATCTGCTTAAATTGGGTGGAAAAAGATGAAAAGTAACTCCCAGTAATTTGTTACATTACTGGATATCCCCAGGATCAAGGAGGGTAACAAAAGCAAAGCCATAAGCAATCTCTAGAAAGCAATGGAAGGAAGATAAAAGCAAAACTTAGGAGATAAAACAGGAAATCAATAAAGAGAAAAAATGAATTATGAGGGGGGGAAAAAGAAGGGTAAACAAATCCAAAAGCTGGTTTTCTTTTTGTTTTTTGAGATGGAGTTTTGCTCTTGTTGCCCAGGCTGGAGTGCACTGGCGCGATCTCAGCTCACTACAACCTCTGCCTCCTGGATTCATGCAATTCTCCTGCCTCAGCCTCCGGAATAGCTGAGATTATAGGTGCCCGCCACCACGCCCAGCTAATTTTAGTATTTTTAGTAGAGATGGGGTCTCACCATGCTGGCCAGGTGAAACTTCCTGACCTCAGGTGATCCTCCCACCCTGGTTTCCCAAAGTGCTGGGATTACCGGCCTGAGCCACCGTGCTTGGCCGCAAAAGCTGGTTTTCTAAAACAAATTCCTCACAAGCCCAATTCAGGAAAAAATAGCAAATATAGAAAAGTAGCTAAAATAATGACAGAGAAGACTACATGTAGCAAAATGGCCCCAAATCTGAAAATGCAGAAAAAATGGGCACTGTAAATTACCAATACAGAACCAAAAACTGGAAAATCTGACTAAAACAAGTATCACTAAGCAGCTGATTAAAGACATACCAATGAAAAGGACCAAGACTTGACGTTAGAGTTGAACTCCATCTAACCTTGGACAAGACCAAAGTCATTTAACTATTCCAAGCCTCTACAGAGAAAAGGGAAAACAATTTGTTTTATGAAGACAGCACAGTTTTAATAACAAACCCAGATGGAGACATAAGAAAGGAACAAAGGAATGAATGAACGCCATAGGCCAATCTCACTCACAAATATAAATGCAAAAATCCTGAATACAATATTTGCTAGCAATTAGATTCCAGGAATGTATCAAAAGCATCTACCAATATTAATCCAACAACACAGTATAGGGGAAAAAAAATCATGCATTAATAGATGCTGATGAGGCATATGAAATTCAGCAACCAATCATAATGAAAACAGTAAGAAAACTGCTGGCAGAGTGTGGTGGCTCACGCCTGTAATACCAGCACTTTGGGAAGCTGAGGCAGGAGGAGCGCTTGAGCTCAGGAGTTCAAGACCAGTCTGGACAACATGGTGAAACACTGTCTCTACAAAAAATACAAAAAAATTAGCTGGGTGTGGTGGCGGGCACCCGTAATCCCAGCTAAGTGGGAGACTGAGGTGGGAGGATCCCTTGAGCCCAGGAGGTGAAGGCTGTAGTGAGCCGAGATGGTGCTGCTGCACTCCAGCCTGGGTGACAGAGTGAGACTGTCTCAAAAAAAGAAAAAAAGGAAAACTGCTTAAATCTAATTCAGGATATTTCTGAAAACCAAAGGCAAATACTGTTTTCTAAACAATAGAAAATTAAATCTATTTAAATTACAACCGATAATTCGGCAGGAATGCCCTTCCATAATTATTTTTAAGCACTTACATGAAAACTTTTACATGAAGACCTATACAAAAAGCAAACAAAACCCCCATGTGCTATCCATTATCCAGCTTCAACAATTAGCAACTGAAGGTCAATAATGTTTCATCTATTTCCACAATCATCAATGCCACTGCCTGGATGATTATGAAGCAAATACGAGATGTAACATTTCATTTATATTCCACTACACATATCTAAAAATAAGGGCTCCTAAAAATGACAAACCATTACACATAGCTAGTTCTTTAATGCAATCAAATATCCAATCAGTATTCATATTCTCTATTCTCTCATTTTTTTCATGTGAATCAAGATCCAAGTAAGATCCAGATATTGCAATTTCACCATGATTATTTAATACTACCTTGGTGAGTTTACTGAATATAATGAAACAAGAAAATCAAAAGAAAACACTTTTTTGCTGATTGGACTGAATACACAGAAAATACAAATACTCGGCTGGGTGCGGTAGCTCATGCCTGTAATCCCAGCATTTTGGGAGGCCAAGACGGGCATATCACGAGGTCAAAAGATTGAGACCATCCTGGCCAACATGGTGAAACCCCGTCTCTACCAAAAATACAAAAATTAGCCAGGTGTGGTGGCGCCTGCCTGTAATCCCAGCTACCCAGGAGGCTGAGGCAGAATCACTTGAACCCGGGAGGTGGAGGGTGCAGTGAGCTGAGATCGCACCACTGCACTCCAGCCTGGCAACAGAGCAAGACTTTGTCTCAAAAAAAAAAAAAAAAAGAAAATACAAATACTCTGGTTAAAAAAATTCTAGAATACGATAATTTAGTAAGGTAGCTAAATATAAGATCTCAAGTAAGTCAAGTACCAGCAACAAATATCAAGGAATAGAAATGGGGGCACATCATTTACAACAGAATTTTTAAAAATCCAAACAAGTAGGGACCAAACTAGAAAACAGGTCCTACATAAATCAAATCATTTTTATTTTCCCCAAATGAGTATGTTATTTAGTCCATTTCTAACTGGAATCCCTAACGGTGTGGCTTTTTTCTTAAAGGATTGGATAAAATGAGCTTTAAGTTCACATGGAAAGATTAAATGCCAATGCTGAGGATAGAAAAGAGCAGGCACTTACCTTATCACCTATTACATGTATCTGATTTCAAACCCACACAGTGCAACATAGAAATACCATAGAGCACCTCTCCCGCACCTCCACAGAACCCCTCAGCCTCACTGAACCCTGTGCACACATATGGGAAAATGGAGAAACTATTTGTCTTAAACTGACATTTCAACTTTGCTTTGACTTTACCAAGTTTCTCCTGCCATCTTTTTTTTTTCCTGTTTTTTTTTTTCTGAAACATAACTTGGATCCACAATGTTTTCTCTCATAATTTATTAACTAATGTGAAATGGAAGGTGAAAGAGGAATTATGAACCTCTGAAGCACATGGTTTTCAGTGAGAAAGCCTTGATCCAGCAACACAAACTGCCAAGCACTGTGATTAACTTAAACACTGGGTGCAAATTGGACCAAAAATGTAGTCAAATGAAAATTTTGTTCCTTCAGATCGTGTTTATTCCACATGCCAGAAGTTGTTTAAAGTTCTTTAATCTTGACCCACAGCTTATTTCTTCCACAGAATAACCCCAATACACATAAAAAACCAATTTTCGCAAAACAAAAGATAGAAGATGAACAACATCTGGCGATGTAGAACCCGGAAGGTCCATGATCTTATTCAAAGCATCTGGATTCTTTGGATTCGGGGAAGGTCCACGTTCAGTATACCCACATAACACTCCTAACAGGGACTGGGGCAGGGATAAGTGGCATGTATGACTACTAACAGAACAGACAATACAAATGGCCTTACCTCACCTCTGCTGCCAAATGAGTTTTGGTGTCCCCATTCCTCCAGACAAAAAAAAAAAAAAAAATACCCACAACTTCTTCTTTTACAGCAGTTTCTGTATGCTGGTATTGGGGATAAAAAGGGGCCCTGAATTACATTTATGAATGATAGAGGGAAACCCTGGCCCCTTTCCCTAGGTCACCTTGCTAGTTTAAGAGCCAGTCAGAATGTAAATCTGATCTAATTAAAACGCTCTTGTTCTTTATTCCTGGCTGTGGCACTGGTGAGAGAAATCAAGGTGGAAGTTGAGGAAAAAAAATCAGGACAACCTTTATAGCTAATGAGATCAATGCCAAGATTATACATAACAGTACACATCATGAGTTAGGATGCTGGGTGGTGCAAAGAACCCATTAATGGGAGCTATCAAAAATCACTGAAAACAATGAGGCTCAAATCAGAAGTATCAAGAATCAGCTTTCATGACCCCTACACCATGATGTTTTTCTTTATGACGGCAGAACTATTTTGAAACATTAAATATATCGGCAGGCACTGTGATTCAAAAAGTATTTGAGAACCTACTAGGTGCTAGACACCAACCGAGGCAATGAGTATGGGTGACAACATGTGCCCTGCCCTCACAGCACCAATAGTCCACTGGACAAATACCATCTGGAACATCAGGTAAACACCTAAGCCTGTCTGGAGGAAATCTAATTTGGGCGGAATCCCACAAGCACAGACTAGGTAAGGAGAAGGCAGTTAAGGTGGGAAGTAGCCAGATTTAAGAGTTTGGGCAATGGCCAAAGGTGCAGAAGTTTGAACTACAAGAAGTTCAGTGTAGTTGGTTCGTGTGTTTCCGTGGAGAGAGGACAAGGTCTGGTGGCACTGACAAGAATTAGACCGAAAAGGTAAAAAAGCAAGCCAGGTTTGTCTGGGCCAGTAGGCCAGGTCACAGTTGGGACTCCACTGAGACCACGGAAGCCACAGGTTTGCTCCTCATCCCCGGGCCAACTCGGCGGCCTCCAACCCTATACCCTACCCCCTGCTGCCTGTCCGTGCCTCGCTGGTGCAGACCTTCGTCGCCTCTCCTCGCCGAAGGTACCCGCAGACAGGGCCTAGTCGCTCTCCCCTCGCTTATCCACGGCATCCAGCCGATGGGCTTGGAGGTTTGGGGGCTGGCCAGTCCTCCACGCCTCAGGGAGGAAATGGCACCGTTAGAAAGACAAGATGGCCACACAAGCTCTAAGTGTTTGTCGGGCCTAAACCTGTATCCTCCCTCCAAGCACCAAACCTCCCGACCTCGACCGCACTCGACGCCCCGAGGCCCAGCACCGACGACAGTGCAGAGGAATTCCCGCAGGGTCAACAAGGGGTCACCGGAATCCCCACTCCCGCGCCCGGGCCTGCCCGTGTCGGAGCCACTGTCGCCGGCACTAGGACCGCCCGGGACGGGGGAGCCCACGATAAGTGCCGAAGAGCCTGGGCTCGGCCGCCCCTCCCCCACACCGCCCCGCCGGCACCCCAGAGCCAGCCGACCACCGCCCGAGAGTATGGGACGAGCGGCGCGTCCCCCGCAGCTCCTCGGGAGGGCCGGCCCACAACTTGTGCGGGGTACACCGGCGAGACACTCACCCGCCAAACAGCCCGAGAACAGGCGCCGACCGACCGCGCCGCGGACCCGCCCAGCGCTCGCGGTCCGCTCACAGCCCGCCCCAGCCCGCCCCGCCCCGCCCAGCGCGCAGGCGGATTGCGTCACCGCGTCACCCCGCCCCTTTGCCAACTGCTTCCTGGCTCAGTGCGACCTGGCCTTCTTCCCCTCCCCCATGCGGCCGGCTTCCGAGTGCGCAAGCCCAGAGTCGTCCGCGTTGTCCGCCTCTGCGCAAGCGCCGTGCTCCTCCCACGGCAGTTGGCCATATAGAGGCTGGGGGTGGGGGGGGAGGTCAAGCGTAGCCTCTTCTCCTTTACCAAGATGGCGGCTTGTCCCTGTTTCGCCACAGTTCCTACCTTATGAGCTCGGTTTTCTTATGCTTATAAGAGTGGAACAGGTAATGAGAATCTTCGCCTTGCGGTGGGTAACTGGAGTGGGGGGAAGGCCGTTTGTTAGAAGGAGACAAGTGCCCACTGAGGAGGAGAGAGGCGGTCGCGGGAGGGCAGGTGGTGGCGGGAGTGCGGAGCGATCACGGGGAGGGGGAGCCTTCGCCTCTCCTCCTGTCCTCCAAGAAGATGGCGGCAGCACCGAGCTGGGGCGCCGAGTACGACTGGGCGGGGGACGGCGAGCGGCCGCGCGAAACTCGTCTAGCCCACCACCGCCGCCGTCTCGATGATCGGGGGGCCTCTCTGGGATTGGCTGCGCGCACGTCACGTGGGGCCGACGGGCCCTGCGCAGACCATCGAGTCGGGCGTCCCTCCCCGGGGACGTGGCCTTCCTGTGCCCGGGCTGGGGCCCGCCGCCCCGCGGGGGAGGGCGGAGCTGGCGCGGCCCCTAGCTTTCTCCTTCTGGTGTGGGGCCCGAGGTGAGACCTGGGGAGTGCTCCGCGAGCCCACGAGCAGCGACGTGGCTCGGGGACGGGAGGGTGCCGTGCCTGGCTGCGGCCTGAGCGGGATGGGCGCGGGCGGCTCCGGCCCGCGGGTTGTGCCCCGGCCCGGGGTGTCCTTTCCTCCCTCCCGCGTGGCCTGGAGGCACTGCAACTGTTCGAGACTCACGTCAAGGCTTGGCGCAAATACCCCTCGTTCAGGAAGCCTTCCTAGGTTTCCCCCGCTTAGAGGAAACACTTCCTGAGTTCCTAATGGCTGACCCGCATGGTGTTGGGAACCTGAGCCTTTCTGACACCGTGGCATGTTGCTAGGGTATTTTTGTGCGTAGCTCCTTTGAAAAGTGGTTAGGTGCTCAAGGCTAGCTGCTACATATCCTCTCCATTCGACTTAAAAAATGAGAGGGTCAGACTTGACATGGTGTTTGGACGCCATGTAAAATCGAAGGAAGTCGACTTGGGCTTTGCTTATTAAACAGTGCCTATTATGGTGAAATTAAACGGCTGAAGGAATGTGGATGAGTCGTAATCTTAAGGAACATGACGATTTGCCCCTCAGTTTTGCGTTTTATGTCCTCAGATTCATAGCTACCTATACCCTAAGCCCTCAATCAATGACTTCACATTTATTTGGTGTCTGCTTAAGGATAGTCACTTTCTTAGCAGCTAACTTCCTTAAAACCCTATTAAGATAGGTTAAGTCACAATTAGGGTTTTGTCTAAGGCTCCTGGTAGCGGCACATTGCATAATAAGCTTAATGTTCATTTAGGGAAGCAAATCTGGGATGCTGAAACACTGGATGAAACGTAGTGCTTAGGTTTATATTTTGATTTTTTGACATGTAAAAGTATCCCTAGGCTAAATTCATTAAGTACACATGATATTAGGATGCTTGGCAACAGTATTTAAAAATAGTTGAAAAGGTGTTTGGGTAAGAATTATTTCCATCATTTGGATTACCGAATCTCTGAGTCTGAAACATCAACCTATCAAGTTTTAGACTTGGGGAAAATGGAGCTGGAGCCTACTGCCTCAAGTCTCAGGGACAGCGTTTGAAACCCCATTAAATAATTCATCATGAGGATTAAACTTTCCTGTTACTGCTATTAGTTTTGCTTGGTGCCAAGCACTGTTGAAGGGACTTAGCTCATCTTATCAGGAGTCAAATTAACGTCATTCGGGTAAAAGTGCATTGAGTGTAAGGAGAGCACCTCAAAGATATAGTTGACCTATATCACGTCCCTCAGCGCCACTAGGCTTACTTGAATCCCTGTTACAGTGTCCTCTCCAGTGGGCAAAGCTAACTTCTCAGTGGCCTGGTGGGAGAATTTCTTCTTGAGTAAATACGTATTTTTCCAGGTTTTGTTGTTTTGGCCTTCCAGTTGTCTGACTTCAGCCTCATGACCTCACTTCTTCATTTCAATTCAAAAAAATATTTGCTGGAAATTGCTGTGTAGGGTTAAGGGTTCTGCAGATACAAAGGTTGAGAGGATATAGTCTTTTCGACCAGGTGCAGTGGCTCACGCTTGTAATCCCAGCACTTTGGGAGGTCGAGGCGGGTGGACACTTGAGGTCAGGAGTTCGAGACCAGCCTGACCAACATGGTGAAACCCTGTCTCTACTAAAAATACAAAAATTAGCCTGGCATGGTGGCGCGCGCCTGTAATCCCAGCTGCTCAAGAGGCTGAGGCATGAGAATCGCTTGAACCCAGGAGGCGGAGGTTGCAGTGAGCCGAGATTGTAGCACTGCACTCTAGCCTGGGCGACAGAGTGAGACTGTGTCTCAAAAAGCCAACAAAAAAAGAGGATATAGACTTTTCTTTTCCTCAGGCAGCTTGTGGTCTAGTGTGAGAGACTTATTTGTAGAAGAGTAATTACATTATGGTGTGATAAGTGCAATGATAGAAATATGTGTAAGGTGTGGACATAGGAAATAGGCAGTGGTTACCTGTTGGAAAGTCTTCCTACAGAATGTGGTCCTTGAACTGCGGTTTAAAAGACGAGTAAGAGTTTTTCCAGGTGGTGCTGAGTGGACAGGAAGACTAGGAAAGAGGAGGCTGACATTTATAGTTGGTGGCATACGTGAGCAACAGGTTTAGAATTTGGTATACTCTTGCCATGGCAAATGGTAGAGGGCTTGGCTCAGACTGTGTACTGAAGGACTTGATGCCCTTCAGTGAGTTTTATCTAAGATACTCTGACCTGAACAGAATTTGAGATGATTGTGCCGGGTCCACTGGGATATCTTACGATCCTTCGTGGGTCATATGGATTCTCCATTAGTGCGTCCCAGCTGAAACTTACAGAAAGGGCTTAAGCAGAGAACATGCTTTTTGGAGTACAAAGTGATATTTTTATTTGGTATGGCCCGTTCATTGTGCATCCATCCCATAGGCAAATGGTGATACGAAAGCTTTTCCCTCTTTTGGTAAGAAGTAACCAAGTTCTGAAAGAAGCATATCATGCGGCTTTCCCAATTGCCAAGTTATGATGACACAAAGTCCAAAATGCGTGTAAAGGTTTTTGACCAAGTAGAAAAGCAGAGAACCCCAACCAGTATAATGTGTCAGAATGCTTTTTCTCTTCAATTGTAAAAGCACCACAACGTTCAACATCTGGAAACCAAGAAAATAATGAAAAGAACCTTTTTTCATGTGTATAATATTTTAAAACTTGGTTACATGTTATTTTTTGGTATTTCTAAAGTCAGAGACATTTTAGAAGTGAAATCCCTAGTAGGCTATTGTTTTACCAAGCACACTGAAGTTCCTCGAATACCGTTGAAGATGAGCTAGACATTTGTTCTGAGACGTGTCTGGACATCATGTGGTTGTGTTAGTCATCTTGTTGATACTTGTTGTTAATTTGGTAAGAATACATTGACTACATACTCTCCCTTACTACTTTTTATTAGCATTCATATTAATCTTATTTCAAATCAAGGTTACAGCTTCATGTCATTTGTAGAGTCAGATAATCCTAGAAAGGCTTGTAAGAAAGAAGTGCCAACATCCTTCCCCTAATCATGTTTCCTCCCCTGCAGAGTATCTACTTCAGCCTTAGTAGATTTCCTTGATCTTTGCCTCCAACTCTAAAGAGCATATTTGCTTGACGTCTGTATTTGTGTCTCCTACCCCTGTTTCATGTGATGTCTCTTCGCTTGACACTGAGAATAGGTAGGAAGTTCCTAGCTTTCTTTCACCCTCTGCCTTCTCAGTGCAAACGGATCCATGGCTGCCCAAAGTGATATATCCTTAATTTGGTTAGTTCAGTATTGATTGTTTATATTATGACTACATATTGCCATTTACAGCTGGACGAAGTGGTATAATAGGATTGTTTTCACTTTTCTGGATAACTTTTTGTTTTCCTGGGTTATTACAAGTCTTATTTGTTTTTGTTTGCTTGCTGCTTGCTCAGTTTTCTATATTTTGTCACTACAATTCAACCCCAAATTCTGAAGCAATTATCTAAATCTTTCAAGAAATTGTCCGTTTTCTTTTGAAGAAAATTAGTATTCCTATCATTTTATCTTGAATAAATCTCTCCCAGCGCCTCCAATCTGCTGCAGGCTTGTCTGTGCCTGAAATCTTCCTGTAACTCTCCTCACTCCCTCTTGTGTTGGAGCCTCACTTTTCTGGAACCTATGTCATTCTCTTGATTTGACTGTCTCACTTCGATGGAGCACATCCTTCACTAGTTGCCTGAGAAGTGCATGGCAGATGAAGTTTTCAGAATTTGTATGTACGAAAGTGCCTCGTTCTGCTCTTATCCTGAGTAGGAATTTGGACATCATTTTGCTCCGCGGTCTCTAAGTTTCCAGTGTTGTTGAAGTCTTAAGCCGTTCTGATTCTCTTTTATTGATACGTAACATTTTTAGAGCCTTTGTGTGTGACTATGTTTTCCTCCATGAAACCTGAAGGTTTTTGTTTCTTTTTTTTCTTCTTTCTTTCTTTTGTTTTTTTTTGAGACACAGCGTCTTGCTCTGTTGCTCAGGCTGTAGTGCGGTGGCGCTGTCATAGCTCACTGCAGCTGCAATCTCCTGGGCTTGAGTGATGCTCCTGCCTCGGCCTCCCAAGTACCTGGGACTACAGGCATGCACCGCCACACCTGGATAATTTTAAAAACTTTTTGTAGACATGAGCTCTCTATGTTGCCCAGGCTGATCTTGAACTCCTGGCCTCAAGTGATTCTCCTGCCTCAGACTCCCGAAGTGCTGGGAGTGAAGGCTTTGCATCTGGCCTCAGAGGCTTTTCTTTCTGTGAAATTCAGAACTCCCAGAACAGTGATGTCCCTTGGAGACTGTTTTCATCCATCGTCTTGCCTACTCTTTGGTCCTGTTTATTTGCAACTCATGTTCTTCAACGCTGGGCATTTTTTTGATTTATTGCTTTGATTTCTTCCTATTTGCTTTCTCTCTCTCTCTCTAGAATTCTACTCTTGGACTTTCTGGATTGGCACTCATAATTTTCTTAAGGTTTCTTTTTCCCCCCTCTAAAATTTTTGTTTTTGTTTTTATCTTTTAAATTGTAAATTGACAAATTATACTTGTACATATTTAGGGGGTACAAAGTGATGTTACGATTTATGGATACAATAAATAATAAAATCAAGTTAACATAATTCATCACTTCAAATACTTTAAGTTTTTTGTGGTGAAAGCATATGAGATTACTGTCAGCACTTTTGAAATCGACATTATTATTTACTATATTCACCGTGCTGTACAATATATCTCATAAAAGAAAACCACATTCCTCCTGTCTAATTGATGTTTTGTACCCTTTGGTTTTTCATTTTCTTTCTGGAAGTTATTCTCAAGTTTGTCTTCCAGCCCTTCTACCAAGGTTTTTCTCATTTCTAAGAGCTTTTTCTTGTTCCCTCTATTCCTATTTTATAACCTATTTTTTGTTTCATGAATGTGGTATCTCCTGTTAACTGTTGGAAGATATTGATGAGGTTTTATTTTTCCCTGTTTTCTTTTTCCTTAAGTCACTATTGAGGCTGCTCTGGTTTGTTGTGGGTTTTTGGCTTTTGTCAGCCTTTTCTGGGCTATGCAGTGATGTTCTTGTGCCTGCTCGTGAGTCAGAGGGCCTCTGAGCCTGTGTCTGTGGCTGACTGTGGCTTTCACTGCAGAGGCACCTGGCTGGGCCATTTCCTTACAGCACCCTTGTCAGCTTCTTTGGGTTTCTTCAGATTCCCCAGAGAAATATCTTGTAGCCCTTTGCCTGGCTGAGTGGCCAAGTGAGGAGAGAGGCCTGGGAGCACAGCAGTAACCATAAAAGAGCTTACTTCCCTCTTTTCAGAATTGTTTCCCTCCTCTGTAACTGGTGTCCCCAGTCCAAAGATTCTACTTCCCTTTGCAGACAGAAAAGCGATACCTTTTTGCCAGGATAGGAGAGGGACTGTGCAGGTTGGCTCTGTGTGGCTGTGCAGAGTTGTGGGGTGCATCTTAGGGATCTTCGTGCCTTTTAAACCTATCAGCCAACTCTGTTTTTAATTCAGGTCTCCTGGCTTCCAGTCATATTGCCAGTTGGCCTTCCCCATTGCCGATACAGGATTCAGCCCTTTTAGGTCTGTTTCCAGTTTCTAGCCTCCAGTATTTTAATGTTCTTATCTCTATTCTTATTCTTTGCTTTCGTGATTTGTATCTTAAAAAAAGAAAAAATCGTTTACTATCATTTTAGTGGTGCTTCACGAAGTAGTGTAAATGTATTGATCTGACAACGGCTCGTGCTGGAGACACTGTTCCAGGAAGTGGGACACAGTAAGGAAAATGCAAGTGTGTTCTCCTGCACTTTCACGGAGGTCACGTTTTGGTAAGCGGTGTCAGGCAGTCAGCAGACCAGCAGATATGCAGTATGTCCAATGTGGACAAGAAGAAAGGAGGAAAATAAAGTATCGAGGGGAGTGGAGTGGGGGACACAGTGGCAGTTTGGCATAGTGGGGAGGCCTTGCTGATTGAGCGACAGTTGATTCAAACTTGAGATGAGCAAACAAGCCATGGGCAGCGATCTGGGGAAGAGCGTTATAAGAGGAATGGACAGGAGGTGAAAAGCACGGGGGCAGGACTGTGTTGTGCACGTTAGAGGAATGTGGAACACCAGTTATTAGACCAGTGTGGAGCAGGACCAGAGGGTGTAGGAGACGGGCAGGTCAGGGAAGAAGCCGGGGCTCCTAGCAGTCGGATCTTGATGCCTTTGGAGAGCTGGAGCAGAGTGACCCAGTACTGGTGGTGGATCGTGGTGAAGTGACCATGGGCCACACCATTCACGACATTTCTTACTTTTCCTGTCACCTGTAGGAGGCAAGTATTGTTGTTATCACAGGTCGAGGTAGACCCTGAGGCAAAGGCTAGAGTTAGTGGTTTGGCTCCAGTTTGTGCCTTCAGCTACTTCACTGCTTCCCTAACCTGGCCTTGTCAGTCAGCCTCAGTCTACCATCTACCCAGGTCTGCATACCCCGCAAAACAGTATACACTTTGACGCTTTTCTGCAAGCACAATTACCTTTTGGGGGAGCCCTTCTCTTAAAGCAGAGTAGGTTAATGTTTGTGAATGAAACGGAACTTTGGCAGGCTGAGGTGTCTCAGGTCATCAGCTTACGTTGTCTACTGTGTGACTAATTGAGGCAAAAGATGTCCTTTTTAATAGTATTTTCTCATCACTTTTGCCTGGGTGCCCTTTAGGAATGTTATTTTTGGCATACAACTTGAGTTTCACTTAAATTTATAATTCTTTCTGTTCATTCCTACTGCTCTGTTGCCCAGATGTGGATTTTGCTTTGTCTCACAAGCGTTGCTGAAACACTGGTAGAAAGGTGGACGACGGATTGGTTGTGATTAGTTTGATCTTCACAGTACAGAAATTCAAAAGGTCAATAAGCTCAACAAGATTGCTGTCTCACTGATGATCAGAGTTGCCATTAAAATCGTATTTCCCGCACATCAGGCTGGAAAAAAGAATAAACATGATCATTTTAGTTGTCCTCAAAGGAGAAGAGGACAGGTATTCTGTAATCAGGTGTTGTGAGTGTAACTAGTTAAACTCTTTGGGAGGTGGGCAGTTTTACCTTGGCAATATCTATCAATGCATTGCCTGTCATCATATAATTCCATTTCCAATTCAATTTATCCTGTGGGGGTAGAGGCCCAAGTGAGCAGAGGATGTTCTTTCCAGCATTGTTTATAATCGCAAAAAAAAAAAAAAATTAGTTCAAGGGTCCTATCAGTAGGGGATTTATTAAGGTATGTTTACTCCACTCAACATGTAGTTGTTAACAAATGAGGTAAATTTGTATTTGGTACTCGGAAAGATGGCCATGGTGTCTTTTCAAATGAAAATAAGTGTAGCAGATGGTGAAAGAATGCATGTAAGATCCTATTTTTATTTAAATCATGTATTAAAATTATAATTAAAGTATAATTAAAATTACAGTTTTGAAGATACAGTTTAGAATATATTTTTTGGTAAAGCCTCATGGGGGGGTTGCCAGTTTTTACATTGTTTTGTTGAGTTATCTTTTAGAATATTTTTAAAGCTAAAAAATCAAGTTCCTTGGTAGACCATCACTACAGCAAGCCCACTGCAGTATTAATCTATTAATACTGTCAATGTTAATTAAACCATTATTCGTGTAGCCCCTACCCATCCCATTCCAGTCTCTCAGGAGGCTTAGCTGTATCCCAGAGACCCCAGTGCTATGACCGCAGGTCTCTCCTGGGGCAGGAAGAGGTAAGAAGTGGCTGATGTCAAAGTCAACAGTCAGCAAGTGGCGTGAGCAGTCTCGATGAATTCTTTCAAATAAGCGTTTTTCAGATCCACTCTAGGGCTTGCCTTTTCCCTCTGTTGTAGTCTCAGAAGTTCTTGAGGTAGACCTTGTGAGACCTGCAGCAGTACTTGCTGTCTTAGGTACAGAAGGCAGGATATTGATTATTTCTCCCTGACTCAACAAAGAGTTGAGATGTTTATCCAGGTTAGGATGACACTGCCCCCCTGTCCCCCCCGCCCCCCAAAAAAGAAACAAAAATGAAAGGATGGTGTCTTTGACTGTACTGGGAGTCAGGAGACCTCACTTCAATTTTGGGCTTTTCCTCGTTTTTTTTTTTTTTTTGAATAGGTTCAGAGCTACTCCCTGGACCTGTTCTTATCAGCCTTATGACTTGGGGACTTGGGATACTTTTTTTTTTTTTTTTAATTTATTGAGACAGAGTCTCTCCCTGTCACCCAGGCTGGAGTATGACAGCATGATCTCCGCTCACTGCAACTTCCGCCTCCCGGGTTCAAGCAATTCTCCTGCCTCAGCCTCCTGAGTAGCTGGGACTACAGGCATGCACAATAGTAGAGATAGGGTTTTGCCGTGTTGGCCAGGCTGGTCTCGAATTCCTGACCTCAAATGATCTGCCAGCCTCGGCCTCCCAATGAAGTGCTGTGATAATAGGCATGAGCCACTGCTCCCAGCCTGACTTGGGGTACTTTTTGACCTGTAGGATTTCAGCTCCTTTCTTTTAAAAATAAGAAAGCTGAGGCCAGGCGCAGTGGCTCACGCCTGTAGTCCCAGCACTTTGGGAGGCTGAGGCGGGCAGATCACCTGAGGTCAGGAGTTCGAGACTGGCCTGACCAACATGGAGAAGCCCCGTCTCTACTAAAAATACAAAACTAGCCGGGCGTGGTGGCTCATGCCTGTAATCCCAGCTGTGGGAGGCTGAGGCAGGAGAATTGCCTGAACCTGGGAGGCAGAGGTTGCAGTGAGCCGAGATCACGCCATTGCACTCCAGCCAGGGCAACAAGAACAAGACTCCATCTCAAAAAAAAAAAGCTGAATCTCTGAGTGGGTTTTTCATTTTTCATTTTTTTTTTTAAACAGATGCCTCAGAACCTGGGTAACTCAGTTTATCAGAAATTCAGTTTTCAAGTTTGGAAGGATAACACTTGGAGCTGGTAGTCACTCATAAAACATCTGATTTTGTGATCACGTTTAAGAATCCATGAATGATATAAAAATCCTCACCTATTAAAACTTTTTGGCCGGGCGCGGTGACTCACACCTGTCATCCCAGCACTTTGGGAGGCTGAGGTGGGTGGATCACGAGGTCAGGAGATCGAGACCATCCTGGCTAACACGGTGAGACCCCGTCTCTACTAAAAATACAAAAAATTAGTTGAGCATGGTGGCGGATGCCTGTAGTCCCAGCTACTCGGGAGGCTGAGGCAGGAGAATGGCGTGAACCCGGGAGGCGGAACTTTGCAGTGAGCCGAGATCACGCCACTGCACTCCAGCCTGGGCGACAGAGCGAGACTCCATCTCAAAAAAAAAAAAAAAAACAAATAAACAACTTTGTATTCATTGCTTCCTATATACTAGTCATCACGCTATTTATTTCTAGCAGTGGTTATCACCAGGGTGATTTTTGTTACCCAGGGCACATCTGGCAGTGTCCAGAGACCTTTGTGGTTGTCGTGACCTACAATCATCTGGTGGTTGTGGCCAGAGATGCTTACATCCTGTGGTACACAGGGCAGCCCCCGCAACAGAAGTATTCGACTCAAAATGTCAGCAGCGCTGAGGTTGAGGAGCCCTGCTGTAAAGGGTCAGTCCTTGAAAGGGCTCTAGGGTATAGCCATCACAGGCCCCGTTTTTTTGGTTGGAAAGAGTAGAGCCTGGCCAGGTCCGGTGGTTCACGCCTGTAATCCCAGCACTTTGGGAGGCTGAGGCGGGTGGATCACCTGAGGTCAGGAGTTCGAGACCAGCCTGTCCAACATGGTGAAACCCCATCTCTACTAAAAATACAGAATTAGCCGGGTGTAGTGACACATGCCTGTAGTCGCAGCTACTCAGCAGGCTGAGACAGGAAGATAACTTTAACCCAGGAGTTGGAGGCTGCAGTGAGCCAAGATCGCGCCACTGCACTCTAGCCTGGGAGAGACAGAGCGAGACTCCGTCTCAAAAATGAAAAAGTAGAGCCTGGTAGAGTGAAGCCACTTGCAGGAGTCGTTTAGTTAGGGCTGTGTTGCCTTACAGTGCTGGTGTCCTCACAGATGATAATAGTAATAAAAAACACCACACCGGTTTATTGTGTGCCAGCTCGGGTTAAGTGCTGTCTATGTATATGCTCATGGTAACACAAAAGGCATTAATATCAACTTTTTATAGGAGAAGAGACAGGCCCAGGAAATCAAGATCTGTAATTATTTCTTCTTTTTGTTATCTTGGCCCTTAACTTTTAGAAGTTCACACATTTAAACATTCCATCTTGACAGATTTACCCAGCGTTTGAGTGTCTGTGGGGCTTCTCTAAAGCTCAGGGTCAAAGGGGATATCCTGCCCACACAGCACTTTCTAGTTCAGGAGTGGGACCAACCAGGCCTTTGCAGCAAGATAGGTATTCGGTGCTGAAATACACGCTGTAAAGTTGTCCTGTGTTTCTTGGGATTTTGAATATCTTTCATTGATTCAATTGGCATTTATTTTTCACCAAGTACATATTCAGTAAATGTGTTTTGGAAAAACAGTGAACAAATCAAAGTCCCAGCCCTAAAGCCATTTAGGCACTCACGGCCTATCTCTGCAGTAACCTGCTGCTTGTTAGCACTGGGACCAAGTCCATCTGTGGCTGCCTTCGGGGGATTGGCTTCTAGTCTAGACTCTTGCTGGGTTAGTGTTTCCATCATTCTGTCAAGGATCCAGCTCTAAGGCTGATAGCCACTTCCCTGAATTCATGTGATGGATGCACAAGCCTCTTGGACTAACTCCCCTCTTCATTTTACTGCTTCCACCCCAAGCCTGGGTTACACGTGAAGCCATTGGTGTGCTATTAATGTATTGGTGATGCTTTTACTTGGTTTGGATCCCTATGGCTTAGCAGAGTAACTTGATCATGGCAGGTGCCATATACGTATTTTGAGGGATGAACAGATAGCATAGTGTTGATTGCTAAAAAGGTAATGATCTGGCCGGGCATGGTGGCTTATGCCTGTAATACATACACATGCACTTTGTAATCCCAGCATTCTGGGAAGCTGAGGCAGGGGGATCACTGGAGCCTAGGAGTTTGAGACCAGCCTAGGCAACAAAGTGAGACCCCCATCTCTACAAAATATAGAAAAAAGTTAGCTGGACCTGGTGGTGTGCCTTTGTGGTCCCAGCTACTCAGGAGACTGAGGTGGGAGGCACGTTTGAGCCCAGGAGGTCGAGGCTGCAGTGAGCTGTAGTCACACCACTGCACTCCATTCTGGGTCACAGAGTGAGACTCCGTCTCCAAAAAAAGAAGTAATATTCTGAACTTGTCCTTTCTTGACTTTTTGGTGAATTATAACGGGCTGCCAGAATCTAGATCAGCTTTTTAGGCTCTGAGAGATATGCTTCATGTAGAAATAATCCAGTCTGAAGGCCAGGTCTCAAGGTGTCACTTTTGTATTCTTGGATGACTGTTGAATGTGTGGTCTCGACGAATGGCTTTGTGGAGCAGCTTTCTCCAGAGACTTGCATGTGCTTGGATTAACAAACTTGCGATCCAGGGATGCTAAGCAGGTGCCTTCTGTGACCAAGCTCAGTATTGAGGGCGCTGCTGTCCTTGAGGCAGCCAAGTGTTCTTGTATACAGCTGTGTTGTGTAGCAGGTTAAGTGCTGCCTCTCTCCTGTTGCTTGTTTTCTGTAATATGTCACCTTTCTTGGCATGATTCCTTTGTCCAGTCTTCCAGCGTCCTGTTGTATGGTGTGGGTGGGCTGGGGACTGCATAAATGAGTTGGAGCAGTGATGTTCTTGGCCTTGCTCTGTCCTGTGAGAGAGGACCCTGCACCATCTGGGGCTCCTGGAGTGGCACCCTGCACCAGCAGGACGCAGCTCTTCCTGGCCCTTCTGTCGGCCTCTAAACACAGTGCAGGCTGACTTTCTTATCACAGCTCGTTTGGCTGGCTGGACCAAATGCTGCTTGTTTCTTTCTGGAGTGGGGAAATAACTTCAACCAGGTGCAGTCAGTGTGTATTCTTATCTCAGCTGCAAAAGCTGTTCTAAATGCCCTTCTAGGGAACTTTTGCGGTGTGAATTTAGTGGTTGTGCTGCGTGTTAGTCCTGCCCAACACTAGGCCCAGGCAGCTAGAGTTAAGTCGTTGGGCATTGGTAGGGCACTGTGAGCAAAGACTCTCTTACCTCGGGCCAGGCAGAGAAGGACACAGTGGCTGAGCTCACCTGCTCCTTGGTCATCCTTCAAACCTCTGAGTGTGTGTGGTTCCTTGGGGAGAGAAAGCAGTTTTCTCGTGGGTGCCAAGACAGCAGCTACCTGCATAGCAACTGCTCCTGGCCTAGTAGGAGATTTACATGTGGAGACTCTGGAGAGAGCTGCACTTCTAAAGGGGTTGCCACAACAGACAGCCTTAGGGGAAATGGGGAAACTGGAGAAAAGGGCTCTTATCCCAAAAGGACCAGATCCATTGGAACAGATAGAGGTAAGGAGGCAAAGAGAAAGCAACAGTACAAGTGTAAAATTGGGAGAAATAGTTTTTAAAGGGGGTCATTTATTTGGCACTTTTACCAATTTGTTTTGAAACAGAGTCTCAGTCTGTCGCCCAGGCTGGAGTGCAGTGCTGTGATCACAACTCATTGCAGCTTCTAACTCCTGAGCTCAAGTAATCCTCCTGCTTCTGCCGAGTAGCTAGGACTATAGGGTGCCTGGCTAATTTTTATTTTTTTTGTCAAAATGGAGGTTTGCTATGTTGCCCAGGCTGGTCTTGTACTCCTGGACTCAAGTCCTTCTGCTTCAGCCTCCCAAAGTGCAAAGTGCTGGGATTACAGGTGTGAACCACCTAACCTGGCCTCTAGTTTGTTTGTTTGACACAGGGTCTTGCTCAGTCACTAGTTGGAGTACAGTGACACTATCATAGCTCACTGCAGTCTCGAACTCCTGGGCTCAAATGATCCTTTTGCCTCCGCCTCCTGAGTAGCTGGGAAGCATACTACAGGCACTGTACCTGGCTAATTAAATTTTTTTTTTTTTTTTGTAGAGATGGGAGTTGTGGGGGGTCTCACTCTGTTTTGCTATATTGCCCAAGCTGATCTTGAACTTCCGACCTCAAGCAGTCCTCCCACCTCGGCCTCCCAAAGTGTTGGGATTACAGGTGTGAGCCACTGTGCCTGGCCCTCGGCCTCTTTTACCATTTTTGAAATTGAGGTTTTGAAACAAGTGACTTGCTCAGAAACAGTTTTACCCCTTAGGGCTTCCTTTTCAATATTATAAGATGTATGGTTTCTGATTTATTTATTAGAATAGGAAACTTTTTGCCTTAAATCTTTTTCTTGAAAAATTAAAAAAAAAAACAAAACGAAAGGAAAGGATGGCCCTTTGGGATCTTTTCTGCCTGTCTGCTGTAACCATTCGACAGTTGAGAACCATGTTGCTTGGTGTCTTGTAGCTTGTAAATAGAAGACTGAAGTGTGTGTGAGTAGAACCTTAAAATTCACTTTTCCTTTGCTTTGTCTTCTTTATGTTGGAGTTTGCTTACTCCTGAGTGTATATTATTAGATGATTACAGGTGTGTAGTATTCACCCCAGTATTTGCTGGCTAGTGTGAACAAAATGAAATACACTGCATCATCCGAATGTGTTTTATTTTGTAGCAATGTGTATATTACTCTTAATTTTCACTCTTCTTACGTGATATGCTTTCTAATTTTATTAATACCTAGCTCATTTGACTGTTTCAAATGATATTACTGATTTAATTATATTTACTTTTTAAACATTTGCTGATAAGTAGACGATTAGGTGGTCTTATAGCATTGGTTTAAATCAGTATGTGTGTGGCCGGGTGCAGTGGCTCATGCCTGTAATCCCAGCACTTTGGGAGGCCTAGGTGGGCAGATCACGAGGTCAGGAGATCGAGACCATCCTGGCTAACACGATGAAGCCCCGTCTCTACTAAAAATACCAAAAAAAAAAAAAAAATTAGCCGGGCCTGGTGGCGGGCGCCTGTAGTCCCAGCTGCTGGGGAGGCTGAGGCAGGAGAATGGCATGAACCCAGGAGGCGGAGCTTGCAGTGAGCAGAGATGGCACCACTGCACTCCAGCCTGGGTGACAGAGTGAGACTCGTCTCAAAATAATAATAATAATAATAATAATAATAATAATAATAATAATAGTATGTGTGCATGAAATCAGTTCACTTTGAAGAATACAATTTTTTTCTTTTGAAACAAGGCTTCTATTTTGATCTAATTGCTCATGCTTGGAGCTGCCTGGCCAGCCCCTGAGACCCAAGTTCTGTGTTCCCTTTGTCGTCTGCACAACGAGCTCAGCAGACTGCTGGCTGCGTGTTACAGGGCTCTGGGGTGTCCCCGGGTTCAGCCCTACTGTCTCAGAGAGAGGAGGACCTGGCCTGTGAAGGACTGAGGTGGTGATGTGAAGGTCTTTTCTCCATCAAATCTTGCGCCAGTTACCTTGTATAGTATTTAGATTGTTGTTATCAGTTGGTCATATGGCTTTATTGAAGGCTGGTTTAGCATATTTAGAACTTATTTGGCATGCATTAGGATTCTTCTTCTTAGAGTATTTTAATTCCAGTATGTACTTATGCTTGTCTTCTCTACCTGCCCCCAGTCTTGAAGTGGTGGAAATGTGTGTGTGTGCATGTGTGTGTACTTTCCTTAAGCCCTTGCTGATTGATGCAGTCACTTGCTTTCACCCTGCTTAAATATTCCTAATTCTCGCTGGGCAGTGTTCCTGTTACATGTCGTGGGTTACTCCGATTTGCCTAGTGTCTGAGTTTTGCCTCTTGTTCGTCTTTTAGGGCAGTGTACGACTGGGGCTCAGCAGTGCTAGTGGCTGGCCCAGATGGAGCACCGGGGGGCGCCCGCCTTCTACTAGGAAGAACTGGGCGGGGTGGGGGGAGTTCCCCATGTGGACCTCGAAGTTGTTTGGGATGTGCTGCTGTGCATATCTAGGTTGTGCTGTGGCTTTCTTGATGCTTTCTGGTGGTTTAAAAATCTACTTTCTCATGAAAGAACGTGAACCAGAAAAAAAAAATCTTTTATGAAGTTTGAGAAAATGATTGGGTGACAGACTTTAGAATCGTGACAATATGCTTTGCTACATAAAGTTTGGGTGCAATGTGCATTCATTTTGTAGTTGAACTCGTGATTAAACAGATATAGTCAAAATTTGTTTTTTGTTTGTTTGAGACGGAATCTCGCTCTGTCCCCCAGGCTGGAGTGCAGTGGTGGGATCTCGGCTCACTGCAAGCTCTGCCTCCTGGGTTCACGCTGTTCTCCTGCCTCAGCCTCCCCAGTAGCTGGAACTATGGGTGCCCGCCATCATGTGCGGCTAATTTTTTGTGTTTTTAGTAGAGATAGGGTTTCACCGTGTTAGCCAGGATGATCTCGATCTCCTGACCTCGTGATCCACCTGCCTAGGCCTCCCAGAGTGCTGGGATTACAGGCGTGAGCCACCGCGCCCCGCCCAAAATTTGGGTTTTGACTTTGAACTGGAATGGTCAGTGTTATCTGCCATCCCTCTCCTATATTGATGTTTATTTCCAAATTAGGGTGTTTAGTTTTCCTTTCTTTTTTTTTTTTTTTTTTTTTTTTTGAGACGGAGCCAGGCTGGAGTTCAGTGGTGCCATCTTGGCTCACTGCAACCTCTGCCTCCTGGGTTCAAGTAGTGATTCTCCTGCCTCAGCCTCCCGAGTAGCTGGTACTACAGATGCACGCCACCATGCCTGGCTAATTTTTGTATTTTTAGTAGAGACGGTTTCACCATATTGGTCAGGCTGGTCTTGAACTCCTGACCTTGTGATCCACCTGCCTCGGCCTCCCAAAGTGCTGGGATTACAGGCGTGAGCCACCGCGCCCGGCCTTAGGGTGTTTAGTTTTTCTAATCACAGTAGTAGTACATATCCTCCATTAATTTTTTTAAAAAACGATCCTGAATTTACAGAGGAGGTACGGGTACCGTACAGCTCTTTATCTGAACCACCTGAGAGTAAGTTGGGACTACGAACCTCACCCTGGGATATTTTGGTATGTTTACTTATAGACAAGACACCTTCCTCCTTAACCGCAATACAGCCATCAAAGTCAGGAAATCAACATGAATGCGTTGCCGCCTTCTGATCAGGCAGCGCATTCTCATTCCACTGAAAGGATCTAGTTCAGAACCACAGTTCATTGTCAGATCTCTTTAGTCTCTTTCAAACTGGAATGGTTCCTCTGCCTGAGCTTGACACTTTTAATGATTACCAGCAGTTATTTTGTGGGGTCCCTTATTGTGGGTTTGTTTGGTGTTTCCTTTTGATTAGATCTAGGTTTTGCGCCTCTGGCTGGAACAGTACAAGGAGGAGGCTGGGTTCTTCTCTGCATCCTAATAGGTGGTGCAGAATTCAGTTAGTCCCCTTAGTGGTGATGTGCACTTTACTTGCTTGATTCAGGTGCTGCCTTCCAGCTTCTCCACTGTGAAATCTTTGTAATTGTTAAGTATATAGTAGGGAGATACTTTTGAAATAAAATCAAACTTTCAGTTATCTCAACTATCTCAACTTTAATCAGAGTTCAATTTGCTTATTTATGTCAATATTGGCTCATGGTTTCCCCAGTTAATTCGGTTGATTGTTACCCTTTTGCCATGACTTTATTTGATGTTCATCATCTCAGGTTTGCCCCTGAGAGCCCCTCAAGCTCCTGTGTCCTTTATTTATTTATCTATTTATTTTTTTCATTATTATTATTTTTTCAGACTGAGTCTCACTCTGTCGCCCAGGCAGGAGTGCAATGGCGCCATCTCGGCTGACTGCAAACTCCACCTCCCGGGTTCAAGCGATTCTCCTGCCTCAGTCTCCTGAGTAGCTGAGATTACAGGCACGCGCCACCACGCCCAGCTAATTTTCTGTATTTTTAGTAGAGACAGGGTTTCACCACGTGGCCCAGGCTGGTCTCAAACTCCTGAGCTCAGGCAGCCTCCTGCTTCTGCCTCCCAAAGTGCTAGGATTACAGGCATGAGCCACCATGCCTGGCCCTTTTTTTTTTTTTTTTTTTTTTTTTTTTTTTTTTTTTGAGACAGGGTCTCACTCTGTCCAGGCCTGGAGTGCAGTAGCGAGCTCTCGGCTCACTGCAACCTCTGCCTCCTGGGTTCAAGTGATTCTCCCGCCTCAGCCTCCCCGGTAGCTGGGACTGCAGATGTGTGCCACCACGCCCGGCTAATTTTTTTATTTTTAGTAGAGAGAAGGTTTCACCATGTTGGCCGGTCTTGAACTCCTGACCTCAGGTGATCCACCCGCCTTGGCCTCCCAAAGTGCTGGGATTACTGTCTGTGTCCTTCTGATATGTCCTCATTATTCTCTGTCTCTTTCTCTTCTCTTCTCTTTCTTTCTTGTACCACAGGATATTCTGGGCTCTTCATGTACCTTCCCTGCCCCAGACCTGGATTCTGCCTTTTCTTCAAGAAGGCCTGCTTCCCTTTTATGGCAGTTGGCTCTCAGAGAAACAGGGTCTAGGCACCAGCTAGGTTGCTGGAGTGTTACTATACCCAGGCCCTCTCAGTCAACAGAGTATGTGTATACATACATATACAAAACATACCTACAGCTACATGCGTGTGTATTTTTAACACAGTCTCATTTTTTAATATCTCCATGTATTGAAAAGCATGAGTTTATTCCAGTACCCCCATTTCCAATGTAGTAGCACAGGGTTTATTCTAGTTTCTCGCTTTCCAAGTGGATAACTCCGTTTCCCAACAGTGACAATCTTAGATCCCAGTGTCTCTAATATGTTTACTTCCTTGATTATTCACCCTGTATGGAACGAGGCTCCTCTTGTTGACCTTCCTGCTTGGATGCCCGCTGCCTCCTCATCTCACTCAGCTGCTGTCATCCTGCACCTCCACCCACCATGAGCATCTTCCTCACTCCACTTGGGCTCTGATACCCTAGCTATGTAGATATTCTCTTATGTGGAAGCCCGTATCCCCAGTTTAAAAACAAAAAAAGTCCAAGTCCTACACGCTCTCTTTTTGCAGCTTGATCATTTTCATTTAATGTACAGTAGTCTGTGCTTTTTCCAGACTGATACGTGAGCCGTTGGATTCTTGTTGGTAACAGCGCCTTACTGTGTGGTGTCCTTGTCCCACTTAGTATGACTGCCTTCGTGCTGACGCACACTCGTGTTCTTCCAGTTCTTTGCCTGTGGCATGCTGTTGTGAGCCTCACCTGTCACACCTATGCTTCTGTATTCTTTTGCAGGCACTTCTGGAGAGTAGCATTTTTGAAGTGTGATTGCTGACTTAGATTGTATATTTCTATTTTTTGTTATGTGTTTCTAAATTGCCTTCTAATTTTATACTTCCTCAATGGTTGAGTAGTCTTTTTTCCCCCTCACCATTATAAACACTGAATGATCACTTTTGTTCATCTTTGCGGATCTCATAAAGGCTGCATGAAGATGAACATCTATTCGTGTGTTTGTGGGCAATTTTATGTTAATTTTCTGTGATTTGTGTGTTCATATGTCCTAACCTATTCAGATGTTTTCCAGACATTGAAAAACTCCATTTGTATCTTGACTTCTATATTAGTGTTCTATAAAATTCTTATGCTCTGATAGGGTCAAATAAATCAATATCTTCCTCAGTGGTTTTTACAGTATATGTTGTTGGAGACTTTTTGCAGCCCCAAATCACAGGTTTTCCTCCTTAATCTTCAGGGCTTCAGGGTTTGATTGTTTACATCCAGATCTCCAATCCAGCTGAAATTTATTTTAGAGTATGTTGTGAGGTAGGGATCAAACTTTATATGTTTTCAAAATGGATAACAAATTGGCCCAATTCCTTGCTGATTTGAAATGGCACTTGTATCAAATAATAAATTCACAGGTACACGTGAGTCTGTTTCATGCATCAAGTGCCTCTTTCTTAGCCAGTAACACCAAGTGCTAATTACCATTGCTTTGTAGTATGCTTTGCTAATTTTAGTTGAATCCCAGCTTTTTTTTTTTTTTTTTTGCAAAATTTTCTAGCCTGGTTTTATGTTTAGGTGAATTTTTAGGAGAATCCTTGTTAGAGTTAAAAAAATATCCTACTGGGATGTTGTGTTACTTTCCCAGGGCTGCCGTAACAAATTACCACACATTTGGTGGCTTACAACAGGAATGTATTCTCTCGCAGTTTTGGAGACTGGAAATCTGAAATCTGGCAGGGCCACACTCCCTCTGGGGGATAGGAGAGAGATTGTTCTTTGCTTCTTCGTCTTCCAGCTCCTGCCCCACAGTCCTTGGCTTGCAGCTGCATGGTTCCCACCCCTGCCTCCCTCTTCACGTGGCTTTCTCGTCTGTCACGGGTGGCATTTAGAACCCACCCAGATAATCCAGGATCATCTCCTCATCTTAGTATCTTTCACTTAATGTCATCTGAAAAGACCCCTTTTCCAAGAAAAGTAAAACAAATTTCAGGGATTGGGATTCCCTATCTTTGGGTGGCCATTTTTCAGCCTATCACAGATGTTATTTGGAGTGTGATTGGGGGTGTAGATGAACTTGGAATAGAACAGACATCTTTTGTGATGAATCTCCTGGCTAAGTCTTGGCATCATCTCCATGATTCAGGCTTCTCGTGTATATGTGTGTGTGTAAAATTTTTGTTTTGCCAACTTGCCAAGCTTGCCTTCACTGTTACTAGAGCTTCATTATAATAGAGAGGTTTTCTAAACAGGTCATCTGCAGACAGTGGTATTTGTCTCCTTGCTTCATTCTGTCTCTTTAGATGGCCTATTGGACAGTCTTTGACAATAGTAACATCTTGGTCATTCTGTTGCTTATTTTAATACTATACTATTAGCTTTTTAGTAAATATGTTACTTTGGGGAAATATTGTTCATATAGCCATTTGCTGATGTTAAACTCCATAGAAAGTAAATAATACATGCTGAATTTCATCAGTTTTTTGGGCATTTTTGAAATGGTCGTCGGTCAGCCACGTATATGTTTATTTGTCCTTTTTTTCTTTGAGACAGAGTTTTGCTCTGTCGCCCAGGCTGGAGTGCAGTGGTGCAATCTCGGCTCACTGCAGCCTCCGCCTCCCGGGTTCAAGAGATTCTCCTGCCTCAGCCTCCCGAGTAGCTGGGATCACAGGCACCCACCACCATGCCTGGCTAATTTTTAGTGTTTTTAGTAGAGATGGGGTTTCACCATGTTGACCAGGCTGGTCTTGAACTCCTGACCTCAGGTGACCCACCTGTCTCGGCCTCCCAAAGTGCTGGGATTACAGGTGTGAGCCACTGGGTCTGGCCTATTTGTCCTCCTTTTAGCCATAAGTATATATTTTCTAATTTTAAAACTGTATCCCTAGAACAGACCATTCTTAGTCATGATGTCTTGTTCTCTAAATTTAGTGATCAATTAATTAGGCTCGTGTTTTGTTTAAAATTTTACATGTTTTCTAGCTTGGGCAATATAGCAGGACCTGTCTCTTGGAGAAAAAATTAGTTGGGCATGGTGTACGCACCTGTAGTCGCAGCGCCTTAGGAGTCTGAGGTGGAAAGGATGGCTTGAGCCCAGGAGTTCAAGGCTACAGTGAGCTATCTTGCATCACTGTACTGCAGCCTGGGCAGCAGAGCGAGACTCTGTCTCAAATAAATAAATAATAAAATAAAATAGAAATTTACGTGTCTGTAGAATAGTCTATAATGATTAATCTCTGCAACATCTACTCATTGTTTTGGGAAGACAAAACAATGCCGATTTTCCTTTGGGGAACAACTCTTTCTACCATGTGTAAACCATGTGTTTTAGATAGAATGGCTCAGCTGCATGGGTGGACCTGGTTGGCTGTGGCTACTAGACATAACACATGCCCTTGGCCCCCTGATTATAGTTATTGGTCCCTAACGAGATCAGAACCCAATTAATGCCAATGAGTTACAAAAATAATTCGTGGCACCCGTGAGACAAAGAAGCTCTTATTTCCTTGGGAGCTACCAGAAGATACAATTACTGCCATTTATAACACTTCTTATTTCAAAACCAGGCAAAGATAATATTGTATCATTGTAATCTCGGGTGTGTGTTCTTTTCTTTTGTCAGGCTAGAGAGAGTTAATTGCTCTTCAATTGCTTTTTTCAAAGAAACTGATTTTGCTTTTGATTGACCAAGTAGCTATGTTTCTGTTTTTGTTTTTTTTTTTTTTTGAGGCAGGGTCTCGCACCCTCACCCAGGCTGGATTGCAGTGGTGCAATCACGGCTCACTGCAGGCTCAACCTCCTGGGCTCAGGCGATCTTCCTGCCGCAGCCTCCCAAGTAGCTGGGGACTACAGGCACGTGCCACCATGCCAGGCTAATTTTTTGTATTTTTGGTAGAGATGAGGTTTCGCTATGTTGCCCAGGCTGGTCTTAAACTCCTGGACTCAAGCGATCTGCCTGCCTCAGCCTCTCAAAGTGCTGGGATTACAGGTGTGAGTCACTGCACTTGGCCTGTTTTGTTTTGTTTTAATTTTTTTTGAGGCAGAGTCTCGCTCTGTCACCCAGGCTGGAGTTCAGTGGTGCAATCATGGCTCACTGCAGGCTCAACCTCCTGGGCTCAGGCGATCTTCCTGCCCCAGCCTTCCAAGTAGCTGGGACTACAGGCACGTGCCACCCAGGCTGGGAGTGCAGTAGCGTGATTATAACTCACTCACTGTAACCTTGAACTCCTGGGCTCAAGGGATCCTCCTGCCTCAGCCTCTCAGTAGCTGGGACTACAGGTGTGTGCCATCATGCATGGCTTTTCTTATTTTATTTTATTGTATTTTTTATTTTTTTGTGGAGATGGGGTCTTGCTTTGTTGTCCAAGCTGGTCTCAAACTCCTGGGCTTAAGTGATCCTAAAGTGCTGAGATTACAGGTTTGAGACACTGCACCTGGTCTTATATTTCATCAATTCTTTTTGTTCCTTCTACTTTGGTTTTCACTTTACATCTTGACTTGAATGCTTAGTTCATTCATCTTCATTAATAAAGTTTACAAGTTTGATTCACCCTGTGAGTGTAGCTTTAGCAGTGCTCTGTAGACGTTGATAAGTGGTCCTCTTTGCTCTTTCTTCTTTTCTGAGACGGGGTCTCGCTTTGTTGCCCAGGCCGAGTGCAGTGGCACAGCTCACTGCAGCCCCAGCCTCCCCGCACTCAAGTGATCCTCCTGCCTCAGCCTCCCTAGTAGCTAGGGCCACAGGTGTACACCGCCACACCTGGCTGATTTTTTGTTTTCTATTTTTATTTTTGTACAGGCAGTCTCACTATATTGCCCAGGTTTCTTTTCCTTTTTTAAACCTTGTTGGGAAAACTTCAAAATATACCACAAAATAAAAGAGAATAGAAGAGAATCATATGCCTGTCACCCAGCTTTCACAGTTGTCAGCATTTTACTATAGCCCTGCCCACTCCCAATATTTTATATTTTTCATTTGAGTATTTTAAAGCAAATCTCAGACTTTTAGTCACCTCTAAATACTTTAGCATGTATTTTTTAGGAAACGGCTTTAAAAAACATAACCACAATACCTTCATCATAGCTAACACCACCAACCACGCTCATTAATATTATCTAATATTTATTCTGTGTTTGGTTTTCTCCAGATGTCATAAAAAGCCTTTTTACACTTTGTTTGCTTGAATTGAAATCCAAAGAAGGTCTCCACATTGCATTTGGTTTAAGCCTCTTAGCTCTTTGAAAATCTATAGCTTGCAGCTTCTTTTCCCTTTTTTAGTTTTTGTTTTTAATGCCATTTATTTATGAAGGCAATAGGGTTGTTTGTGCTGTGGAACGTCCCAGGTTTGGGATTTGGTTGACTGTGTTGTGGCACTATCTAATGTGTTTTTCTAATCCTCATACTTCCTGTAGCTAGGTCAGGATGCTTAATTGGTTTCAGGCTGTTTGTTGTTGGGGGGGTGGGGGGCAGTGGTTTCAAGGATATTCCACAGACTGTGCTCTGTGTTGCACGTTGAGCAGCCAGGTTACATGATGTCGGGTGCGGTGTCAGTAGGTTGAATTATAGAGTTCTTTATCAACCAGTTCTCTACTGGGTTTAACGGCCATTTGCTTGTTGCTTGTACCCGTTATTTAGTTGGTGTATTACTTTCCTATTGCTGCTGTACCAAATTACAACACTGTGGCTGAAATCAGTCTCACTGGTCTAGAGTCTGGGTATCTGGGTGCCATCAGGCAGCTCTGGAGAGTATCTGCTTCCTGGCCTTTTCCAGCTCGTGGCAGCCATTTTTTGGCTATGGCCCCTTCCTCCATCATTAGAGCACATGATCTAAAGGACACTTGTGATTGTGGTTACGTCCCACCCATATAATCCAAAATGATCTCCCATCTCAAGATTCTTAATTCATCTGTAACATATCCAAATCCAGAAATTAGGACTTGAATATCTTTGGAGGCCATTGTTCAGCCTACAGCTGACAATTATAAAGTGAAGATTTTTCTAATTCTATTCTTATTTAAAGAAGATTTCCTGTATCAATTTTGGAGGTTCTGAAATGTGGTTCCTGCTGGGGAGAAAGAAGAAATGAATGATTTCTTTCCTTTATCAGTGTTTAGGATGCACTGGAACTAATAGCTTCCAAAGTTGAAGTTCATTTCTGTAGCATTTCCCCCTAGTACTATAAACCTGGGGATGTGATTGTGCTTCAACCCGTGGAAGCCGTATTTTGGTGCTTCTGTTGTTCTACCCAAGTTGGCTTGTGTCATCTTTGGGTGTGACTCCTTGGTTTGTGACTGCTCCCTGCCTGCCTGTCACAGGAGGGTGTTGTACCTCGTCCGTGTTCTGCTTAGACCTAGAGTCAGTCATGTTTCTAAGGAACCCCAGTCTCTTGCCGTGAGATGGTGTTTATATATCAGTCAGTTCAATGTGTATCATTTTCTTAGGCTAAAATCTTGGTTCTTAATGATATTAACTCGCTTACCTATTCTAAATTTTGTGACTCTGCTTTTCACTGATTTGTAGTAGCCGACGATGCTTAAGCATCTTTTATTCCCTTTCTAGATGGAGGCATCTTTGAAAAGTAAAGCGCCTCGTGTGATACAGAGCTTCCCCTCCTGCAGATAAGTCTCACAAACACTTAGCATGTGTCTGTCCAGAGTTTCCTGTTAAAACACACTTTCAGAGGCGTGTAGTGTATGAATAAGTGCCATTTTCATGGCACATATTTTTCATACAATATATTCTTACAGTAACGATACTGACATTATTAGGATATATCCCATTTGGAATATATTGTCAAATTATTGTGTTTTAAAGTTAAATAATTCTCTGATGCTTAGGCCGCCGCTCTGACATTGTTAGATACATTTGTTTCCATTTTCTAAGTAGACTTTTTATTGAGGTATAATAAACATGCACTTTTTAATGTATATAGCTCAGTGAATTTTCACTAACTGAACTCACTCATATAACCAGCATTGAGATAAAGAAGTGGAACGTTTTATTTTTAGAGTTTAGAGTCTGATTTTTTTTTTTTTCCTTTGAGACAGAGTTTTGTTCTTGTTGCCCAGGCTGGAGTGCAATGGCGCGATCTCGGCTCACCACAACCTCCGCCTCTTGGGTTCAAGCATTTCTCCTGCCTCAGCCTCCCGAGTAGCTGGGATTACAGGCATGTGCCGCCACGCCCGGCTAATTTTGTATTTTTAGTAGAGACGGGGTTCCTCCATGTTGGTCAGGCTGGTCTCGAACTCCCGACCTCAGGTAATCCACCCACCTTGGCCTTTCAAGGTGCTGGGATTACAGGCGTAAACCACTGTACCCGGCCTCTTCTGATGTTTATGGTTCTAAAACAGAGCTGTTACTCTTGTTCTGCTCAGATGAGCTTGATTTCCATCCCTGTCCCCTGTCCCTTCTTTCCTTACCCCAACATTTTCTTCTTGTTTCTTTCTGAAAATATAAACAGACATACACATTTCTATTTCTGACTCTTTCTTACAGAAAGGTAGCATACCCTGCACCTGCTGGCCTCCGTTGCTCTTTTCATTAACTGTGTACCCCGAAGACTATGCATAGTAGTGTATGGAGGCTTTCCTTCTACCTTTTATGCTATGTGTTGCTTCACTGCATGGACACAAAGTGGTTTCTTCAGCCCATCTGCATATTGAAGTTGTGTTACTTTCCAGATTTTTTTTTTTTAGCTTTTTATGTCTCGCTATCTCTGCTGTTGCCCTTCTGAAGTCCATTCATCCCACACGTGCAGTAGCTGGAGTTTCCTTTTTATCTAATACTTGAGTTTCCCACTGCCATACTCACCCCACGTTGATGCCTAATGTCTTCTTGAGGTTTCCTTTAGAGGGCACTCCTTACCTTTGGTGCCAGCCATTCTGCTATTCTGATCCTACTTCCCCTCATTACTGATCTTCCTTCTCTGCCATCCTGACCCCTTCCTGTCCTTGGATGCCTTTGGAGTTGCAGAGAAGCTGTCTTTATCTTCCTGGTGTGATACTTGTTTTCTAATAGTAGGAAATAGTGTTTTCTTGTTCTGCCCAGTTTTCTCTCTTTATAGATGAGACATCTAAGTTCCTGCTCCCTGGATGTATGTCAGTTTTTCTCTTACATGGTAATGTTCTGATCTGAGTCCGGTATCTCCATTGTCTAACTTTGCATAGAGGAACATACCTGTGCTTTGGTGGGGACGTTGTGCTTGTATTCGTGCAGTTTAATGTTGAATTAGCTCTTTGTGGAGACAGTTATATAAGTAAGCGTTTCTAGGGAGTCTTTATATCCAAAAGTGAGGCTTAATCTCTGAAGAGTAGACTGATAGGAAGAGAGTACCTGGAGAGATGATGCAGTCCCACCTTCTCATGAGACAAAGGAGGAAGCAGGCCAAGTGAAGAGGGTGATGTGCCAAGCAGTGTCAGCAGCAGATCGCACATTGGAGTGCCACATGCTCTCCACCCTTGAGAGGAGAAAACCTGAAGACTTGGGTTTTCCTGATGTGTGTTTTCTTGTTTGTAGAAAAGTATTGTTTCTATTTGGATAGGACTGAGCCCAAGATTAATCTTTCAGATTCTTAAGTATTTTCCACCCATGGCGTTAGCTAGCTTTGTATCCATAACAGAGTTCTTTATAAACATGAGCTAAGCTAATTCTAGCTCATAGAACTTTCCTATGTAAATTGTAGGAAGGAAAAAATCATCAAGTGTAAATTGTTGCCCTGGGTCAAACTTCAAATTATTTTGTTTCTTGTAGTTTAATGAGATTTATAGTGAGGAGATGGAAGGGATTTTTAAATTGCAGGACTAAAGGGGAATGGCCCTTCCTACAGCCATTCTGTTCCCATCCCCTTCCCAGGAACACCATTACAGTTGGGGTGGGGGCCTGCGTGGGCTTCAAGCCCTGGTGAGGAGTATGTGTGTGTGCAGGAGCTGCCATGAAACACCTTTCAGCGGCTCAGGGTGGCAGACTAGTGTTACCATGGCAGTTAGAGACATCAGTAAACCCATGGGTCATACGGATGCATTTCCACCTAGAAGCAGTGGTTTGTTTCTTCAGTGAGTCAAAGAAACTTAAGATGGAGGAGACCCTAAGGAGTCATGTAAGTTAAATGATCACCCAGTGGAGAGTACACTTCACAGTGGGAATAAGCTCTGCCCATTTTTTTTCCTAGGTGCTAATTCAGGAAAGCATGCTCACTCTTAGTGATCCTTTTCTTCATGTTGAGATGAAATGTGTCTTCAGAATTGTTCTTAGTTGTGCAGGCAACTGGACAGAACTCAGTCCCCCTTTAAATGCTCTCCACATGGTAAAGACAGCTCTTATGTATCTTGTTCTCAGTTTCCAAGGCTTGAATAGGTTCATGTAAAGTCATCACCACTTCCTCAAAAGGAAATTAACAAAAAAAAATTTTAATTCAGACGTCTTGCAGATAACGTGGCAATTGTAATGAGAATAGCACAGCAGAGAAAATAAATTTTGTGACTCTGTTTTTCACTGATTTGTAGTACCTGGTGATACTTAAGTGTCCTCTTTTCCCTCTCCAGGTGGAGGTATTTTTGTTGAAAAGTAAAGAGCCTCATATAATACAGAGCTTTCCCCTTCTGCTGATAACTCTCACAAACACTTAGCATATGTCCATCCATAGTTTCCTATTAAAACACACTTTGGGGGTATGTGGTGTAGGAATATGTGCCATTTTTCATGGTCTTCCCTCCCGTCTTCACATTCTACAGCTTCACAGCAGAATTGTCTTTTCAAGTCCATCTTTTACCCAGCTGTTCATGTTGATGCTTGTTGAGGACTGGGCTCTGGACTTCCTGTCCTTTTGCTATTCTCAATGACTTGAGTTTCCTTCTAGAGAGGTCTTATGCATGTACAAACATGTATATCTTTTAACACGACTGGTTACATATCAACGTAACACATAGCTGCAGGCCAGGCGCAGTGGCTCACACCTGTAATCCCAGCACTTTGGGAGGCCAAGGCAGGCAGATCACTGAGGCCAGGAGTTCAACACCAACCTGGCCAATGTGGTAAAATCCTGTCTCTACAAAAAAATATACAAAAATTAGCCAGGCATAGTGGCGCACACCTGTAGTCCAGCTACTTGGGAGGCTGAGGTGGGAGAATCGCTTGAACCTGGGAGGCAGAGGTTGCAGTGAGCTGCGATTGTGCTGCTGCACTCCAGCCTGGGCAACAGAGTAAGACCCTGTCTCAGAAAAAAAAAAAAAAAAGAAAGAAAGAAATAGGCCGGGCGCGGTGGCTTATGCCTGTAATTCCAGCACTTTGGGAGACAGGCGGGTGGATCACGGTGTCAGAAGTTTGAGACCAGCCTGGCCAACAATGTGAAACCCTGTGTCTACTAAGAATACAAAAATCAGCCAGGTGTGGTGGCGCACGCCTGTAGTCCCAGCTACTCGGGAGGCTGAGGCAAGAGAATCGCTTGAACCCAGGAGGCGGAGGTTTCGGTGAGCCAAGATCACGCCACTGCACTCCAGCCTGGGCAGTAGAGTGAGACTCTGTCTCAAAACAACAACAACAAACTGCCTCTTCTTGTTCACTGACACTGGGTGTATGGTTAAAGCCCCCTTAACTGACCTGTTTTGAGGCACAGAGGTTTATTTAATCACCAGTCATTTGATACAGGGTGAAGACCTATTTGAAATGGGACTGGCTGGATTCTACATGTTTTCTTTTTTTTTTTTTTTGGAAACAGGGTCTTGCTGTGTTGTCCAGGCTGGAGTGCAGTGGTGCCATCATGGCTCACTGCTCAACCCCTGGGGCTCAGGTGATCCTCCCACCTCAGCTTCCACACTGAGTAACTGGCACTACAGGTGCATACTACCATGCCTGGCTAATTTTTATTTTTATTTTTATTTTTTATTTTTTGGTAGAGACAGGGTTTCACCATTGTAAACCCAGGAAATCTGACAAGTCTCAGTTAATTTAGAAAGCTTACTTTGCCAAGGGTGAGGACGCGCACCCGTGACCCAGCCTCAGGAGGTCCTGATGACGTGTGCCCAAGGTGGGCAGAGCACAGTCTGGCTTTATACATTGTAGGGAGACATGAGACATCAGTCAGCATATACAGGACGAACATTGGTTCGGTCTGGAGAGGCAGGATGGCTCGAAGCAAAGGCAGGAAGACTCCAAGTGGGGAGGGGACTTCCAAGTCACAGGCAGGTAAGAGACAAATGGTTGCATTCTTTGGAGTTTCTGATGAGCCTCTCCAAAGGAGGCAGTCAGATACGCATTTATCTCAGTGAACAGAGGGGAGACTTTGAAGAGAATGGGAAGCACGTTGGCCCTAAGCAGTTCCCAGCTAGACTTTTCCTTTTAACTTAGTGATTTGGGGGCCCCAAGATTTATTTTCCTTTCAGACTATGTTGCCTGTGTTGGTTTTGAACTCCTGGGCTCAAGCGATCTACCCACCTCAACCTCCCAAAGTGCTGGGATTACAGGCATGAGCCACCATGCCTGGCCACATACTCTCTTCTTATGTAAATGAAATTGATAATATGTCGTCTAGGATTTTCAGCATTCATTTAAGTGGAACAAAAATTTAAGAAACTCATAATCAGTGTAGATTCTCTGAGATTTTAAAGGTTTTCCTCCATTTGACTTTTTCTTTTAAACAAACAGGTCTTGCTCTTTTTCCCAGGCTGGAGTGCTGTGGCACGATTGTAACTCACTGCAGCTTCAAATTGGGTTCAAATGATCCTTCTGCCTCAGTCTCCTGAGTAACTAGGATTACAGGCACAGGCTAATTGTTTTTATTTTTTATTTTTTTAAGAAATGAGGTCTCACTTTGTTGCCCAGGCTGGTCTCAAACTTTTGGCCTCAAGTGATCCTTCTGCCTTGGCCTCCCAAAGTGCTAGGATTATAGGCATGAGTCACCATGTCCAGCCATAATTTTTTTAAGGCAACTTGTTTTTCTTGAAATTTCAGTGTGGTAAATTTAATATCCATAGATAAATTTCTCTTCACTCCTTCATTATTTTGAATTATTTCTAAATGTAGTTACATTAACTAGTGAAACTGGCATAAACAGGTTTGAGAGCAAGTAAAACTGAGTCTTACTAAGCACACATCATCACTGGTGGGGATCGGTGTTCAGGGCACACTAGAAGGCACTCTGCTCATGACATCAATTAATATTTTACTGTGGGGGTGGAGACTTGGTCATTCATCAGGTCGTTTATGGAGGTCAGTGATAGTGCTTTGTGTTCTGCCACCCTTTGTTTACCCAGTCCCGGACTGAACCAATGCAAATGTTTAATCTTCTGACTCTACAAAAATGCTACAGTGCACATCAGGCACACTGCAGAGACACTGCAGGTTTGTGATACCACCACAAGAAAGCCTGACATCCCAATAAAGCACATCACATGAGTTTTACGTTTCCCAGTGCATATAAAAGCTGTAACATGTTTAGAAAAACAATGGTATATACTTTAATTTAAAATAATGGTTAAGGCTGGGCGCAGTGGCTCAGGCCTGTAATCCAGCACATTGGGAGGCCAAGGTGGGTGGATCACCTGAGGTCAGGAGTTCGAGACCAGCCTGGCCAACATGGTGAAACCCCGCCTCTACTAAAAGTACGAAAATTAGCTGGGTGTGGCGGAGCACACCTGTAATCCCAGCTACTTGGGAGGCTGAGGCGGGAGAGTCACTTGAACCCGGGAGGTGGAGGTTGCAGTAAGCCAAGATCAAGACTGTGCCACTGCACTCCAGTCTGGGCAACTGAGTGAGACTCCATCTCAAAAAATAATAATAAAATATTGGTTAAAAAATGCTCATGATCATTGAGCCTTCAGCAAGTCTTAATCTTTTTGCTGCTGGAAGGTCTCGCTTTGATGTTGATGGCTGCTGACTGATCAGAGCAGAGGTTGCTACATGTTGGGGTGACTGGCAATTTTGTAAAATCAGACAACAATGAAGTTTACTGCATTGATTGACTCTTCCACAAAAGATTTCTCTGTAGCACGTGATGTTGTTTGATTGCATTTTCCCACAATAGAACTACTTTCAGAATTGGACTCAATCCTCTCAAACACTGCCATTGCTTTATCAGCTAAGTTTATGTAATATTCTAAATCCTCTGTTGTCATTTCAACAATGTTCACAACATCTTCATTCAGCATCTACTTCCTGAGTAGATTCTATCTTAGGAAACCACTTTCTCTGCTCATCCATAAGAAGCAACTCCTCATCTGTTCACGTTTTATCATGAGATTGCAGCAATTCAGTCCCATCTTCAGGCTCCACTTTTAATTCTAGTTCTCTTGCTGTTTCTACCACACTTGCAGTTGCTTTCTCCACTGAAGTCTTGAACCCCTCAAAGTCATGGCATCCGGAATGGTGAATCCTTTACAGGAGGTTTTCAATGGACTTTGCCCAAATCCATGAGAGGAATAACTATCTATGGCAGCTGTAGCCTTAAAAATAATTTCTTAAGTATTAAGTCTTGAAAGTCGAAATTACTTCTTGATCCATGGGCTGCAGAATGGCTGTTAGCAGGCATGAAAACAACATTCATCTCCTTGTACATCTCCATCAGAGCTCTTGGGTGACCAGATGCTTTGCCAATCAGCAGTAATGTTTTGAAAGGAATCTTTTTTTTTTTTCTGGGCAGTAGATCTTAACGGTGAGCTTAAAATACTCAGTAAATCGTTTTAAACAGATGTGCTGTCATCCAGGCTTTGTTTCATTCATACAGCACAGGCAGAGTATATTTAGTGTAATTCTTCAGACCCCTAGGATTTTCAGAATGGTAAATGAGCATTGGCTTTAACATAAAGTCACTGGCTGCACTAGCCCCTAACAAGAGAGTCAGCCTTTTGAAGCTTTGAAGGCTTCTCTTAGAAGCGATCTAGCTATTGGCTGGGCGCAGTAGCTCACGCCTGTAATCCCAGCACTTCGGGAGGCTGAGGTGGGCGGATCACGAGGTCAGGAGATCGAGACCATCCTGGCTAACACGGTGAAACCCCATCTCTACTAAAAATACAAAAAATTAGCCGGGCGTGGTGGTGGGCGCCTGTAGTCCCAGCTACTCGGGAGGCTGAGGCAGGAGAATGGTGTGAACCTGGGAGGCAGAGGTTACACTGAGCAGAGATCATGCCACTGCACTCCAGCCTGGGCCATAGAGCGAGACTCTGTCTCAAGAAAAAAAAAAAAAAAGAAGCCATCTAGCTATCAAAGTCCTTAGATGGCATCTTCTTGCACTATGAGGCTGTCTCATTTACACTGAAAATCTGTTTAGTGCAGCTACTTTCATCAGTGACCTTAGCTAAATCTTCATAACTCACTGCAGCTTCTACATCAGCACTTGCTGCTTCACCGTGCACTTTCATGTTAGAGAGATCTTAAACTTCAAGAACCAACCTCTGCTAGCTTGAGACATTTTTTCCTGCAGCTTCCTCACCTCTCTCAGCCTTCATGGAATTAAAGAGAGTTAGGGCCTTGCTCTGGATTAGGCTTTGGTTTAAGGGAATTTTGAGACTGGTTTAATCTTCTAGCCAGACCACTCAAACTTTCTCCTTATCAGCGATAAGGCTGTTTCGCTCTCTTACCATTTATGTGTTCACTGGAGTAGCACTTTTCCTTCAGCCTTTTTTCTTTGCATTCACAGCTTGGCTATTTGGTGCAAGAGGCCTAGCTTTTGGCGTGTCTTAGCTTTTAACAACTCTTCTTCACGTGCCTTCTTAATCATTTCTAGCTTTTGATTTAATATGAGAGACGTGCAGCTCTTCCTTTCACTTGAACACTTAGAAGCAATTGTTGGGTTATTAATTGGTTTCCCCTCAATATTGTGTCTAGGGATCGGGCGGCATGAGGAGAGGGAGAGAGATGGGAGTGGCCAGTTGGAGCAGTCAGAACACACACAGCATTGATTGATTAAGTTCTCTGCCTTGTATGAGCGTGGTTTGTGGCACTCCAAAACAATTACAGTAGTAACATCAAGGATTACAGATCACCATAACAGATACAATGACAATGAAAACGTTTGAAATATTGCTAGAATTACCAAAATGTGCTGTTGGAAAAGAGGCATGGAAAGACCTGCAGAGTTGCCAAAACCTTCAGCCTATAATAAACACAATGTCTAAAAAACCCAAGTAAGAGAAGCACTGTAAGCTGAAGTGTGCCTCTATCTTTGGGCACATGTGTGAGAAATTCTTAGAAGTAGGAAGTGTTAGATCAAAGAATATTGATGTTTTAAATCTCAGTCCACAATCAAATATGTACGCTCTCCAAAGAGACCACACCAATTATTCCTCCAGCCACACCTGTTTTCCCACACTTTTTTTTGAGTCTTCAGATTTTATTTTTGCCAAACTGAGGTGAAATGTAGAATCTTATTCTACTTTTCACTTGCATTTTAAAATACAAATTGAATAAATGTTTCCTGCATTTCCATGAAAGGCCTGCTTGTATCTTTTGCCCATTTTTTAAAAATGGGTTATTAAAGAGTCCTTTAGGAAATACTGTAAACGTAACGTGCTCCTCTTTTCCCCAGAAATGTTTGAGCCTGCCACGTGTGCCATGTTTGTGTTTGTGGTAGAGGAGATGCTTTCATGATTGAGAAGAAGACGCATTTTATACTCTTTTCCCCTAATGTAAATTTATTCATTAAACACAAAAGATTTGTAATAAAATATTTTTTCCTTAAGATTGTTATATAAAGTTTACTAATGAGAAAAACTCCCTTGTCAGTTTATAGTTTAGCTTTGGTTTGAAAATACAGACACTGTAGCACTGCTGTCCAATATGAGCCACATATATTTAAAATTTTCCAACATCTGCCTTAAAAATATAAAAATAAACAAGTGAAGTTAATTTTAATAATATTGTTTCACCCAATGTAAGATACTACCATTTTACATGTAATCCATCCTAAAACTAATAATAAAATGTTTTAGATAGTATTTCTTGTACTAAATCTTCAAAATCTGATGTATATTTTAGACTTACAGCACATATCATTTTAAACTAGCCACGTGTGAAGGCTGTAGTGACATGTGGCCAGTAGATGTTGGCCAGCACAGCTCAAAAGAGTAGTCTATTTCTATGAAAATCCATCAATTTATTCTTTTGGACCTAACATTTGTCCTATCCTCTTTTTTATTTTTTTGAGACAGGGTCTCACTTGGTCAGCCAGGCTGGAGTGCAGTGTCACGATCTCAACTCATTGCAACCCCCACCTCCTAGGCCCAAGCAATTCTCCCACCTCAGCCTCCCGAGTAGCTGGGATTACAGGCACGTGCCACCATGCCTGGCTTATTTATTTATTTATTTTTAAGACGGAGTTTCACTCCTGTTGCACAGGCTGGAGTGCAATGGCGCGATCTCGGCTCACTGCAACCTCTGCCTCCCGGGTTCAAGCGATTCTCCCACCTCAGCCTCCCGAGTAGCTGGGATTACAGGCATGCACCCCCAAGCCCGAGTAATTTTGTGTTTTAGTAGAGATGGGGTTTCTCCCTGTTGGTCAGGCTGATCTCGATCTCTCGACCTCAAGTGATCCGCCCACCTCGGCCTCCCAAAGTGCTGGGATTACAGGCGTGAGCCACCGCGCCCAGCCCCCCATCTTATTAAGAAAATAAATTGTATTTATCTGACACATGTTCTTTAATTAGGCTCTAAGTAAATATTATTCTTTACTCAGCTGTAGAAATATGTGCTGATTGTTTCTGTATTTGTAAAATTAATGTAGTGGCATACTCCACTAAATGTATTAATTTAGTGGAAAGTAGTGAGTTTAGTGGTTTAGTGGAATTAAATGTTAGCATTCCCAAACAGTGAGATACCTATTAAAGGGCAGGTTCTTTTAGATACCATTTTCCTTGATCTTTTTAACAACTTGCAGAAAAGGCCCCAAAACTTAGAAATGTGAATTATTAAAGTTGAGAGCTTAAACAACTAGCCAAGGTGACCCAAATTATATCTGAGCAAGATTCTGAAAGCAGGTATCCTGGCAACAAGTTTGGTGTTCTTTATACAATTTGTTCTCATTATAGGTGCCTATAATGACTCGGATAAAACACAAGTTACGTATTTTCACCTTACCTAGAAATACGTGAATCAAAGAAATAAGCCAGAGAACAGTGTCACTGGAGAATATACTAAGTTACCTTTTCTGTTACTTCCTGAAAAGTAGTGAAACTGACAGAATTAGTTAGTGGAGAAAGAACAAGGCAAATTTACAGGAAACCCTGGACTGCAAGGTCTTTGTTTCTGTCTCATCTGAACTTTCGTGAGACTTTATTTTAGGGCTGGGAGTTTAATGTAATAATATATACTGTAATATATATTAGCAGTAAATACATGTGAGCCAAAGAAAAGTTGTTCCTTATTAGAATATGCTACAAGTCAAATTAAACTGAGTATAAATAAGCTTAATTATAAAATTAGTTTGTGCTAATAAAAATGTAATATGAGCCACATATAATTTTAAATTTTCAGCTTTCAAATGGGATGGAAACATTTCTTTGACCTGACTTTGACCACCACACTCAGTATGGGAGTGCAAATTGTGCTAAACTTAGCTCCCATCCCATGGTGCCAATAACTTCCTATAAGACTGCACTGCTGCCAAGGAAGTGGTGGGCGCCTGTCCTCCACATCTCTGCTCCCACAGCCTTGGAGATGACCCCTGGTCCGCTGCTCCTCCTAACCCCTTCAGCATGGCTCCACTGCAGCGGGTTCCTGTCAGGTGATAAGTTAAAGCAAAGAGAGGAGTAGGCTGCATAAATTGTATACCTCTGTTTATCCATGTTATCCACTGACAATTAGGTTCTTAAAAATTTGTTGACTATTACTAGCAGTGCAGTGAGATGAGCATTCTTGTACATATTTCCTTTTGCCCAGGAAAGCTTTTTCCTGAAGTACGTCTCCAGAAGTGGGATCGTTCGCTCGTGGAGTATTTGCTTCTTAAGCCTTAATAGGCCTTGCAAATGGTGTCAAATAAGGACCTAGTTTTTCCCTCCTACTGTAGATAACCAGTTTTCCCAGAGCCATTGATTGCATCATCCATCTCCCTGCTGATCCACACGACCACATCTGAGGCAGGCAATGTCAGTGTCTGTGGTGTCTGCGTTGGGCCCACTCTGCTGCTCCCTTGTTCTCTGTGTCTGTCCCCGGCACTAGCACCACAGCCTGAATTACTGACACTGGAGAGAGCAAGCCCTCCTCCACGTTGTTTTCTTCAGAGTTATATTAGCTGTTCTTGGTCCTTGATCTTTTGTATAAATTTTGTTGTGTAAATATGATTGTATTTGTAACTATTCTAAAAATGGTGTATATAAATAATTTTTTTTACAATTCAGTGTTTGCAATGCAACATTATAAAAATTACATATAGAAAACTTGTATAAATAAAAATTGTATAAAATCTGGTTGTAAAATTCCATACACACACATACCTTTTGGGATTTAAGTTACATTTGCATTGAATTTCTAGTCTAATTAGGGGAGAATTACTATCCATGATTAAGTCTTTCTTTAGATGACCATGGCCTGTCTCCATTTATTAAGGTCATTTCTGTATTTTGACAAAGGTTTTTATAAGTTCTATAAATCACATTTTTTTTCTTAATTAGATTTTAAAAAATTTTTTTAGAGGGGTGGAGAGGGGACAGAGTCTCACGCTGTTGCTCACGCGGCAGTGCAGTGGCGTGATCTTGGTTCACTGCAGCATCCGCCTCCTGGGTTCAAGCGATTCTCGTGTCTCAGCCCCCCAAGTAGCTGGGACTACAGGCATGCATCACCACACCCGGCTTAGATTTATTTTTAATAGTTTGTTGCTGGTGTTTTGGAAACATAATTGATTGTGTGTATTGGTTTTATTTCCAGAAAACTTACTGAACTTTTTAATTAGTTCTAATAGTGTGTCCATACATCCTCCTGGATTTTCTTCCAGCACAGTTATATTGTCTGTGAATACTGGCAGTTTTGGTTCATTTTCAATTCTGGTAACTTTCTTTTCTTGCCATACTGCCCTGGCTTATATTCCTAGTTGCTATTAGGAATGGGTTAATTAGTTGAGATTCTTCATTTGAATTTTTTTTTTTTTGGAGATGGAGTCTTGCTCTGTTGCCCAGGCTGGAGTGCAGTGGCACCATCTTGTTTCACTGCAACCTCCACCTCCCGGGTTCAAGCAATCCTCCTGCCTCAGCCTCCCAAGTAGCTGGGAGTACAGGCATGTGCCACCATGCCCGGCTAATGTTTGTATGTTTAGTAGAGACGGAGTTTCGCCATATTGGCCAGGCTGGTCTCGAACTCTTGACCTCAGGTATCTGCCTGCCTCAGCCTCCCAAAGTGCTGGGATTACAGGCACGAGCCACCGTGCCCAGCCTATTTGAATCTTTTGAAATGATCAAATTATCTTTGCCCCTCATGCTGTTAATGTGGCGAGTAACTTTACTCTGTTTTTCTAATATTGTACCCCCCCACATTACTGGATTAAACTTCATCGTGATAATATTTGTTTTTCTATTTCTGGGTCAGTTTGCAAGATTGTTTCAGGCTTTGGCTTTTAAATACCTAGGTGAGATTCACCTACTCCTTTGTCTGTGATGAGTCCAAGCCCCCTAGCTTTGTGTGGGAGATAATCTCTGAAAGCTTCCTTACAAAAGCATTTGGAGACCCGCCTTTTTGTTGTATTATTTTGTTGTTGTTGTTTTTTGGTTTTTTTTGAGATGGAGTTTCACTTTTGTTTCCCAGACTGGAGTGCAATGGCGTGGTCTCGGCCCACGGCAACCTCCACCTCCCAGGTACAAGCGATTCTCCTGCCTCGGCCTCCTGAGTAGCTGGGATTACAGGCATGCACCACCACGCCCAACTAATTTTGCATTTTTAGTAGAGATAGGGTTTCATCATGTTGGTCAGGCTGGTCTCGAACTCCCAACCTCAGGTGATCCGCCCGCCTCGGCCTCCCAAAGTGCTGGGATTATAGGCGTGAGCCACCTCGCCCGGCCTTGTTGTAAGTTTTATATTTGTTTCTTTGAAGATTGGGGAAGGTTGGTTATTGAAACTATATTTCTAACTCAGTTTGGGTAACTTATTTTTCTAGAATTTGCCCATTTCATCTGTTTTCGAGTTTTTGACACTACTCTTCTCAATAGAATTCTTACATGATTTTTCAAAGTCTCCATTTTAGCTGTAGTTTTTGACCCCCTTTTAATTCTTAATATTGCCTACTTATACTGTCCTTTTTTCAGGAATCATTTTTGCCAGAGATTGAACTTGTCTTTTAAAAAATTTGGATGTAGGTTTTGTTTATCCTTTGTGGTATATGTCTTTTAGTTCATTAATATCTTATCTTTATTTCCTTCTACCTTTCTTTTGTTTATTCTGGTGTTTTTTGTTCTAGTTTCAGTAGTGGATGATTAGCTTATTTTATTTTTTTCCTCTTCACTAATAGGATGGCTTAAAGTTACAAGGCTTTAAGCAACAATCTTGTTTCATTCCACAAGGTGGGATATATAATTGCTTAATGGCTTAGTTTTAAATGTTTTCAGATTTCTTCCTTGTTCCATGAGTTACTTAGAAGCAAGTTTTAAAACTTATATAGTCTTTAAATTTTTAAGTTGAGTTCTAATTGAGTGGTGGTCTGAGAATGTTACTATGATTTAATTCTTTACTATTTGTTTAATTTTTTTTTTTTTTTTAGCTCCTGGCCAGGTTTTATGGTTTTTTAAAAAGGTGTCACTTTTAATCATGTGTTCAATAAAGTAGATTTATTAATTGTGTTTGCATCCTCTATACATTTTCCAATCCCATAACCTGTGTTACCAAGAGAGTTGGGTCAGTCTCACCCTTTAACCTTGGATATATCAATTTCTCCTAGTAACCTTCAGTTTTTACTTTATATGTTTTGCAGCTATGTTATTAGATACATGTAATCAGAGTTACTGAATTTTTAAGTTCTTGACCTTCTCTGTTCTTAATAATGATTTTTATCCTACAGTCTGTGTTATCTGAAAATAATATAACCAACTTTCATATGGTTAGTATTTGCTCGGAGTACTTCTTCCATCTCTTTATTTCAGCCTATATGTCTGTATGGTTTAGGACTGTTGAATGGCCTATAGCTGCTGTTAGAGTTGGTCAGTTTAGTCTGTTAACACGTATTTAGATTACTGATGGGTTTGAATTCATTCCTCTCATCAGTTTTGTGTTTTATTTACCTTGCTTTTTCATTGCTTCTTTTACTTTTCTTGCCTCCTATTCTTTTTTCTTGTTTTCTCTCTTTTCTTTAACAATTATTAATACAGTATAATGTAACCAGTAATAATGTACATCGTAATGAATACCGCTGAACCTACCACCTAATCCAAGATCTAGAACATTGCCAATAACTTCCATTTGAGTAAGAGTTTAGTTTGAATGTTAAAAACTCTTTGTTTTTCCTAGATTGTCTTTAAATTTTTAACATTCATTCTCAACAAGGGCTAAAATTAGTATCTCTAGCCTCTCCCCAAATAATAAGAATCTTGAAACCTTGCAACTTCATATCCCCCTTCCACCTTATATATTATTGCTGCCTAAGCATTTTAATTCTGTCTTTTATTTTATTTTGTACTTGCATATTCTGCTTACGTACCTATCTATAATTTAATTCCCTTCAAATTTTATTGTTGATATTAGTATAGGGTCACCACTTGTTTCACTTTATCTAGGTTGCTGGTTTATCAGTATTCCTTCTTTCTGGTCTCTCTGGCTTTCATTTTCTTGCTGAAATATGTCCTTTAGTAGGTCTGTCAGCAGGGATCTATTGGTAGTAGTTGCTTTATCTTTGAATATGTCTATTCTCATTCTTAAATGAAAAAGAATTCTTAAATCCAAATTGACAGTTATTTCTTTCGCCATAATTTATATATAGCCATTATCCTCTGGTATGTATTGTTTTAAGTGGTCTGCCTTTGGTCTCATAGTATTCTTTATGAGTAACCTGTCTTTTCTCTCTAGTTGCTTTTAAGGTCCTGCTCTTGTCTTTGGTGCTCTGAGGTTACTCTGTAGTGTGTTTTGATTTGGATTAGTTTAAATTATCCTGCTAGACACCTTCTCTGTCTTTTTTGGGATGAGGGAAGAATGTTGTATCATTAAATCTTAGAATTTTCTCAGCTATTTTAAAAAATGTTTCTTCTCTGTTCTTTGGATTTTTTCTTTTCTCTTTTTGTTTTGGAACTCCAGTTATAGACATATGTTAGAGTTTCTCATTCCATGGTTCTTAGCTCTTTCATTCGTTCCATCTCTCGATTTTTTTTCTAAAATGTCACCTTTATGTCTCTTATGCTTTTTTATTGTCTCAATCTTAGTTCTGTCTCCCGAAGTTCTTGAGTCTAATCCTACTTCTAATCCATCCTTCCTTCTTTTTGAGCTTTGGGCTTTTAGCCTCTCTACCATTTGTGCTGATCTGTGGGTATCCTTTTTAGCCTGGTATGAGGTTTATTCTTTCCTGAGGCGGGGTGGGGGGGAATTGCTTTCTGTTTTGTTAATATCTCAGTTTGGGCTAGGGGTTCCTGGACAAATGGGCTTGGTTGTAGAGTACTAGTCCATTGTCCCTACAGCTCAAGAGATGCTTCTGTCTGCCAGCTCAGGATAGTCAGAGAAGGCATCCTGTAGTCCCCTCTACACTAGTGGGCTTTTCTTCTTCTTTTTTTGATCTACCTATCTTCTGGTAAGTGTAGCCCTTTTGGGGATCATGACTTTATGGAATAGGAGGGTATCTCTTCTCACCTCCTACCTTGAGCAGACCCAAACTTCTCCCCCGTCCCTTTGAGGGCTGAAAACTCAAATGTCACAGACAGACGTTCACACTTCATTTGGTCTGAATATTGCTAGCCATGGAATTTCTAAAATTTGCTTCTACGAACTATTTATTAGTTTCAGTGTGCTAAGCCTGCTGGGAGGAAATGCTGGTTGTGAGCATCAGCACAGAAGCATTCTGGACGGTTATTAGCACAAAGTTAGCATATGATTTTGTAATCTCTTCTGCTAACAGTGTTTTTTAAACTAACTCTTTACGGTGTCCTGTGTACTAGGTACTGTGCCTGTGCTGACTTCCTAGCTTTATTGGAAGTTCCTTGACAGCGGACCGAATCCCTACCCGTTACTCTTTCTCCATCTCCCTCTGCAGTGCTGAGCCCTCAAAAACAAAACAGCAACAAAAAACACACTTGCACTAGTTGCTGATTGGTTAATCCCCACGGAAAGGTTACCAACAAACCACAGCAGTGACACAGAAGGGAATGCCTATTTCCACATCTAGGGAGGCCCACCTGCCCAGTTCCGTGCTGCTGACTTAGAGCACGGCTTTGCTGATGATATCCTTGGCTCCTTCTCTGCGTCAAGCCGCAGGTGTTCTCTGCCTTCTGTGATTCTGCTCCCCTCCCTAGGTGGTGTCATGAAGTGCATGGTATTTCTGCTGGCTCCTAGGCTTTTCCCCTGACCTTGCACATACAGTTGCCTGCTCCACTTCCCCACCTGCCCAGTCAGGGCATCACACCCCCTTATCCATCCAGTCTTCCTTGAATTTTACCCACCTCAGTGAGGGCAGCTCTTCCCAGTCACTCAGGCCAAGAACCTGTGTCTTTCTTAACTTCTTTTACACCCCTCTTCTGGTCAATAAGGAACTTCTTGGTGCTTCTTTCTGAATATATACCAAATCTGGCCATTTATTTCCTCCATTATGCCCACCATAATGCAAGCCATTGTCATCTTTAGACTGAACTATAGTAGGCCTCCCCTGCCCTCCCCTCCCCTGCCACTTAGTGTCAGTGTTCCACGAAAAAAAAAAAAACACGTCTGATCCTGCCTTCTGCTGCTTGCAGCCCCCACCCAGCTCCCACCATCCTCAACAGCACCCGTGGCCTGGCTGCAGGCTGTGCGGACCTGACCCCATTCCCTGGGTAAGGCTGGGTGTGCCCCTACCTCTTCCCCTGTGTGGGACGGTCTTGTCCCCAGATACCTGTAGTTGATCCTGTGCCCTATGCAGGATTCTGTTGACCTGCGACTTTGCCAGAGGTTCAGACTGACATCTCTACAGATTGCTCGACTCCCTTTATACCCTTAAAAGAAACAGTGGCAGTTATCACTTAGTAAACACAATGGATGCAGAAGTGACAAGTCCTTCCCGGAGGGTGGAGACCCCGAGAGTAGGGATTCCGTTCCGCCCAGTCCTGCGTATCCACCGTGGGCTCAGAGGCCACACACCGGTTCTTTTGCGTGTATACATCTATGTAGAGATGGAGCCATAAGTAATACACGCTTTAAAGGAAGGGGATTTTACATTTTGGGGGGGAGATTAAGTTGATTGCCAAGGAATCGGGTGGGGATAGTTTATAAAAGTGAGGGACATAAGGAATAGGCACGCAGGAATGAGGGAATGAAAGCCCTGGAGCCGCCTGGGAGCCTCACTGCGCTGTAGGACCTCGTGCCAGTGTGGCCATCCGTTTACGATGTGGTGGGCATCCTTTGAGGTTTTTCTTCTGATTTTGGGGAGGTGGGCGGTACTGGTGACATCTGCTTCCAGAGCAGCCGTCCTTCCTGCTCCCTTTCTGGTCTTCGGTTGTTTCCACTCGGGTTCTTGCGGGGCGCGCTCCCTCTGCTTTCTGGAGGTGATTAATTTCCCAACTCCTCGGCACCGCCTTCCCCACCCGAAAAAAGGATGCAGAACCACGCCTGCAGTTGGGTGGGCCTCCCGGGTGCTGGGCGGCCCGGGGCGGCGGGGACCCCAGCGGCGGGGCGGGCGGGCGCTGACGTGTCCAGGCGGGATTGGGCCGCCGCCCTATATAGCAGCCGGGGCCCGGGCGCCGCGCCTCGGAGCGTCCCGGCTTCTCCCGCGCGGGGGGCGAGTAAGCCAGCGGCAGGACCAGCGGGCGGGGGCCCACGAGTGAGCGCGCAACACGGGGCTGGGAGGCCTGGGCGGGCGGGCGGACGGGGCGGGCGGGCTGCCGGGCGGGGGGGTGGGGGGTGGCTGCTGACGTGGAGGCCGCGGAGGGGGAGGGGCCCGGGTGCCGCGGCCCCCACCCGGGCCCCAGGCTGCGGCCCCCGCCCGCGGGTGTCCTGCTTACCGCGCGTGGCGGTTCCGGGCCAGACCTGGGGCCGGCTCCGAGTCTCTTCTGCGCGTGGCCGTGGCGCGGAGGGGCGCGCACAAACTTTCTCAAGTCCGGTGGCGCCGCTGGGCCGCTCTTGGCTGCAAGCTGGGCTCCCCCGCCTCCTCCCGGGGCTTCGGTGGGGCACCCCTGGTGCCGTGGCCGCACGGCGCGGAGGGGCGGCCGACCTGAGCCCAGGTCGCTGACGTTGGCGGGGCCGGCCCTCCCCTCCCCCGCTCCGGCGGGGGCGCCGTGTGCGGCCAGGGTGGGGGTCCCTGGGAGGCCAGCGGGGTCCTTCCCCCCAGGTGGCGGCGGGGCGGGGGTCTGGGCGCAGACCGGGCGGCGGGGCCCCCGCAGCACCTCCACCTGCCGCGCGGGGCCCGCGTCAGTCTACGTGTTCGGGGGTGGGGAAAGCTGCTCTTCTTGGGCCTGGAGTGCAACTTGGACGTGCCCCAGGGTCGTGGATGAAAAATACATTACGGAAAAGTACCGAATTTGGATGAAAGGCGGGGAGGCCGAGGGGTTGCTGTCCCTTTAAGCCTGTCCCCGCCCGCGGGCCCTCGTGGCCTGTGGGAGGGCCGTGCTGAGGTGGCATCTGCGAAAGTTCCTCCATGCAGGATGGGTGCCGACTTCCAGAACTTGGTGAGAAGTGCGGAGCGGAGCCTGCCTTCTGCTCGCCAGTCGCCTGTGGTCTCTCCTAGATTTCGATCTTGTGATCTCTGAGTGGATCAGGATTTTATTTTCCCATTCTGAACTTTGGTTTGTGGTCTTGAGTAATTTTAGTTTTGGAAGAGGAGAAGTCTGGGTTTCAGCCGGAGGCTTTTTTGGTGCCCTCCATACCCGGTCCTGTCTGGTGCTTTAAAGCACTTGCGGGTCTCATTAACTGAGGCTGAAATGAAATTCTTCCTGGAGTATTACTGATAATTCTCTTCGAAGACTGTTGCCCCTTGAATATGTAGTTGGCAAAACTTATCACAAGGGAATCAACTTAATTACTTCCTCGTTTAAAAGCAAAAAAGTAGAACCCCTCATGTGAAGCCTTTTTTGTTGCTGTCAGAAACCTGTTAGACTTGTGCTAAACTTGTAAGCACCAGGTTTCCCACGCAACACACAGCTCTGTCAGGACTCCACGTTTTGCTCTACACGTATTAGGGCGGAAAGGGGTCTTGGTTCCTGCCCTCCTTCCTTTAGTTCTAGTTCTGTTTGCTGAAAGTTAAATTCTGAGATGTGACCTTTTTTGCTTTGGATGTTTGCACTCTGGGAAACAAAATTAAAAGTCCAGGTTCAGTATAGTTTGAGGTTTACATTAGGTGGACCTGGACACTGATTGATCCGAGCTTCCTATGGGAAAAGTAGTTGGGAGAGCCAGAATCACGAAGGGACTGGGGCCATATGGGAGGGACTGAAGGAGACAGGAGATAGGGCTCACCTACCAGAAGGAGCCTTGGAGGAGAGCGGACTTGTTCTCCATGGCCAGAAAGGGGAAAGAAGTTGTAGATTTTGTCATAACTTGAGGTGGAGCGTTTACAGCCATGCAGGGGTGGACCCGGGCCCTGAGAAGGCCATGAATTTCCTGTCCCTGGTGGTATTAAGAAATGGGATTAGATTAATATCTGAGGTTCCTTTCAATCCTGATTTGGACAGTACTGTTAGATCCAGTGAGAATCTGAGATACCCGATGTTAGCCTCTGTTCTTGGGTATCTAGGCCTGCCCAAGGTATCCTGGGAACTTCAGATAGCAAGTGGAGTTGCCTGGCGCTGTCCTGGGGTTGCTGAAAGATCCACATGGAACAGGATTAAACCCTCGTGGGTGTTGTCTGTGAAGGCAGAGCCAGGAGCAGGGCGTAGCAGTGCGGGGTGGACATGGGGCTGTAGGGTCAGCTTCTTAGGTGCTGCTTTGTTGAACCAGAGGCAGGTGGACCCCTGGGCTGTGCCTCACTGGATTGGGAGCACAGAAGGAGAATGAGACTGACTTTTAAGAAAATCTCACCCAGAATTTCAGGTGGGGACAGGGTCTGCATTTACATGTGGGTCATCAAATGCTTGCTTAAAACGCAGTCTTCGAAAACAGGTTTTTGAGTTGTTTAGAAGAAAAACAAAATGTTGTTTGATGATACCAGAACCCTAGATGTTAAATGTGTCTCTAGTTGTGAACCATTCGTTACACGCTCTGACAAACTGCCACTTGGAATCTGGAGGCTAGGGACCCAGTATAGCCTGTCAAACCAGTCTGGAGTTTTCTGGAGGTCTGCCTTCTGCCTTACCTGGCTGCCTGAGGGTCTGTGCACGCCTGAGGAACATGAGAGGCTCTGCTCCAGGGTCTCCCTCAGACACAGGAGTAGGTTCCCTTATGTTGAGACTCCTTTCAGTATAGGGTCCGGCTGGACTTGGCTTCTGAAGGGTGTGTGAGTGGTCTCAGAAGAGACTGACACTGGGTGCACAGTGGGGATTGGCTCATCACAGCTCCGTGCTGGAGAGTCGGTGCGGGCTGACATGGACGGAACTGCATTTTGCAGACTTCTAGTGTGGCTGTCACTGGGCACTAGAGACTTGCCCAGAACCTAGCTTGATAAGGGGGTGGGTGTCTGGGTTTAAGAAGTGACATTGGAGCCCGGGACAACCTTGAGTGAGAGACCATGCCAGGTGAGAGTCAGCAAGCAAGCGTGGGAGGGCGGAGGGTGGATGCGGGAGACCAGAGGCAAGTGTCACTGGACACCTGTTGGGGCACCTTAGCCTGGAGTGCCCTGCCCTGTTTTGCTCCCAGACTGGACAGACACTTGGAATCTCAAGGAGCTCTTGCCGAGTTGTGAATGTGCTAATCTGACACTTTGGAGAAATTTTCTTACTTTAATCTTTAAAACTTGCAAACTAGAATTTTGGTGATGCTTTTAAATGGAATACTCTTGATCAGTTTGTCCCAGCTTTCCCCTTCAGTCTTGGGGTACATCTGTGTGTCTGGTGCATCTGGGGCCCCATAGTGTCTCTGGTTTGTGGCAGGTTCCCTGTGTGACTCAAGCCCTGTATTTAGAGTTTTTAAAAAACTCATGACCAAGATTAGAATCCAGAAATACCACCAGTCCACATCCTCTGCTGGAAAGGCGAGACCCTTTAATCCAGTCTACTGGATGCTCCCCCATTGCCATGAACCGCCTTCTCAGCTCCGGACCCATGTGTCGTAAGGGCAAGATTATTGTCACGGTACGAGTAGTCTTCTCCAGTTGAGTGGGGTGTTCCTGTTACTGTCATTGCTTTTCCCATTTTAGACACATGCCTCACTCCTGTCAGCAGTTCCACCTTTTCATGGTTGAGGAGCACATGTGGTCGCCAGCCTCCCATCTCCAGAGTCCCCTAAGGCAAGGTGACTCACCCTCCTACTTCACAGAGTTCTTGGTCCTCCCCAGACAGCCTTTGAAGGTTCCTTTCAATCCTGCGATTTCATGACCTGGTTTCTAGATCCCCAGTGGATTAGAAAGGACTGAAGGACTTTTACAGGCTAACAGCAAGAAGAACAAAGTAACTGCAAAATAGACGGAGAATTCTTGAAGACGGTAGCTCTTGGTCACCATAAGCGCTGCAGAGACCCCGAGGTCCACATTCTGTTGTAGGTCAGAGCCCAGCACAACAACCCTTCTTCTGGTTCAGCCGCCCAGCGGTTATGTGGGGTACGGGAAAGATGATCCAGCCATGCAGGAGAGCACCAGTGGTTCTGTGAGGATTTTACTTCAAAATAGTTAAGTTTAGAAGTTTGGCACTTAAAAGATCACTCCCTCAGGTCCCTGGAATAGTTGTCCTCTGCAAGTTGGAGCTGGTTCATGTTTTGTTTTAATATGTTTTGTTTCAAGCTAACGTTTTTTTTTTCTTCCAAGAAACTTGCCTGAGTATTGGTGTTAGTAACCAAAGCATAAATATCTTGACCTTTTCTGATTTTGAGGTAAAAAGATCTGAGTTGTAAAATGTAGATAAGTAACTTTTCTCTGGTTTCCTCTCTCTCCTCTCCCACTTCCCATCCCATACCAGCAAAAGCTGGCAGGCTGACAGAGGCGGCCTCAGGACGGACCTTCTGGCTACTGACCGTTTTGCTGGTAAGTTTGACCCTGTCTGAAGACTTCCTGTCCCTGGGCTGTGTGTGGACCTGGGGGCGCAGGGATGCGTATTTTCTTAGTCCTGTGTGTACCTTCTTTCTTTATATCACACCTTCAAGTTTCTCGTGGTTCGTCAGAGATGTCTCCATAGCTTCACCTCCCAGCAGGAACCATCTATAGACGTGTGTCCCTTAGATGTGTCATCTGGCTTCCGTCTGTTTTTAATCTTTTATTTCTTAAATGTGAATTATGTTTATTCAGTATTATCTGAATTGGGGTCTTGCTTCTCTTTAGGATTGCAGGCCTTAACTTTTCTTCAACTTGGGGAGAGGTCTTAATTATGTTATAAAAATTATGCAAAATTCACTCCTTATTACTTGGCCTTGTTGTGCGAGTAATTGATGCGTAATTGTGTAAAGAAAATGGGTTCTTCCTCACTGTAGTAGTTTGGAGCTCACCTGGAACTGGGGAGAGGGAAGGAGAGGGAAGGAGAGGAAGCTAACATTCCTACCTCAGAATGCTGAATGTACCCCATTTTTCACATAAGGGAGCTGTGGCTTTCGGAGCCCATATCCCGCTGAGCACTGTGGCTGTGCTAATGAGAAACTCAGCGCCCTTGGGCCAGGTTTCCCCTGCTGTGCGAGTTCTGTCCCACACCTGGAGGGATGGGAGAATAACCAGTCAGTGTGGATCAAGGGCATTTAGCGCAATTTGTGGGTCTGTTACTGTTGCTACAAAGCACTGAGGCTGCTTTTTCCTGTCACGCAGCTACCACTTATAACCACCTGGTTAAGTCGAGATTTGGAGGTGGTTTAGTTTGGGGCCTGGATGCACCTTGCAGAGAGAGACCGCTGGCTTTTTGTAGCAACTGTCATGATGCATTTTGTAAGCATTAAGAGGTGTGTGGTGAGCAAATTGACAGAATAACCAAGGTCGCTGTTAGGAGAACGATCCTGGTGTTGATCTATGCCTGGAGCCTGGGTCAGGCAGGTGGCAGGTTCCATGGTCCCCCCACCCCTGCGGTTAGGGGTGGTGTTGACTGTGTCTCTGTGGCCCCTGGGGTGGAGAAATGGATGCAGACTGCCCCAAGTGGAGGATGAGCTCCTCCATTACAGGCAACTTTTGAGGGGACAGTTAACCAGCTGTTCTAGGACAAACTTGTCTAACCCGAGGCCCAGGACAGCTTTGAACATGGCCCAACACAAATTTCTTAAACTTTCTTAAAACATGAGGTTTTTTTTTGTTTGTTTTGTTTTGTTTTTGTTTGTTTATTAGCTATCATTAGTTTATTTTATGTGTGTCCCAAGATCATTCTTCTTGCATTGTGGCCCAGGGAAGACAAAAGATTGGCCACCCCTGTTCTAGGACCTCCTTTACTTGCATTTTCCCCCCTTTTTATCACTTGGTGAGAGTTTGGGTATCAGCTTACATCAGAGGTTGTGAGGAAAATAAAAAGGTATAGTTTGCTGGTAAAAAAGAGAGTAAAACTTTGCTAAAACTCTTAGGTTAACAATCTCATAGATAATTGAGGGTTGTACTTTGACTTCTGATTTATTCTTCTTTGCTTTAGTGGTTTTCCCGGATTGTGTGTAGGTGTGAGATCAACCATGAGTTCCGTTGCAGTTTTGACCCAAGAGAGTTTTGCTGAACACCGAAGTGGGCTGGTTCCGCAACAAATCAAAGGTGACAGCCCTTTTATGTGCTCTTCCTGGTAATGTCTAAGGCATTGCTCCCTCTAAAGCCTTTACCAAATCCCATGCCCTTTCTAGAAGTACCTTTTGGCCCTGTGGTTGTGGGGCAGGGAGGGTCCAACATCTTGTGCACTGTTTTCGCATTGCTGTGCGTGCAGGGGCGACTGGCCAGGCATGAGGAAATGAATCAAGTACAGTGAGATTTAACATGTGGGCAGCTTTCTGGAAAGCCAGCGAATTTGACCATTGGTAATTAATGCAGTCCTTTTCAAAACTGCTTTTTCCTAATTGTGGTAAACTAAAATCTGGGCTCTGAAGCATCCCAGAGCATTGCTTAAGCCTGCCTTGAGGATGAAGGCTGGACCCTGGCTTCGGAGTTCTCGAACGCCACTGGCTGGGATTAAGAGCAGTGCTGTACAGTAGAATAGACTACAAGCCACGTGTACAATTTTTAGGATTCTCTGGTACTTATTAAAAGGGAACAGGTGAAATTAATTTTGATATTTTACCCCAATATGTCTAATACACTGTCATTTCAACATCTCTAATGTAAAAAAAAGGGGGGGAACCATTGATATTTGAGATTATTTCTCTTCGAAGTCTGATGTGTATTTACAACGGTGGGACATTTCCTTCCATTTGAATGCCAGATTTTCATCCAAAATCCTTGATCTGTGTTTAGATGTTATAAAATCTTCATTTGAAAGAGCAGATTGTTCTACTCCAGGTTGTTCGAAACACACTTAAAAGTTTTCCAATAACTAAATTGAGTATTAGTTCTTAAAATTAATTAAAATATAAAATTAACTTTTCCTTAGTCACACTAGCCACATTTCAGAAGCTCATTTCTGGTGGCTGCTGTGTCAGGTGTTGGAACCCGAGAAGCTGCTTTGTTCTGGGGGCCTGGGATCCTCCTCCTGGAGCCAGCTTCCCTGTGAAGTCTGTGTTTCCCTTTCTAGAGAGGGAAGACGGCACTGAAAGAATGCTTCCACCTGTCCTGTCAGCGCTGTCGGGTAGATGGGCATGCAGCTGGGAAGCGATGGGCCTGGACTTGGGCATGAGCCTGTCTGATTCCAGAGATCATCCCCCTGTTCTCTGTCACATCCATTCATGGTGTTTTTCACTGGGCCTTGCTATTGCCAAGACGCCATGCTCAGTCCTGGGGATTTGGGTTATCCAAAACAGTCACACCCTTGATTTCATGGAGATTGTGGCTAATGGCACAAACACATGAACAAATAGGGCACTATGGAAGATGGAAGTGATGATAATCAGGGAACCTGATTTCCACAAGCCTTGCTGTCCTCTGCCTTGGGCAGGGCAGGGGGAGATCAGCGGTGACAATTGCCACTGCAGTCTTTTTTTTTGAGACGGAGTTTTGCTCTTGTTGCCCAGGCTGGAGTGCAATGGCGCAGTCTTGGCTCACTGCAACCTCTGCCTCCCGGGTTCAAGCGATTGTTCTGCCTCAGCCTCCCGAGTAGCTGGGATTACAGGCATGCACCACCCACACCTGGCTAATTTGTATTATTAGTAGAGACAGGGTTTCTCCATGTTGGTCAGGCTGGTCTCGAACTCCCGACCTCAGGTGATCTGCCTGCCTCGGCCTCCCAAAGTGCTGGGATTACAGGTGTGAGCCACCACGCCCGGCCTCCACGGCAATCATTTTTAACCTTGTATGTTACAGTGGAAAATCAGAGTTTGCTTCAAAGGCAATTCTCACAGGTGGTGCTGGGTAGGACCATTGTTTTGCAAATGCAGGGGTCTGCTCTGTGCCTGGCATTGCCATAGTTGTGATTTTTTTAAGTGTGTTATTAGACTCTAGAGGACTTAAAAATTGACGTAGCAAGGCTTGCTTTCAAGGGACTCACCCCGTTAGGGGAGTGGGGCTCACAATGTCTGAGCTGATGTTTACCAAGGAGGCCATGTGGATGGGGGTAGGTTCGCTGTCAGAGACTGGGAGTCTCTGGCCTCCTCTAGCTCTCACACTCAGGGTGCTGGGCCTGGTGACCTCCTGGGGCCTTTTCCTATCACTATGAATTAGAAGAGAGGGGTGGGGGGAGTTGTCCTTGGAGCATTTGATGGTTCTTGTTTGTCTGTTTTTAAGCACTAAAACCCTTAAAAGTGTTTTTCATGTAATGCTAAAAGTAGTGCTTCCTTTTAATCTGTGTTGGCTGGTCCAGTTGCCACTCTAAATTCAGAAGAGGAGAGCGACCCTCCAACCTACAAGGATGCCTTCCCTCCACTTCCTGAGAAAGCTGCTTGCCTGGAAAGTGCCCAGGAACCCGCTGGAGCCTGGGGGAACAAGATCCGACCCATCAAGGCTTCTGTCATCACTCAGGTAGAAACACCATTCTTTCTTTTAAAAATTTTATCATGTAACATGTCTATGTAAATTTTTAAATTTTTTTTCTTTTTTTTTTTTTTGAGACAGAGTCCCGCTCTGTCGCCCAGGCTGGAGTGCAGTGGTGCGATCTCGGCTCACTGCACGCTCCGCCTCCCGGGTTCACGCCATTCTCCTGCCTCAGCCTCCCGAGTAGCTGGGACTACAGGTGCCCGCCACCACGCCCGGCTAATTTTTGTATTTTTAGTAGAGACGGGGTTTCACCATCTTAACAAGGATGGTCTCCATCTCCTGACCTCGTGATCCGCCTTCCTCGGCCTCCCAAAGTGCTGGGATTATAGGCATGAGCCACCGCGCCCGGCCAGTTTTTTAAATTTTTAAAAATTAATTGCTGTTCTTTCTTAACCTATCCTTCCAAGCGTAGAATCTGATGGAAGAGTTTCTGAATGTGCAAGATTGAGAATGCTTTGAGTAGCTAAAGGGAGAAGGCCTTCAATTTAAATCATCCCCCACCCCAGAGATGTTTCTGTCGACCACTTCTCTCATGTCCACCCTGTATGCTAGCACTCAGTAGGACAGGCACGTGGTCGTTTTGCAGGCAGTGTTTGTCAGATGAATGGGTCCTGTTTTCTGTTCTCTATTCATTATCCTGCTTTCTCGAAGAGGTTAACCAGTTTCCTGGTTTTCTTTGGCTTCAGTAGCCCTTCTCTCTGCTACCTGAATTTGAGATGTTAGTGAGTTTCAAAACTTTTATATAAATTCATATCATCTGGTCATGGTGGAAAATTACTATCTCGCTGCCAGTGTCTTCCCTGAATTTTAGGCTCATAAACAGTTGCATCCCAATCCTTCCATTTTCACCTGTCTGCTATCTTGTTAATGGTTTTGTTAAATGTACCACTGTCTACTTGGTGACTGTGGTCTCACACCAGGGTAGTTGATCCCTCTTGCTTCCACCTTGTCCCTCCTCAGTTCTTCTCCATAAAGCAACGGGAGGGACCCTGCACCATCAAGCAGAATGCCTCCTGCTGAAAAGCCTGTGTTGACTTTTACTACAGGGTGGGATGGGTGATCCTCTTCACTGTCCCCCTCTGGTGTGTGCACCAGGCTCCGCCCCCATCCACCTCCTCCGCTTTCCTGCCTGTACACCCTTAGTTCCCTCACCTCTTAACATGGATAGCTGCCTCGTGCTTCAGGACGGTGTTTCCTGGCCGTCCCCAGGGTCCACCTCCCACTTTCTCTCAAACTCTCTTGCCCCTGTTGATTTCATCACAGCACTTGCTAGCTGCCTCATTCATTTGTGCAGCTGATGTGGTTCTCTCCTTAGGATGTCAGCCTCTTGACCTTGGCCCTTTCTCCTTGTCTTTCGGCTGCTTTATCCCAGGGCTTCGAGCAGTGCCTGTGGGCAGGGTGGGGCTGCTTTGTGAGTGGATGGTGATGAACACATGTTCTTTACTCCCTATCTGTTGGCCTTCTTTTAATCTCTTAACCTTTCCTTTTTTGATCTTTTTTGAGCAGGTGTTCCATGTACCCCTGGAGGAGAGAAAATACAAGGATATGAACCAGTTTGGAGAAGGTGAACAAGCAAAAATCTGCCTTGAGATCATGCAGAGAACTGGTGCTCACTTGGAGCTGTCTTTGGCCAAAGACCAAGGCCTCTCCATCATGGTGTCAGGAAAGCTGGATGCTGTCATGAAAGCTCGGAAGGACATTGTTGCTAGACTGCAGACTCAGGTGGGTAGCCTGAGGCCTACTTCTCCCCAGTGACTGTGTACCCGTTCCATTACCCGGCTCCTGATGCAGGCTAGAACGTCACTGGACCCTTCCTACCAGTGGGACAGTTCCGTCTTTTGGAGGTAGGACAGCAACATTCAGAGTCCTCTGGCATTTTTAGTGGAAAAACTCACTAAACTAATAATAGAACTGGGACACTTACCATTTTTGCTCTTTGAGTGAATGAACTTGAAAGTAATAATAATTTTTTTTTTAAGAGACAGAGTCTCACCTTGTTGTCTAGGCTCTTGTGCAGTGGCTATTCACAAGTGTGGTTATAGTACACTGTGGCCTCAAACTCCTGGGCTCAGGCAATCCACCTAGCCTCCCAGTTAGCTGGGATTACAGGCACACCACCACATCTGGCCAAACTGAAAATTAGAAGCTTGTCCCAGAGTTTGAGACACTTAAAAGAAGCTGGGCTTGCTGAATGGTAAAGATGGGTGGTTCCCATTGCTTTGCTAGTATGTTCACTAACTACACATTTCCAGGCCCCAAATTGAGGAGATTACAAGTTCAAATTCTGTTTTAAGCCAGTTTCCTCGTCTTTGGCAGTCTGATGCCAGTACTTGGACTTTATTTAAGAACATTTGTAATAAGCAAATCTCTGATGCATTTCTCCCTAAGTGGTAGCACTTAAAGACCAAGAAAAATGTAAAGAATCTTACTAAAGTGTTGCGTGACTGCTGTTGTACTAGATAGGCTTATTTAGGAATGGGGGTTCTTCCCATCTGCTACTGAGTCTCCTTGATCTTGTGGGAGCTGGATCTGGAGCACCCTGGAGCATGGTGATTGGACGATGGGGATTTGATGGGAGAGGGCCTGAGGGGTAGGAGTGCAGGGTGTAGCCAGGAGGCGAGGCAGAGGAGTGCCACCTAATGCAGGTCCAGCTGTGCCACTTAACCACATGGGGGCATCGGGACAGTCCCCAACCCCAGCTGGCTTCATGGAGTTAAACCATTAAGTGTTAGGAAGGTGAAAGTGTTGCTTATAATTGTCCAGCATGGTGGCCAGTGCATAATAGGCTCTGAAAGTTTTCCAGGTGTCTGCTAGTCAGTGGATATTTGAGCTTCTGTTTTGTAATCAACACTGTAGGGGAAAGGGCCACTTCACTGAATATATGGATCAGAATGAAGACATTGACCCCTGACACTCTCCTACTCCTCAATTATCTTCAGACAAATCCCAGATACATTATTGTGCCTTAGTTCAGATCTTCCCGTTTTCATGTATACATATATATAGTCATTGTGCTCCTAACTCATGTAATCATATTGATAGTGGTTTCTTAATATTATACCTTTTTAACCCAGTCTCTGTTTGGACTTTCCTCATCATCTCCAAGATGTTTCTTTCAGTTGGTCTTTTCAAGTCAGTGTCCAAACAAGGTCACAATGTTGCATTTGATTATAGAGTCCTGTCTCTCATTCTTTAACAGTGCTTACTCCCTCCTACCCCCTTTTTTTTTTTTTTTTTTGAGACAGGATCTCACTTTGTTGCCCAGGCTGGAGTGCAGTGGTGCAGACACAGCTCATGGCAGCCTTGACCTCCTGGGCTCAAGTGATCCTCCTGACTCAGCCCTTCAAGTAGTTGAGACTGCAGGCATGCACCATCAGGCCCGGCTTTTTTTTTGTTTGTTTTTTGGCAGATGCGGGTTTTCACCATGTTGCCCACTCTGGTCTCAAACCCCTAGGCTCAAATGATCCACTCATTTCAGCCTACCAAAGTGTTGGAATTACAGGTGTGAGCCACCACGCCCAGCCAATCCTCCCCTTTTTTAATGCCATTGATTAGTGGGGACCGTAGGTTTTTGGTTCTGCTATTGACTGATTATTTTTGGTGAACTGGTGTTAGATCTCTAGGGGCTTGGTTACTTCCACAGTCAGCTTGTTGGGCAAGAAGACCCTGTAGGTGGTGCTGAGTCTGTGCTGTGATAGCTGGTTGTTCTGCTTTGAACTGATTTTGAGATTGATCATTAGGCTCAGGTCTGGGTCTTCCCTTGTAAAGTTCCCTATCAGTGCTTTGTGTAATCATTTTACTATCAATTGGTGATTGCCCAAATTCGTTAAGGGTTGCAAATTATGCTTTTCTAATTCTCTCCCTGCTCATACATTAGTTGATAATTCTTGTAAAGAAGAATTTTTCTTCATCAGCAGTTGGGTGGGAAGTACCAGATAAATAATCGATTCTTTGGCGCTCCGGCGACTTCAGTGTTGATCAGTGACTCTCTTTAGTGTCATTATGAACTCAGGCATTGTCCATCATTCTTCATGCTGGAGCTGCTTCATCTTTGGCCAGTGGGTCCCCTCCTTTCAGTTTTGTTCCCTGCAGCTTTCTGTCATGACCTATTAATATCAATACCTTCTGGCCAGGTGCAGTGGCTCACGCCTATAATCCTAGCACTTTGGGAGGCTGAGGCGGGCAGATCACCTCAGGTCAGGAGTTTGAGACCAGCCTGGCCAGTATGGCGAAACCCCATCTCTACTAAAAATACAAAAAAATTAGCCAGGCGTGGCGGTGGGTGCTTGCAATCTCAGCTACTTGGGAGGCTGAGGCAGGAGAATCACTTGAACCCGGGAGGCAGAGGTTGCAGTGAGCCAAGATCATGCCATTGCACTCCAGCCTGTGCAACAGGAGCAAAACTCTGTCTCAAAATAATAAATAAATAAATAAATAACTTCTTAATTTCTAACACAGAAAGATGCCTCAGGCTAATCTTACATATTTCCTTCCACAGACCTTGAGTCAGCTGTTTCTCTCTGAACTCTGAACCTTTTGAGTAGGAAATTGCAGTTGGAGACTCCAGTCTCCATAGGTGCACGTCGCAACTAGGTTGTCAGAGCTTCTAGGCTTTTTCAGAAGACAGAGCTAGGATAATTGTACTTTTAAGAAAGGAAAAGCAGGCGGTGACTCTCACGCCTGTAATCCTAGCACTTTGGGAGGCCGAGGTGAGCAGATTGCATGAGCACAGGAATTTGAGACCAGCCTGGGCAACATGGTCAGACCCCATCTCTACAAAAAATAGTGGTGGCGTGCTCACCTGTAATCCCAGCTACTTAGAAGTCTGAGGAGAAAGGATTGTTTGAGCCTGGGATGTGGAGGCTTCTGTGAGCAGTGTTTGCACCACCACAGCCCAGCCTGGGTGACAGAGTCCCAGAAAAGGAAAATCATGAGTTCAAAATCACTTGAAGTAATTCCTTTTTTCTGAGTTTTTCTGTCATCTTGATATAGTTAGGTACATTTGTTTCCATTTACTGTCAATTTTTAAAGTATTTCAACATTTACATGCTTGCAAAGTCAACGTTATATAATAAAGTACTTTCAGAGAAATCTCCCCTGCCTGTTACCTTCACCCTGCTCCCTCCTCACCTTTGCAGGCGGCCATTCCTGGTCCTGGTTTATCCTTTGTTGTTTGTTGTTTGAGAGCAGAAGCAAAATACAGCTTGCCATACACCCTGTTCTATGCCTTGCTTTTTTTCTTTTATTATTTTTTGGAGGTGTCTGCATATCAGTAAGTAGTGATTTTTCTCATTTCTTTGTTCAGCAGTGTAATATTCTGTGGGCGTACTGTAATTTACCCAGGCTTTCCTACTGATGGGCATTTGGGTAGTTTCCAGACTTTAGCTGTTACAAATTATGTTACAGTAGCAATCGTGTGCATATGCTATTTCCTGTTTTACCCAGTGTATCTTGGGATAGATTCCTAGAAGTGAGATGGCTGGGTCAGAGGGTGGCTGCATGTGGAATCGGGCCATCGGATGCTAAATTTCCTTCCTTAGGAATTAGTGTTTTGCCGTCTCATCAGCAGTATGCAAGAGCCAGGCTCTTCACATTCTTGGGTTTTAGCCGATGTGAGAGGCAACCAAATATACTTTAAATTTGCATTTTTCTGATGAGCAAGATTGAGCACCTTTTCAATATATAAGGGCCACTTGCATTTTTTATTATCTTGAGTCATTGTTAGGAAAGTTTTTTCACTATCAGGTCATAAGAAAGTTTATCTTTTCTTCTGCTGCTTGTAAATGTGTTCTTACATTTCAGTTTCTGATCTATTTGGAATTTATTGCAAATAGGGTTGAGGCACTGATTGAGTTTCACTTTTTTCCATACGGCTTTCGAGTTGTCAGCACTATTTTTTTGTTTGTTGTAACACAGGGTCTCAGCCTGCCACATAAGCTGAAGTGCCATGGCATGATCACGGCTCACCGGAGCCTCAACCTCCTAGGCTCAGGCAGTTCTCCTGCCTCAGCCACCCCAGTAGCTGGGACCACAGGCACACGTCACCATGGCCAGCTAATTTTTTTTTTTTTTTTTTTTTTTTTTTTGAGACGGAGTCTTGCTCTGTCGCCCAGGCTGGAGTGCAGTGGCGCGATCTCGGCTCACTGCAAGCTCCGCCTCCCGGGTTCACGCCATTCGCCTGCCTCAGCCTCCCGAGTAGCTGGGATTACAGGCGCCTGCCACCATGCTAATTTTTGTATTTTTGGTGACCTCGTGATCCACCCACCTCGGCCTCCCAAAGTGCTGGGATTACAGGCGTGAGCCACTGCGCCTGGCCTTGGCCAGCTTATTTTTAAAATTTTTGTAGAAGTCAGGTCTCACCATGTTGCCCAGGCTGATCTTGGACTCCTGGGCTCAAACAATCCTCTCATCTCGGCTTCCCGGAGTGCTGGGATTACAGGCGTGCCATCACTGTCTTGAAAAGACGTTTTGCTCTAGTGAACTTGAGTGGCTGCTTTTATCATGTCCTAAATGTTTATATTAACTTAGCTCTGTTTCTGGGTTTTCAGTTCAGACCAGCAGGTCTTTCCGTATACTGGTATTTCCTGTGTTAATGATAATGGTTTCATGTTTAATGTCTAGGACCACTGTTAACACCTCCACCCTGCACTATTCTTTTTCAGGGTTTTCTTGTTCATTTTTGTTGGTTCTGTGTTACAACCTTTATAATCAACTGTTTGAAATTGTATTAATATTTTAAAGTTAATTGGGATGATCGCCATCTACTTAAACCTTCTGTTAGCTATTTTAAGGAGTGTTTTCTAATTTCGAATGCACATACTCCACCTTGTGTTGGGCTTGTGTCTTGCTATTTTCTTGTCCTTTTTTCTTTTTTCCTTTTTTCTATTAGAAACACATCTTTTGGCCAGGCGCAGTGGCTCACACCTGCAATCCCAGCACTTTGGGAGGCTGAGGTGGGCGGATCACAAGGTCAGGAATTCGAGACCATCGGGGCCAACATGGTGAAACCCTGCCTCTACTAAAAATATAAAAATTAGCTGGGCATGGTGGCGCACGCCTGTAGTCCCAGCTAATCGAGAGGCTGAGGCAGGAGAATCCCTTGAACCCAGGAGGCAGAGGTTACAGTGAGCCAAGATGGCACCACTGCACTCCAGCCTGACGTCAGAGCGAGACTCCGTCTCAAAAAAAAAGAAACGCATCTCTTTCATTACATCTTCTAAGTAGTTGTTGTTTGTGGAAGTTAATGTTGTTAACTTCTTGATTTCAGTCTTTTCTCTTTGCTATAAATAGAATTTCACCCAGTAGTTTTTTCAGGGTTTCTGGATATGCAGTCATGCTTCTTCCTGTCCAGCTTTTGTGGATGTTAACTCTTGTCTCCCTTTGTGGGTGTATATTCCAGTGGATGTTAAGTAGTGGTGCAGATACACTCGAACTTACCCTAACCTGGGAGTCAGGGCAACCTTCCCCAAGCATGTGATGTTTAAGCTCATGCTGTTTTAATGGATGAGTTGGTGCTGCTGGGCAGGAATAAGCAAAGATGGTGTTTCTGCCAGAATGTCTTGGAAAAATATGCTCCTTCAGAACCTACAAATATTCTTGTTTTCTTTTATTCTCTTCTTGCTATAGGCCTCAGCAACTGTTGCCATTCCCAAAGAACACCATCGCTTTGTTATTGGCAAAAATGGAGAGAAACTGCAAGACTTGGAGCTAAAAACTGCAACCAAAATCCAGATCCCACGCCCAGATGACCCCAGCAATCAGATCAAGATCACTGGCACCAAAGAGGGCATCGAGAAAGCTCGCCATGAAGTCTTACTCATCTCTGCCGAGCAGGTGAGGCCTGTGTGAGTGCCTCGTGCCCCTGCCTACCTGCTTGTGCAGACCTCACTCCCTCATGGGTTGCCGTGTCCAGTGTGGACTTCAAGGCATAATGTGGTGGGGGTGGAGGGCTTGACTCCAACTCTAAAAAGCCCTGTCTGTCCCCAGTTTGTTTTCAAAGGCCTGTTCTCATCAGATCATCCCTTCCTTTCCAGGACAAACGTGCTGTGGAGAGGCTAGAAGTAGAAAAGGCATTCCACCCCTTCATCGCTGGGCCGTATAATAGACTGGTTGGCGAGATCATGCAGGAGACAGGCACGCGCATCAACATCCCCCCACCCAGCGTGAACCGGACAGAGATTGTCTTCACTGGAGAGAAGGAACAGTTGGCTCAGGCTGTGGCTCGCATCAAGAAGATTTATGAGGAGAAGGTACACGATTTAGAGGAGGCAAATCCCCATGGGCAGGAATAGAAATGAGGATTTGGGTCTGGAGATTCAGTTAAGGCCTGGTTCTGCCCCTTATCTTTTTGTCCTTGATGAAGATGCTTATTGTCTCTACACTTGAGTGACCCGGGTGAGATCGGTGCCCGCCCCCCCTTGCTGTTGAGCATCTGCCTGGCAGTTGTCCTTGCCGTCCTGGGCCTCTGACTGTGCTGACAGGCTGCCAGCTGGGCTGCCCCGGGTCAGATGCACATCCCGGACTTGTTCACGTCTTAGATTAAGCTGTTAGCTCAGCTTAGTGAACTTTGAGGTCTGAAACGTGTTCCTTAATTGAGGGAAAGGATTGGGTGTTTTGCAGTGTTCAAGGACGAAGTTATCAGCCGGCGGGTGACTAGACTGAGGGGAAAAATCCAGTCCTTGAACAGTGAAGTTTCTGGGGATTGGCTAGTCCTGATCACTTGTTGTTCACTTCTTGGGATCAGCATCTATAGTCTGGGCCGCTTTGGCTTGCTTTCTGCAGCAGTGGCCATGCCCACCTGCCCGCTTCCCACACCTTTCCCTTTGACTGCCCCTTATGGTGCTCTTATTTAGAAAAAGAAGACTACAACCATTGCAGTGGAAGTGAAGAAATCCCAACACAAGTATGTCATTGGGCCCAAGGGCAATTCATTGCAGGAGATCCTTGAGAGAACTGGAGTTTCCGTTGAGATCCCACCCTCAGACAGCATCTCTGAGACTGTAATACTTCGAGGCGAACCTGAAAAGTTAGGTCAGGCGTTGACTGAAGTCTATGCCAAGGTAACTGCCTCCGAGCATGAAGTGTGTCTCCTTTGAGTGGAGTCCGCGGGGCCTTCATGGATGAGCTCTCGATTTGTAAATCCTGGGGCCTGGACACAGTGCAGGTGCCCAGGTTTGGGGAGAGCGTGCCTCTGAGCCCCAGGTGAGCAGCCTGGCTTTCACTGTGACACGACCTTGAGCTCTGCAAACCCATGGCTGTTCTCCCATTTTCTTAGGCCAATAGCTTCACCGTCTCCTCTGTCGCCGCCCCTTCCTGGCTTCACCGTTTCATCATTGGCAAGAAAGGGCAGAACCTGGCCAAAATCACTCAGCAGATGCCAAAGGTAAGGACACGTTTTTCACCTGTTGTATTGAATTTGTCTTGTTTTCTGTCTTTCTGTTTCTGATATTGCTTTGTTGACCTTTGTACTGTGGATGCCCTTGAAAACTGGTGTATTTTTCTGAATTAACTGGCCTGTTTGACATGGTCAACTTCCGTGTTAGCTTAAAGAACAGCAGAATAAATGTCTGTAGATGTCTGTACCATCCTTCTGGCCTTTAACCAGAGAGGATTGTATGTTCTTAGGTTTCATAAGTATCTTAAGAAACATGTCATTTAGTAATTATGGTGAAATAACTTCATGATACTTTGGCGGGCCGGGTGCGGTGGCTCATGAGGTCAGGAGATCGAGACCATCCTGGCTAACATGGTGAAACCCCGACTCTACTAAAAATACAAAAAATTAGCCGGGCTTGGTGGCGGGCACCTGTGGTCCCAGCTGCTTGGGAGGCTGAGGCAGGAGAATGGCGTGAACCCGGGAGGTGGAGCTTGCAGTGAGCCGAGATGGCACCACTGCATTCCAGCCTTGGCGACAGAGCGAGACTCTGTCTCAAAAAAAAAAAAAAAATACTTTGAAGAGCAGAACTTGTATACAAATTGTATTAAGTGTGAATTTAAAGCGTTCTCAGTTTACCAAAGGAGATTGTAGCCCCCAGGAAACATGAACAAAAAAGAAATACCAGAGAATCCAACCATCATATTTAATTCCTGTTTTATTTAAACTTTGTTTCCAATTAATGTTACAGTCCTTTTTAAAAATTAAATTTTTTTTATTTTATTCCTTTTTTTTAGTGACAAAGCCTCACTCTGTCACCCAGGCTGGGGTGCAGTAGCGCAGTCATAGCTCACTGCAGCCTTGAACTCATGGGTCAAGTGATCCGCTCGTCTCAGCTTCCCAAGTAGCTGGCACTACAGGCGCCCCAGGCTAGTTTTCGTGGAGGCAGAGTCTTACTAGTTGCCCAGGTTGATCTCGAACTCGTGGGATCAAGTAGTCCTCCTACCTCAGCCTCCCAAAATATTGAGGTTATGGGTGTGAGTCACTGTGCCCAGCCCCTTTTACTTTGTATAGCTTCATATAAGGACCAGTCTGCCTTCCTTAACTCCTTACCTGGAGGATAATAAACCAGGAACTCTGGCAGCCTTGTCTATGTCAAGCAAGTTACTTTACCACCTTGGTACAGCTATACGAGTTTTAAAATTCCATCCGTGCTCTGTCTCATTCTTTATGCAACTCAAGAGGACCAGGCCTTGTAAAAGTTCAGATGGTGGAGGAGCATGTCGCATGTCGCATGCTTTATGTTAGTGGCTTCTGTGGGGCAAACGGTGTCCTTAGTGAGAGGCAGGATTATTCGGCCACAGTATTTAGTTTCCTGACTATGGCTCCCTAACCCTCCCTTTCAACTTTGTTTGATGGCTGTGGATATGTCCCTCCCTCCCTCACATCTATGTGAAGCAGTTTGGGATCAGAAGCCGCTCCGAAGAGAGCTCCCACTGGGAGCTCAGGGGCTGCAGCTGTGCCATTCTGTTTTAGCTATCTCTTTGGTTTTGGTGTGGTAGGTTCACATCGAGTTCACAGAGGGCGAAGACAAGATCACCCTGGAGGGCCCTACAGAGGATGTCAATGTGGCCCAGGAACAGATAGAAGGCATGGTCAAAGATTTGGTAAGGTACCCCTTGGAATGTTGTGTGTGCTGGTGACAAGGGAGGCTCTGAGTTGGGCATGGGCGGTCATCTCTCGATGACATCCCACATGTCCGGGCACAGACACCCAGGGCATCCTAGCTGGGTGAGTAATAGGTTCTGAAACAACCAGAAGCTGGTCGAAGTCCTGGAATAATCGTGGGTGGAGGAAACTTCATCTTGAAGAAGGCATCTTTCAGGGGAGATGCAGGGGCAGTCTCCAACAATTCCTGACAGCTGAGTGGTCAGAAAAGGCAACCGTGGAGACTGCTGGGTTTTGGTTCAGCTCATTGGCCAAGTAACCAGGCGCATCCATGGACCTCTGTGCTCCTCCTGCAGATTAACCGGATGGACTATGTGGAGATCAACATCGACCACAAGTTCCACAGGCACCTCATTGGGAAGAGCGGTGCCAACAGTGAGTGAGGCTGTCTGTTGCGGTGGGGCCAGTGTGCCCTGAGACCCTTGTGGGGGGTGTCAGCTGTGAGAACTGTGACGTCCGTGCAGACAGTCCAGGCCCATTGCTGCCTGTAATGGGAGTTACAGACTTTACATCCTCCTGCCTGCTGGAAGAGGCCACTTTTCCTTTTCCCTTTGGTGCAGTGGTTGGATTAGAGCTGCTTGGCCAGTGGGTGAATTGTCACTTTTGGAAATCCATCTAAGCCCTCCCCAAATAACCCACAGAGGCCATGTTGAAGGCATGCCCAAGGGCAGCATTCTCTATATTTCCGTCAGACCTGCTAGGTTAGCCAATCAGTGTTGGTAGTACTCATGCCTTCTGAACGTGGAAACTGCTGATCTGGAACTCACTGAAGAGTAAAAACATTCTAGATTTGTGCCCAAGTAAAACAACATGGGGAGGGATACTTTTTTGAGACAGGGTCTCACTCTGTCACCCAGGCTGGAGTGCAGTGGCGTGATCTCAGCTCACTACAACCTCTGCCTACCGGGCTCAAGCAATTCTCCAGCTTCAGCCTCCTGAGTAGCTGGGACTACAGGTGCATGCCACCACAGCCAATTAATTTTTGTATTTTTAGAAGAGACGGGGTTTCACCATGTTGGCCAGGCTTGTCTCAAATTCCTGGGCTCAGGTGATCTGCCCACCTTGGCCTCCCAAGGTGCTGGGATTAAAAGTGTGAGCCACCACACCCAGCAGGGGGATTCTGTTGAAGAGGCAGTGATATGTCAGCCAAGGTCGCTATATGCCTCACCTGTGCCAGGTTGTAGGTGTAGCACAGTTACAGGACACTGTTGGAAGTATGTCATGTGGGCCAAGGTCGCTGTGTGCCTCACCTGTGCCAGGTTGCAGGTGTAGCACAGTTACAGGATGCTGTTAGAAGTGTGTCGTGGGCATTCTGCTGCAGGTCCAAGGATGTTTTGTGTTGTTTGTTTGTTTTTTGGGACGGAGTCTCGCTCTGTCACCAGGCTGGAGTGCAGTGGCGTGATCTCAGTTCACTGCAACGTCCACCTCCCAGGTTCAAGCGATTCTCCTGCCTCAGCCTCCCAAGTAGCTGGGATTACAGGCGTGCACCACCACACCCAGCTAATTTTTTTGTATTTTTAGTAGAGATGGAATTTCACCATGTTGTCTAGGCTGGTGTCAAACTGCTGACCTTAGTTGATCTGCCCACCTCGGCCTCCCAAAGTGCTGGGATTACAGGCATGAGCCACTGTGCCCAACCAAGAATGTTTTTTTACACCTCTTTGTTTAACTGTATGGCTATACTCACACACTCGCGTGTTCTGAAAACAAGTGCACACGTCGCGTGTGTTACCTTTGGGTGGAAGGTGAGAAGGCAAGCACGTCCTCCATTCCTGGATAGTTCAGTGGATGAAGGAGCCTTTCCCAGGTAGTGGGACACCGACCTGCATAACATGACTGACGTCCGTGTATCCGTTTTTGTTATGAGTAAACATAGCCTTGGCAGCTGTGCTGTGGCCTGTGCAATGGTGAGCTCTCTGGTGTCAGTCTTATGTTTTGTGGGCATTTTACGTGACAGCGACGAGAGTCTGTAGGCACAAAGTGACCTTTTTGCGCACTACTTGAACCACACATACACCATAAACTTGCTTTTACGGTTTTGTTTTGGTTTTGGTTAACTGTAGCGTTTGTTTAGGCCTGACACGGTGGCTCTTGCCTGTAATCCCAGCATTTTGGGAGACCAAGGCAGGAGGATCACTTGAGCCCAGGAGTTCGAGATGAGCCTGGGCAACATAGTGAGACCCCTGTCTCTACAAAAAAGAAAAATTTAGCCAGGCCTGTGGTCCCCGCTGCTCTGGAGGCTGAGGCAGGAATATCACTTGAGCCCAGGAAGTCAAGGCTGCAGTGAGCTGTGATTGTATCGTGCCACTGCATTTTAGCCTGGGTGACAGAGCAAGACCCTGTCTCAAAACACATATATATGGAAGTACAGTAGTGTAAATCTAACATTAATTTCTGGTTTCTGCCCCCGAGAAATTGCAGAATGTAGCTTAGTCAGTCATGTCTGTTCTGTTTTCTTCTCATGCAGTTCCTAACTCTTGTCTTCTTTCGTAATCTAAAAAAACCTGCTGCCCAGCTCCCATGTCCTCTGCTTCTCTTGTCTTGTGTTGCTTCACCTGGCACAGCTGCATGTCCATGTTCCCCCCTCAGTGCATCGCCTCGTTGCTGCCTCTGCGTGTGCATGTGTTTGGGATGGACGCACAAAAAGCCCTCCTCGTGGTCCTTCCAGCAAGCTGGGCTTCCCTTTACTGCACAGTGGGCAAGATTCCTGCCTTGTTTCCTGATGATACGGCTTCTCCAGAGTTTGGGGGGCCTGGAACTCTTAACTTGGGGGTACTGGGTTCTATCCAGAGAGGTTGACAGCAGGAGGGTTTGCAACAGCACTTGTCTTGCAGACACAGTGAAGTGCTCAGTGTGAATCTGAGCCAACAGTAGATGGGGTCTCTGGGCAGCAGCATGGGCCCCACAAGGCTCTTAGGCGTCAGTGAGTGCTTTTGTGTGGAGTTAATGTGTGTGGTTTTTTTAACTTGAGAATAGTAGTTCCCAAACTTACTGCACATTAGAAACACCTGGAATCCTTCAACTATTCTGAAGCCCTGGCCAATACCCCAGACGAGCTAAATCCCAGACTGAGTGGCCCCAACCGTCAGTTATTTGAAGGTCTCGGGGCATTTCCAGCTTCTGGTCCAGGCTGAGAGCCTGTCCTCCAGAACCCTTGTGATCCAGGTGAAGATCATAACTGGCCCCCATTCTAGACAATGGAGATTTTTGTTTGGGAAGCTAAGCATCGTTTTTGGTGATGGGAATCACAGATAAGGTTATTTAGCGCTTTAGCGCTGTCCTGCCCAGTTATGTCATTGGCAGAATGTTGTTGGTCTGTGTCCTAAATGTGTTTCCTTTTGTGTTCCTAAGTAAACAGAATCAAAGACCAGTACAAGGTGTCCGTGCGCATCCCTCCTGACAGTGAGAAGAGCAATTTGATCCGCATCGAGGGGGACCCACAGGGCGTGCAGCAGGCCAAGCGAGAGCTGCTGGAGCTTGCATCTCGCATGGTAAGTGCCATGGCTGGGCCCTCTAGAAAGGCACTGGCCTTGCGTCTCTTGGCCCCCTCTAAGGAGTAGCGTGTTGTGGTGTGCGGCCTTAGAGAATGGAAGTCGACAAATCCCACGTTGCACTGGAACCGGATTGGACTCCCTGGGGCCACATTTCCTTTATCCTCCCCAGGTCACCTGCACGTCTTGTTCTCCATGGCTGTGTGCTGTGCTAGAAGGGCACAGAGACTGTGTGGCAGCGTCTTGGCCTTGGCCACACCCTGGGTGCCCAGATGCCTGGGTACCATCTCCAGAGATTGTGACAGACATTTCTGGATTCTCAAAGGCATCCCAGGTGGTTCTCATGTAAGGCCAGACTCGAGGATCACTGCAAACCTGAAGTGGGGGCTGTTGCTCTCTACCACCTGGCAGAAGCACTGCACTGCTCTGGGCTCCCCGACGTTTCATACATGCTTATGCCAAGCTGTGAGCACCCTTGCTTCTGTGAGTCAGATACCCACACTTGAAAGTCTCTGGGTGCCTTTAAGTATCCAGAGAAGTCAAATACTGCGTGAGTGCCTGCAGCAGCACTTTGGCCTGACTGTGTGAGGAACAAGCCCCAGGGTTCCCTGTCATTCGCTTAGGGGATTCTTTGTTCACCTCACCCCAGTACCCACACGAGGAATCTCAAATTGGCAGACCTCTTTTATAGCCCTGAGCTGCATTCCAGGGCGTGATGCAGCCTCCCACTGCTTGTGGCCTTCCCGGAGCTCATTCCCCAGTCTCATATTCCAGGTTCTCCTCTTAGCCTGGCCTCCAGCCCAGGTCCCTTGTCCTGGCTGCTTTATGCCCTTCCTGATTGCTGAGCCCTTACTTCTCTGTCAGCCAATAGCCGTTTGATCCAGAATCTCTCAGAATTCTTGGAAATGTTTGGTTGGCTGTTGGTGTTCTTCCCTGAATTCCAGCTCTGCTTATTCTGTATTTCTTCTGACATTTTAATGGGGCCTGTGGAGGAGTTGAGAGCCATGTGGGTTCAGTGCCCTGTGTTGAACGTTCTTAGCCATGCGGGGAAAGTGGTCCGAGCCACCCTCTGTTCAGAAGGGATCACTCACTGCTATGCAGAATGCCAGGCCTCCAAGTAGAAGAGCTGGGCCTCCCCTGTAGTACCTGTTAAAACAGAAGTGCTCACTGAATTGCTTTGGTGATTACTGCTATCATGATAGCACTTTTGGTTGAAGGGTCCTACAGCGAGTTCCTTAATTGGACTTTGTTCAGGGAAGTGACGTGCAGCCCATGTTGCGGAGTGTAGCGATGCTTGGTGAGAGCACTCATTATGCGCTGTGCACACTCTTAACAGCTGGTTGCTCCCGGGGTGCTACGAGGTGCCACCTGGAGACCACCTCACCTGCTCCATGAAGGACTGTGCCCAGGGCTCCCTGGTGTCCCCTTGTGTCAGTGGGGAGTTGCTCGCCGTGCTTGTGATAAATGACATCTACTTTAATTGTATTTTTAGGAAAATGAGCGTACCAAGGATCTAATCATTGAGCAAAGATTTCATCGCACAATCATTGGGCAGAAGGGTGAACGGATCCGTGAAATTCGTGACAAATTCCCAGAGGTAAAGTTTCCCAGAGACATTCTGTAACTCTATAGGAGTGATCCAAGTCACACTTCAGGAATATTTGATATTTGGGATATATGTCCTTCCTCATACTTGAACTTAGTCTCCCCATGATTTGTTCTAGGTCATCATTAACTTTCCAGACCCAGCACAAAAAAGTGACATTGTCCAGCTCAGAGGACCTAAGAATGAGGTGGAAAAATGCACAAAATACATGCAGAAGATGGTGGCAGATCTGGTAGGGGTGTTTCACATCCTTTCTTGTATGACAGCACCTGGGGTGGGTGGGGCATGCGTCCTGTCAGAAGTCCTGACCCCCACAGGACCCCTGCTCTGGGGAAAGCACATAGGCCCTGGGCTGGCCTTCCATCTCAGGGACTTGGGACAAAGTGGTGACGGCTTCTCACTTAATACCTGGATGTTTAGATTGGCAGTCATTGTTAAGACTGCAGTGTTTGTGGAATTCAGGTGGGGAGATTTGCCTTTTCTCATGCCCAGTTACCTTGTTTCCTTGAGGAGTCTTCAGATACTTAGAGAAATTGTCCCATCCAGTAAGATAAGAGGTATAACAGGTGACATGAGGAGTCATATACTGATTTATTATTTTTCTCAAAAACTGACGTGGGAACAGGTTTAGAAAGTGTAGTGAGTAGTGGATGAGAAGGCCACAGGCAGCCATGTATTTCCGTGGGCTTCACCTTAGCTGATGGCTGCCCTGGGAGAGGCGATGGTGAAGGACTCCAGCACTGTGAGCTGCTGTCACATCACTGCCGTGAGTGCAGAATTGCCCAGAGCGTAGGGGTCCGTGCTGTCTCCATGTGTGTTCTGAGCCCCTTCCTTAACCAGCTCTGATCCTGGCATGGGACATGAACTCTCTCTTAGCCAAAAAGTAGACTTGCATCGATTGACTGTAATTTGCAACGTAAGTTAGTTGTTGGACAAATGATCTATCTCACTTACCCTCATGACAAACCTCTGAAGGTTTGTTTGCAAATACCAGTGCTCTGTCGTGTTCATGCTACCCTTAGGGGTAGAAGGGATACTGTATTTTACTCTCTAGCACAGGTGGTGAATCGGGCTGTGTTTTTTGTCTTTAAGGTGGAAAATAGCTATTCAATTTCTGTTCCGATCTTCAAACAGTTTCACAAGAATATCATTGGGAAAGGAGGCGCAAACATTAAAAAGGTGATAACTTGTCCGCTGCATCTTGCTTCTTCTTGCCTTGTCCTCTGTAGCCCTGCACCATTTTGGTTTTAGACTAGGAGGGACTCTTCCTTACTTCTAGCCCTGTGCTCAACTGTGTCTCAACTCTGGGAGAGCTCTAGTCAGCTTCTCATGGTGATCTCTCTCCCTGTAGATTCGTGAAGAAAGCAACACCAAAATCGACCTTCCAGCAGAGAATAGCAATTCAGAGACCATTATCATCACAGGCAAGCGAGCCAACTGCGAAGCTGCCCGGAGCAGGATTCTGTCTATTCAGAAAGACCTGGTAATGGGAGATGTTTTCTAATGGAGATCCTCCAGTAAAATCTCTAACAGCCTCTAAGATTGAGCCTGGGGTTGAGTCACGCAGGGTCATTGGGCCAGCGCAGGCTGATGTGGAAGATTGCACCTTTCAATCCAGGCTACTGATGAGTTGGTCAGCAGTTTTCTGCCTTTGTCTCTCACGATACTTACTTACCTGGACCCTGCAGCAGTAACATTTGACGTGGGCACTTGTCTTATTAGACATTTTCTTCTTGTTACCTGAAAATCTTATCTGAAGGTATTTACGGTATTTTCTTTCCTTTAAAAAAAATTGACATGCAGTAAATTGTACATATTTACAGTGTACAATGTAATAGTTTTGACGTGTGTATACATCCATGGAATCATTCCCACCATCACCCCAAAAATGTCCCATGCCATTTTGTATTACAGTCTCCCTCCATCCCACTTGGCAGCTCCTGAAAACCACACTCCCCCCACCCCCACTTCTATCCCCAGGCAACCCCCAGTCTGCTTTCGGCCACAGTAGATGCTTTTGGATTGTCTACGCTTTTGTGTGAATGGAATCATAACATCTACTCTTTATTGGGCCCATCTGCTTTCACTTTGCAGGATATTTTGACATTTGTGTGTGTTGTCACCTGTATTGTTGGTTTGTTCTTTTTTATTTCAGGATAATATTGCACTGTAGGGATAGATCATCTGTTTCTTTGTGTGTACTTGGTAATTAGTGTCTTTCAAGGGGTTTTCTATTTTCTCCAAGGTGTCAAATGTATTAACATGAAGTTTTTTAGAATAGTCCTGCATTATCCTTTTGCTGTCAATACTGACGTCACCTCTCTTTCACAGTATATGTAATCTGTGCCATTATAAAATGATGCCTTTTCCCTGGTAGTATGCTTGGCTCCAAAGTCTATGTTATTTTTTTCCCCCTTATATTTAAAATTTTTTTGGAGATGAGGTCTTGCTGTCGTCCAGGCTGGAGTGCAGTGGTGCAGTCATGGCTCACTACAGCCTTGGCTTTCCAGACTCAAGCAGTCCTCCCACCTTAGCCTTCCAAGTAGCTGGGACCACAGGTGCATGCTACCGCACCAGGCTAATTTTTTTCTTCTTTTAGTTAGTAGAGATGAGGTCTTGTTATGTTGTCCAGGCTGGTCTCAAACTCCTCAAGTGATCCTCTCGCCTTGGCCTTCCAAACTGCTGGGATTACAGGTGTGAGCCACTGCACCCAGCCTCCTTTATATGATACTAAAGTGAGTTTCTTTTTGGCAGCTTGCTTTTTAAATTAAATCTATCTACTAATCCCAGCACTTTGGGAGGCTCAGGTGGGCGGATCACTTGAGCTCACAAGTTCAAGACCAGCCTGGGCAAAACCCCGTCACTACTAAAACTACAAAAAGAATTAGCCAGTAATGGTGCTGCATGCTTGTAGTCTCAGCCACTCAGGAGGTTGAGGTGAGAGGATGGCTTGAGCCTGGGAGGTGGAGGTTGCAGTGAGCTGAGATTGCGCTGCTGCACTCCAGCCTGGGCCATAGAGCCAGACCTTGTCTCAAAAAAAAAAAAAAGAAAAAAGATTATGATGTTTGCATTTAATTACAGTTGTGATTATATATGTTATATATCACATATTTATATTTATTACATATGTTTAACAAACACGGTTAAATAACTTACTGTAATTTTTTTCCTCAATTGTGGTAAAATATACATAGCAGAATGTATCATTTTAATCGTTTTTTAATGGTTAATTCAACTGAGTACATTCACAAGGTTGTGCAACCATCACCCTGTCCATTTTCAGAGCATTTCCATCATCTTACACAGAAACTACACCCATTAAACAGCAACTACCACCATCCCCACGTGCTCAGCCACCATGATGTCATGATTTTATATGATTGGCTTTCAGTCCACCATTTACATTATTAACCTTTAAAAAAAATTCCATTATTTTTTAAAGAGATTTAAATAATATGAAAAAATGTATGTATTTATCCACACAGTTGCCATTTCTAGAGCTCTTCATTTCTTGGCGTGATCCTTGTCTTCATTTTCCTTCTGTCTGAAGGAAACCACTCAACATCTCTCGTAGTGTGTATCCGGTAATGACTTCTTTCACATTCTGTATGTCTGCAAGTATTTTTTTCCTTCACTTTCGAAAAGCTGTTTCTGCTGCATAAAGGTTTCTAGGTTGGCAGTTTTTTTCCTTTCCAGACTTGGCTTCATTGCCGTCTCCTGTTGTTTCTGATGAGAAAGCTGATGGTGCCCCTGGCTTTGTTCCTCTGTCCATGACAAACCTTCTCCCTCTGGCTGCTGTTAGGGTTTTACCACCGTCTCTGAGCAAGTTAGGATGTGTCTCTGTGTAGTTTTCTTCATGTCTCTTAGCTTGGTGTTTATTGAGCTTCTTGAATATATGTGTTCAGAATTTCATCAAATGTGGACAATTTTTGGTCACTATGAGCATTTTGTTGTGTTAGCCCCTTGCTGTCTCCCCGTCAGGGACTCTGGTGACCAGGGTATTTAGTTGTCTTCTACTTGTGCTCTGTTTATTTGAGTTGAGGGGAGGAGCGATATTGGTTTTCTCCATGAGTTTCTTTAAATTCATTAATTCTTTGCAGTGTTCTAATCTGCCTCATTTCATCTAATATCATTTTCATTTTAGATGTTGTTTTCTTCCCTAGAAGTTCACTCTGAATTAGTATCTTCTGTATTTTCAGTTCTTAACATGTTCAGTCTTTCTGCTTTTGGCCATAGACAATACAGTTAAATACCTGTTTTTCTGTCCTTGGCTGGCTGATTCTAACACTGTCATTTCTGGGTGGTTTTCTATTTTCTTTTCCTCGTTATGGGTTTTCCCCCTATTCTTTGCATTTCTGGTGTTTCTTAATGAGGGTGTTTTTGTATTCCTCTGAATATTATTTTGTGTTTGTGAAGTCACTCTGAAACATTTTGCTCCTTTTAGGACTTGCTTTTAACGTTTATTAGGGAGGATCAGAGCAGTATTTAGTTCAGGCCCAAATATTTCCACTGCTGAGATAAGATCCTTCTGAGTACTCCACGTCCCAGAAAGTTGAAACTGCTGAGGACGGTTCTGGACCAGGCTCCGACTGAGCTGCAGGCACTGTTTCCTGGTGTCTGAGCTGTAGGTACTATACCAGGCCCCGACTGAGCTGCAGGCACTGTTTCCTGGTGACTGAGCTGCAGGTACTGTACCAGGCCCCGACTGAGCTGCAGGCACTGTTTCCTGGTGTCTGAGCTGCAGGTACTGTACCAGGCTCCAACTGAGCTAAAAGCACTGTTTCCTGGTGTCTGAGCTGTAGGCCACTATACCCGGCCCTGACTGACCTAAAGGCACTGTATGAGGCCCAGCTGAGCTGCAGGCACTGTTTCCTGTGATCCTTCTGGGGATTCTTTCCCAGGCCCAGGGTGATTTCTTCACGCGTATCAGTATATGAGTGGCTGGTCTCCGGATCTCAGAGGTTCTCGATGCCAGTCTCTTTGGGCTCTGATCTCCGGATGGTTCTGTTTCCTCACCTTCCCGTACTGTGGCAGCAACTTGGGGCAGCTGTAGGGCTCACCTTGTTTCCTGTCTCCAGGGTCTTGAAAGTCACCATTAGGCGGTAAGTTCAGTCCAGTCCCTGGTACTGCATCTTGGCTGAAAGCAGAATCTTTGGTTTTAATAGGAAAAGTTTATGTATCCATAGGCATATGGAGCCACCTCTGGCAGAGCCGGAGCGTTGACTGAAGAAATAGAGCATTATGTGTGGTCTGAAATTACCACGCTCCCACCTCCCAATCCAGCATAGATTCACGAGGACTCTGGGTCCTGTTGAGTTAAACACCTCCCAGCGCGCCTGCTCTGCTGGGCGCACCCCACTCTCCCCAGGACGTGCACTCTCCTCCCCCGTGCAGGTCAAAAATGGCTTGGAGAAGTTTGGTCAGTGCTTGTAAGTGGCATCTCCAGGGCTCTAGGCCTGCGTGTTCATCACCACCAAAGATGATAGTTTATCTTTTCCTCTGCCCTTTTTGCCACAAAAATGTGACTTCCTCCTCCTGCCCTGTGTTTGGTTTCAGGCCAACATAGCCGAGGTAGAGGTCTCCATCCCTGCCAAGCTGCACAACTCCCTCATTGGCACCAAGGGCCGTCTGATCCGCTCCATCATGGAGGAGTGCGGCGGGGTCCACATTCACTTTCCCGTGGAAGGTTCAGGAAGCGACACCGTTGTTATCAGGGGCCCTTCCTCGGATGTGGAGAAGGCCAAGAAGCAGCTCCTGCATCTGGCGGAGGAGAAGGTGAGCATGGGGAGGGAGCGTGACTCTTGGCAGGAAGCCTGGTCCTCAGTACAGTGTTCTCGCTTCTCACTGTGGAAACCCCTGAATGCCCTTCCTTTGTGGCGGGTCAGAAAACAGCTCTATAATGTACTGTTTATGCGTCTTTGTTTTTGCTGTTACTGGAGGGCCTTTCCAGGTCCAAACGCTCACATATGCAATATATAAAAGTTGGTCTTTGGCTTATTAGTTTTGGGGTGCTTTTGTTTTTTAAATATGATTTACAGTAAAATTGGCCATTCTTCAGGTATAGTTGAGTTTTAAGTAACATGCAGTCATGTGACCACAATCATCAAAATTCATTTTCCATCACCCCTAAAGATTGCCCATGGAATTGCTGTTGTCCTTGTGTCAAAACCCATCTGTGGGTATGTTTCCGGGCTCTTCTGGTGACACCAGGTTTATGGGAAGTCTGGAAATCAGTAGTGTGAGCCCTCTTAACTTTGGCTGTTCTACACCCCTTGCTGATCAGCCTGTCAATTTGTAGGAAAAAAGCACTTTCACGTTTTGATTGGGATTGTGTGAAATTTGAAGATGAGACTGGCGAGGATTGACAGCTCAGCAGTTTTGACTTTTGCAGGCATTTCTCCATTTTTTTTAGGTCTGTGATTCTTTATTGGTGTTTTATAATTTTTAGCACATTTTTATGTTCGACTTAACAGATCTAACTACTGTTACTCTTTTAGTGCTATTGTAAATGGCACTTTTTTTCCATTTCCAGTTGTTAGCACATGGAAGTGCCTGTGGTTTTTGTATGTTGACCTTCACGAGGCTGCTAAATAAAGCTCATGTATATTAGCGCCAGTCACTGTTTTGTGGATTTTTTTTTTTTTTTTTTTTTTTTTTTTTTTTTTTTTGAGACGGAGTCTTGCTCTGTCGCCCAGGCTGGAGTGTAGTGGCGCAATCTCGCCTCACTGCAAGCTCCGCCTCCTGGGTTCACGCCATTCTCCTGCCTCAGCCTCCCGAGTAGCTGGGACCACAGGCGCCCGACACCTCACCCAGCTAATTTTTTGTATTTTTAGTAGAGATGGGGTTTCACAGTGTTAGCTAGGATGGTCTCGATCTCCTGACCTCGTGATCCGCCCGCCTCGGCCTCCCAAAGTGCTGGGATTACAGGCGTGAGCCACTGCGCCCGGCCCACTGTTTTGTGGATCCTTATTTTATATGTCACAATCACGTGGTCTGTGGACAGTTACATTTCTCTCTAATCTGGAGCCTTGTATTTCTTGTCTTTTTTGTTGTTGTTATTAGATTGATGTTTTTGTCTTTGTGTTTAACCAGCCTTGCGTTTCTGGGGTAATCCCTGCTTGGTTTGGTAGGTTGTCTTTGGCCATATTGCTAGATTGCATTTGCCTAATTGATTGCCTAATGTTTGACTAATGCTGCTATTTGTGGATGTCTTTGAAAAGTAGCAGAGTCTCTAGGTGGTATTTGGTGAAACCTGCACTTAAAAGGTAGCAAAGTTGTTATTTAATATTTTTGTGCTAGCATGTTTTTCTTTGGTATTTTTGCTTGCGGGCCAGATCTTGGGTCCGGAGAAAGGCAAGAGCTCCCCGTGTGGACCTGAGTCCCGTGGAGCAGCGCCCTTCTCGGGGCCCCTGCGTGGGTCTGCCAGAAGCACTGGTGTCCACAAGCAGTGTCCGGGGCCTTTCCAGGACCCTCGTTTTCTTACTGCCACACAAGGGCGTCGCACTACACGAGGCCTCTGAGGACCGGTCTCTAACTGTAGCCTTGGTTGGCTTGTGTCCCTCTGAGCTTGAGCTTGAGCCTGGGGAGTGGCTGGTTTTGTGGAGGCTGATCTGTAGCACTCGTGGGAAGAAAGGGAGCCTGGCCCAGATTTGTGTGTGCTTGGTCTGGAAGCAGGTAGAAGAGTGGGAGCATGGTGCACACCTCTTGGGCAGCTTGCTTCCTGCTCTGCTGGGCACACCCCACGCTCCCCAGGACGTGCACTCCGCCAACATATCGTCCGGCGCGTTGCTCCCACCTCCCCCTGTGCAGATCAAAAATGGCTTGGAGAAGTTTGGTCAGTGCTTGTAAGTGGCAGGACCAGGGTTCTAAGCCTGTGTGTTCATCCCACCAGCATCTGGTTGTTGTGGAAGAGAAGTAGGTGTGCAGTCTGGGTATTCATCTGTTTATTCAGTGAGGTGTGCTAGCCCCATTTTGGGGGTATTGGTGCAACATCAGGACACTGGTGACAATGTAAGGGGAGCCCGAGCTTGCTGTCCTACAGACCCTCTTGTCTTCCTCACTGTGGTCCAGGCACGTGGTGTCAGGCTAACACAGTGGGATTGGTTTCTGCAGCAAACCAAGAGTTTCACTGTTGACATCCGCGCCAAGCCAGAATACCACAAATTCCTCATCGGCAAGGGGGGCGGCAAAATTCGCAAGGTGCGCGACAGCACTGGAGCACGTGTCATCTTCCCTGCGGCTGAGGACAAGGACCAGGACCTGATCACCATCATTGGAAAGGAGGACGCCGTCCGAGAGGCACAGAAGGAGCTGGAGGCCTTGATCCAAAACCTGGTAGGGAGCGGGCCTCGGCGGCCGACTCTGCTGGGGCCGTGATGGGGTGGCTTATCTTCCATCTCTTCTTAACACTGCAGGATAATGTGGTGGAAGACTCCATGCTGGTGGACCCCAAGCACCACCGCCACTTCGTCATCCGCAGAGGCCAGGTCTTGCGGGAGATTGCTGAAGAGTATGGCGGGGTGATGGTCAGCTTCCCACGCTCTGGCACACAGAGCGACAAAGTCACCCTCAAGGGCGCCAAGGACTGTGTGGAGGCAGCCAAGAAACGCATTCAGGAGATCATTGAGGACCTGGTAGGCACTTGGGTGCTCGGGGAGGGGTTCTCACCCCCCAGTGGCCACTCACCGAAGCCGTGTATGAGTGTTCGCTCCACCCTGTAGGGAGGTGACTCCCTCATACAGCCCTGGAAGGCTTCAGAAGGGGCTTTCTGGTGCTCGCTCTTCTTTCCTCAGCCTGTCTGGCCTCCTTCCTGATAGTTGGTGAGAATTCTGCCTGCGAGAAGCACTTAAAAAAAAAAAGAGAGAGAGAAGGAGAAGAGGAGAGGGGAGAGAGAGAGAGGAAAGAAAGCAAGAGAAAGAAAGAAAATGCATTCTGTATAAGGGATCAGGAAAAATGAAAATGCAGTCTAAGGGGTCAGCTCTCTTCTCCCCTCTGTGAAGGAAAGAAAATCGATTTGAGGGCATCCACGTGAATCCATGGGAAGTCATGAGAAGACGTGGTCTTTAGAAGCAGTCTTTAGAGAGTGTCCCCTCCAGGCCACTCCCCTGCCAGGGCCTTGGATTCCCTTTCCCTAATAATCAAGTCTGATGCCTCCTCATGGAGTCAGAGGCTACCCCAGGAGGTCCCACTCCTTTGGCTGAATTGGCCACCCTCCAGGGATGGCACCTGGCCTTCTGGGACACATTTCAGAGGAGGCCCACCCCCTTAGACCTGTCCTGCTACCTCCCTCCTCCCTGCGCCTGGAGCCCTGGACTCGGGAGAAGGGGAGCATCTGTGCCAAGTGGCTGTAGAGGACAGGGAGGAAGGTGGTGTGAAGAGTGCTGTAAAACTTGCCCTAAGGAATTTAATCTTTGCTCTTTTCTTTTTTCTTTGTGTACCTCCCTCCAGGAAGCTCAGGTGACATTAGAATGTGCTATACCCCAGAAATTCCATCGATCTGTCATGGGCCCCAAAGGTTCCAGAATCCAGCAGATTACTCGGGATTTCAGTGTTCAAATTAAATTCCCAGACAGAGAGGAGAACGCAGGTGGGTCCCCCATTAGCCCTGCTCTGCTTGTTAATAGTGGCGCCTCCCATGTGAGAGGCGGGGCTGTCGCACATACTGGTGAGGCTCTTTCCTGTCTCTGCTGGAAAACCATCTATGTATTCTGGGGGCTTCCAGAGGTTCAGGGTCACTCCCTGGCCTTTAAAAGATGGACCACGTCAGTTACTGACAGAGTGACCAGGTGACCTTCATAGGTCCTAGAGACACACAAGGTAGCCAGTCCCAAGGCGATGAGGAGCGTGCAGCCTCATCCTCGGGTGTCCCGAGTTCAGTCCCAGTGATTCTCATGACATCGTTTGGATCGCATGAGCCCCGTCGTAGAGCTTCCTCCTCCACATCTCCCATCACTGTGGGGTGTCCCCTGTGAGGCAGGCAGCTGCAGCCTCTGGCTGGCCAGAGGGCACCATCCAAGTGGCCGGCAGTTCTAGGAGAGCATTCAGTTCCCCGTACCATGCTTGCCCCCAGCTCTGCTCATGCACCTGGTGGTGGGGAGGCGACCTGTGGGATGCGGGTCGGTTGCCTCTCTCTCACTTGCTCTGCATTTGTGAAACAAAAGGTATGCCCTCCACTCTGTGTTATCAGATGCCCGCCCTCCACTCTGTGTTATCAGTCTTGGTTGAGCTGTTTGGGCGGCAGGTGGCCCTGCAGCCTGCTGAGTGCACATAGTGTCATCTCTCTGGGCATCCAGGAAGCATGTCACACACAGCCATTCAAGCCCCTTTGTTTTCCTGAGAATACAGGGTGTTTTGAGTAGGAAACTAATAAACTCATACTGCACTCTGTCTATGTTTTACACTTCAGTGGTTATTTAAAACTTTGATTTTGATAGAATTTCACAGAATAGTATAAAGACACATCCTGTGGCACCAGTTTCTTTTCTCAACTTCTCCCCTTTTACACACGTTTTTTTTCTGAATGTCATTTTTAGACATGTCCCTTTATTCATGGTGGGTATTTTCTTAGAACAAGGACATTCTCTTACATAATTCTAGCACATTTATCGGAATCGGATTTAACATTATATAACAGTAGTATCTAATATGTTGTCGGTATTCAAATTTGCCAGTTTTTCTCCTTCAGAAACACCTACTTCCCCATCCTAGGATCACCCTTGATTTCAGGCAGGCGTCTGTCTGGTCTCCTGCTCATTTATTTACATCACACACCTCCTGGGTTCTGTCTTAGTGATAATTATTGTTGTGTCTGTTTTGTGACACTTATTGTTGTGGTGTCTATTTTGGTACACACGCGGTGTCCCAGTGTGGCCTGTAGGAGCCCCTCCAGCTGTCTTCTGTGTCCTGTTCACACGCCTCTTCACTTCTGGGGCTCTCGCTTTCTGGCATAAGGAGCTGGCACAGGTTTACCTTGGCCTTGCCCTTTCTGTCTCCCCTAGACCTCTCACCCCCCTTCCCACTGCCTCTCCTGGGTGGGGCTGCGTGCTGGCCGCCTTCCCTGATGAGCCCTGCCTCACAGTCAAGCCTCACTTGTGCAGTGGGTCTGCCCTGTGTTCCTCCCATGAACTAACTCATCTGATCTCACTGAAGCCTCTGCTGTAGTTAGTTGCTGTTAGCTTCATCTTCAAGGTGAAGAAGGGAGACACAGAGCTCACGGCCTCCCGGCAAAGCCTTCATTGCCGCCCCCCCCCCCCCCCCCAAGGTCTGGGAGCCCTCTTTGAGGCTGCTGTGGGGACGTCCTATCTGCTCTCCCTGACCAGACCAAGACCTCCTGAAGGACAGGAGTGGTTTTCCCTCCCTTTTACCACCCAGCACCCAGCAGGTGCCTCACAGACATATGCATTCTGAACAAGGTGTGGGGTCTCTTCCAGCAGCTGTCAGCTGTCCCTTTTCCCCTTTCTCTCTAGTTCACAGTACAGAGCCAGTTGTCCAGGAGAATGGGGACGAAGCTGGGGAGGGGAGAGAGGCTAAAGATTGTGACCCCGGCTCTCCAAGGAGGTGTGACATCATCATCATCTCTGGCCGGAAAGAAAAGTGTGAGGCTGCCAAGGAAGCTCTGGAGGTATGTGTCCATGTGCCCCCCTCCACCCCCCGCCAAGGCCCAGTCAGCAGGCACCTGGGGAGACGCGTGGCCTGGATGGGATGGACGGTTGCCCAAGCGGCAGTGGCAGTGGAGGTAGCCCTCTTGCTCCTACCGTGTGCGCACGGGCTGTGCTTCTCGGCTGGACACAGAGTTTGGGGAGGCCACTTCCCTTCACCAAGGCTCGGGGTTCTATAGCCCCTTTCTGGGACAGCTGCATGGGATCCGGCCTCTCAGGCCCACGGTGGGTGCGGGGGCTGTGGAAGGGTCTCAGCTGCAGGGGGATGAATGTGACCTCCAGTTGCAACGTCTCCCCCCGCGTGAGTGGGGTTATCAGGCCTAGCTCACCTTGTGTGCAGTCAGTGTCGAGTGCCACCTGCGTACTGGATGCTGCTCTCAGTGCTGCGGTGCCACAGCACACAAAAATAGTTCTCACGTTGCCGTGGAGAGACAAGCAGTCAACGCAGATATATCCTGTGGCAAGTGATGGTAAATGCTGTGGCAAGAAAGCAGGTTCTGGAGGTGAAGGGCGGTGGGGGAGACAGGGCAGGGAAGGTGAGCAGCGGTCTGAGAGTCCCTTGTGGCACCTCGTGGGCATTAGCCAAAGCCGTCCTGATCCCAAGGGACAGGGCAGGGAAGGTGAGTAGTGGTCCGAGAGTCCCTTGTGGCACCTCATGGGCATCGGTCAAAGCCGTCATGACCCCGAGGATGTGCCAGGAGTCAGGGCCTCTCCTCCTACGTGGGCCTGAAGGGGCTGCTGTAATTCAGGAGGGTAGGCTTGGGATGAAGGGTCTGGAATTTCTGTCTGCCAGCATTAGCCTAATGCAAATCTTTTCCTATTCTTTTCTATTGAGTTAAAGGTCCTGGTGGCATTGTCGGGTGGGGCACATTGCTGTTGTCATAGGGCTGTTTGCCTTGTGTTTCGTGGAGCCCCATTGCTGAGCTTACAACGTCACTCTGCTCTCAGCTCCCACGGCCTAACCATGACCATCCTCCCTGCAGGCATTGGTTCCTGTCACCATTGAAGTAGAGGTGCCCTTTGACCTTCACCGTTACGTTATTGGGCAGAAAGGAAGTGGGATCCGCAAGATGATGGATGAGTTTGAGGTAGACCCCTTTCCCGGGAGGCCATGTCACAGGAGTGGCCTGTCGCATCCTCTCCCGAGTGCCAGTGTCCTTTCTCAACTTCCTGTTGACTCTGCCTCCTCCTGCTCGGACTGGGCACTGACTTCCCTTCACGGCGGGTGGCCTTCCCTCTCACCACTTCTGGGTCCCAGGGCCAATGGACTCTTTCCTGTTCTCTGGGGTCCTGAACGTCAAGTCAGCCCCCTCTTCACGTAGGTGAACATACATGTCCCGGCACCTGAGCTGCAGTCTGACATCATCGCCATCACGGGCCTCGCTGCAAATTTGGACCGGGCCAAGGCTGGACTGCTGGAGCGTGTGAAGGAGCTACAGGCCGAGCAGGAGGACCGGGTGAGCAGGAGGTGGCCGGGGCACTGCCCAGAGCCATGGTGCTCAGCTTTGGGCACATGTCAGAATCTAGGGAAGTTCTTCAGGATCCCAGCATCCCAGCGACATCTGGCTGGAGGTGAGATGCAGGCAGTGCCAGGACGCAGTCAGCATCCAGGGGTCTTGCTGTGGAACTAGCCAAGAGCATGGCACCTTTCTCTTTTTCATAAAAAAGTGACAAAGTTGGACTTCCGTGTAAATTTGCAGTTTCTCTCAAAACCAAATCAGAGTGGTACCTCAGACCTACAAGAAAGGTCAAGGTTGCGAGAGGCCCCCAAGCATGTGCTATGCAGTGAGGACGAGCATCGGGGACCCCCACTAACCTCTAGCACAGGGTGGTCAAAGGGCGAATGACTTCCTGGTAAGCAGGGATGAAACCCCCCCAACCTCTGGCAAGGCTGACGTTTGAAGGATTGTATGAGCGGAGCGCTGCAGACGCCCAGCCTCTGGCAGGGCTGACATTTGGAGGATTGTGTGAGCAGAGTGCTGCAGACAGGAGCAGGGGTTCTGGAACTTGGAGCAGACTGTGCTGGGGTGCTGGTTTGCTAAGGGGGTTGGCTTTCCACTCCTCCCGTGAGCACGTCGAGTCTGGTGAATGGGGTGGAGCTCGTGAACCTCACATGGTGTCAGTGTACCCCTGCGTGGACTCTGGGTTGTCTCCTGCAGCCAGGTCATACCTGTAGCCTTTGGCCATGGGTGTTCAGGGGCTGTGGCTGCCCCCTCTTCTTGGTCTGCATCTGCCCCAGTCCTAAAAAGATCCAGAGCATTTCTGTGCGTATCCATCAGATCCCTGTTTGACAAATGAGGAGAGCGGGGCCCCAAGCTCGTGACTCACTGCCTAGCTCTGTCAGTTCCTGAGCACGATCCTCGCAAGTGGTCCCAAGCCCTCTTTTGAAGGATTTATAGACCTCCTTGTGGAGCAGCCAAGTTCCCTGGTTCTCATTATTAGCAGATAATGGAAGGTGGCAGAGGTCGGACCAGAGAGATGGCGGACCATTCCGGACCACGGGTTACAGAACACTGCAGCATCTCCAGTGTCCTATGACCAGGGTGGAAGGGGAATGGAGTCACAGGGTGGATCAGCTCAATCTTTGCCTCATTCTTGCTCCTTTCATTTGTAGGCTTTAAGGAGTTTTAAGCTGAGTGTCACTGTAGACCCCAAATACCATCCCAAGATTATCGGGAGAAAGGGGGCAGTAATTACCCAAATCCGGTTGGAGCATGACGTGAACATCCAGTTTCCTGATAAGGACGATGGGAACCAGGTGAGAGCCTCGGTTGGAGCGTGTCGGGGGCAGAGGTGCTTGTTGACCTTTCCTGTGACTTGGGAGCAGTAACCAGATGTGCCTAGATGGGGGTTCGAGGGCCAAGTTGAGAGTGGCAAGTCTCTCAGGACCTAATTCTGGCTTGAGGTTTGGGCTGTGTCTCGGTACTTGCCAGATGGGTGAGGTCTCTGGCACTATGTATCATCTGGGGCCTGGAGCATTTTCTCCTGCGTCTCCTTCCAGAAAATGAGCAGGAGCTCCAGCTGGGTCCTTGATCAGTGGCGCCTCCAGGTGTAGCTCATTCACCTGTCACCCGGGCCTCTCTGAGGCTCCCAAGGGCTCTCATTCACCTGTCACCTGGGCCTCTTGGGGTCAGGTGGACATTTCTCTGCAGCCCCAGCTGCAAACACCGTTGTGCTTGCCAGATGGTCCTTAGTAAACTCTTGTTGTTACTTCCTCCAAATTGCAGTGCCACCCCCCTGCCACTGGCCCTCATGGCCTCCTGCTTCACTCAGAACAAAATGAAAGGCAGCCCCATCCCCTCTCTGGGCCCTGCCACCTGGCATGCAGGGCAGCCTCACCCAACACCCCCTCTTGCACACACTTCCCAGGCTTGGTCTTTCCTGGCTCTGGCATCCTGCTGGGGTGTCTGCTTCCTAGGCGTGTCCAGCACAGCTTTGCCCACAGTGGGAGACTAGCAAGCCTTGGTGGCCACAGTTGTGCTGGTTTCCAGAAACAGCAAACCCCCTGGCAGCAGAGCCCCTCCACGCCCCTCGCTCCCACTGTGGATGTGCCGCCCAGGGTTTTCCGCTGCTTCCCCTTCCCCTTCCCCTTCTTCCTCCCCAGCTTCTTGTTCCCTTTTGGATCTTTGAGTCACACACACACCAGCCAGGCCAGGAGGGCCCTCCTGCACCCTGCCTCCTCCAGCTCCCACGTCCTCTTCCCTCCCCACATACATTTTTTAATTTTTAGTCTTGATCTTGAGAGTTTAGTTCTTTTTTTTGAGAGAGATAGTCTTTGTCTTGTTGCCCCAGGTGGAGTGCAGTGGCGCGATCTCGGCTCACTGTAACCTCTGCCTCCCGGGTTGAAGTGATTCTCGTGCCTCAACCTCCCAAGTAGCTGGGACTACAGCTGTGAGCCACCGCTCCCAGCCCAAGAGTTTAGCTCTTTTAAGCCCCTCACCCTTATTGCCTTTTATTTCCCTCTACTATTCTATATAATTATCAATCTTAAAAGTCATTATAGGTGAGTCACAGTGGCTCACGCCTGTAATCCCAACACTTTTGGAGGCCGAGGCGGGTGGATCCCCTGAGGTCAGGAGTTCAAGGCCAACCTGACCAACATGGCGAAAGCCTGTCTCTACTAAAAATATGAAAATTAGCCAGGCGTGGTCGCGTGCACCTGTAATCCCAGCTACTCGGGAGACTGAGACGTGAGAATCGCTTGAACGCAGGAGGCGGAGGCTGCAGTGAGCTGAGATCATGCCATTGCACTCCAGCCTGGGCGACAGAGTGAGACTCTGTCTTTAAAAAAAAAAAAAAAAAGTCATTGTTTAGCAATTAGACTATTCCATCTAATACACCATGAGCCAAGTGGGGTGGAGCAGTCATTTCTTCACAGGCAGCTTTTTCCTGTGAGCTGTGCTTCCGATCTTGAGGTTCTGTACCTGGCAGCACGCGGGTGGTGCCTGAGGCTGTCAGCTCTGCTGGGCCACGGTGGGTGGGGCTGCTGCCTCCCACTCTGGCATTTTGCTTCAATCTGGACAGAAGCTTCTTGGGCTGCTGCTCTGTTGTCTCTAGGTTAGGTCTTTCTGCTCATTTCCTTTCCAGGCATTTGTCCCTGTCCTCTAGTCCTGTTGCGTGATGATGGTTCCGTGTTGTGATTTGTCCCTGTCCTCTAGTCCTGTTGCGTGATGGTTGTGATTTGTCCCCGTCCTCTAGTCCTGTTGCATGGTGGTTTTTGTGTTGTGGACATGTTGTTTTCGCCGATTGTGGGCTACAGGTGTTTTGTTACCACGTTTCCTTCTCTATGCCCTGAACTGTCTGCTTGGTCTGCTTGTCTGCTATCCCAAGTCTGGTATGGTGTCTCCTGTCCATTTGTGTGGCCCAAGGAAGGCCTGAGCAGGTGGGATCTCTGAGTGAGGGAGGGGCTCGCTGAGGAATGCCAGCCAGCCTCCAGCCTCCAGCACAAAGATGCCTCCAGACTGTGGCCCACGTGGGCAAAGAAGCAGGAAGCTGAGGGGCTTGGGGCTTTGTCTTTGCCCCGCTGTCCTTGAGTCCAGAATTCTTGCCTGTTAGTGTCTCTCCTTTGTCTTTGAGGACAAATGTCCTTTTTCGTTCTGTAATTCACTGTCTTTTGGGTAGAGTTTGGGAAGAGATGGAAGCTGAGTGGACATAGGTTTTTTGTGGGGTGTTTTTTTTTTGTTTTTTTTTTTTTGAGATGGAGTTTTGCTCTGTTGCCCAGGCTGGAGTGCAGTGGCGCAATCTCGGCTCACAGCAACCTCCGCCTCCCGGGTTCAAGCAATTCTCGTGCCTCAGCCCCGGGAGTAGCTGGGATTACAGGCGTGCACCACCACGCCCGGCTAATATTGTATTTTTAGTAGAGGCGGGGTTTCTCCATGTTGGTCAGGCTGGTCACGAATTCCGGACCTCAGGTGATCCGCCTGCCTCGGCCTCCCAAAGTGCTGGGATTACAGGCGTGAGCCACCGTGCCCGGCCCTGAGTGGACATTGTTAACCTCTTGTTTTAAATCAGCCGTGACGTTGCTTTCCATCTTCTCTCCTGAGCTGTTTTCCTCAGCAGTGGGGGCCGGCTCTTGCCCCTGACGGGAATCCCAGTAAGGCATCCCCTTTTCTGACTACATTCTCCTTTTTTAGCCCCAGGACCAAATTACCATCACAGGGTACGAAAAGAACACAGAAGCTGCCAGGGATGCTATACTGAGAATTGTGGGTGAACTTGAGCAGATGGTTTCTGAGGACGTCCCGCTGGACCACCGCGTTCACGCCCGCATCATTGGTGCCCGCGGCAAAGCCATTCGCAAAATCATGGACGAATTCAAGGTGAGCCGGCTGGAAGCACAGTGGGTGAGAATCCTCTCTCACCGGGGGCACCTGGCTGGCCAGAAGAAAGAGCAGGGCATGGCCTTCCCCTCAAGATGATGAGGCCACAACCCCAGGGCTGGCAGTGGAACTGTCCTCATGGACACCACGGGTCAGTGCAGGCGACGGCCTGTGTGAGGCTGCACTGCCACGGTGGCCATTAGGAGGGCATCTCCTTGACAGCTGCCTGGCGAGCTCGTCCTCTGTGGGTGGGAATTTCATGCAAGAGCGCACAGTACGTGCTGCGGCCCTCTGTCTGCTGGGAACAAGGTGCTCCTGAGATACACCTAACTTGGTGTGGTGATGAGGCTGACTGACTTCAGAACAACTCTGAAACCAGATTTTAAAACGTTTGCTAACTCAGAAAATGCTTCACTAGAAATTGACACATAATTTTAACCCTTTTCCTCGCTTGGAGTCCCCTCATCTGACGTTGTACACCCCTTCCAGGTGGACATTCGCTTCCCACAGAGCGGAGCCCCAGACCCCAACTGCGTCACTGTGACGGGGCTCCCAGAGAATGTGGAGGAAGCCATCGACCACATCCTCAATCTGGAGGAGGAATACGTGAGTCTCTGTGGGCCTTGGAGCCCTGAGGCGCCCTGGCACGTCCACCGGCCTGAGGCCCAGCCAGGAGCTTCAGGGGACAAGGTGGCACTTGTGTTTCCAGAGGCAGGCGAGGTGCAGGGGTGAGCAGGCGGGCGGGATGCTGGGGGTGCTGGGCAGACTGACCCTGTCTTCCTGTCTTCTGCCTGCAGCTAGCTGACGTGGTGGACAGTGAGGCGCTGCAGGTATACATGAAACCCCCAGCACACGAAGAGGCCAAGGCACCTTCCAGAGGCTTTGTGGTGCGGGACGCACCCTGGACCGCCAGCAGCAGTGAGAAGGTCAGATGCGGGCTTCTGCCCTCCTGGGTCCCAGGGAGGGTGGGCGGGCAGGCGGGCTTGGTGTCCTGAGGGTGGCAACTGCGTCGGAAGCTGCTTGCGAGTTGGGGAGCATCCCCTCCTGAAGCCGTGTCCTCTCTCTGCACAGGCTCCTGACATGAGCAGCTCTGAGGAATTTCCCAGCTTTGGGGCTCAGGTGGCTCCCAAGACCCTCCCTTGGGGCCCCAAACGATAATGATCAAAAAGAACAGAACCCTCTCCAGCCTGCTGACCCAAACCCAACCACACAATGGTTTGTCTCAATCTGACCCAGCGGCTGGACCCTCCGTAAATTGTTGACGCTCTTCCCCCTTCCCGAGGTCCCGCAGGGAGCCTAGCGCCTGGCTGTGTGTGCGGCCGCTCCTCCAGGCCTGGCCGTGCCCGCTCAGGACCTGCTCCACTGTTTAACACTAAACCAAGGTCATGAGCATTCGTGCTAAGATAACAGACTCCAGCTCCTGGTCCACCCGGCATGTCAGTCAGCACTCTGGCCTTCATCACGAGAGCTCCGCAGCCGTGGCTAGGATTCCACTTCCTGTGTCATGACCTCAGGAAATAAACGTCCTTGACTTTATAAAAGCCAAACGTTTGCCCTCTTCCTTTCCCACCTCCCTCCTGCCAGTTTCCCTTGGTCCAGACAGTCCTGTTTGTGGAGTGCAATCAGCCTCCTCCAGCTGCCAGAGCGCCTCAGCACAGGTGTCAGGGTGCAAGGAAGACCTGGCAATGGACAGCAGGAGGCAGGTTCCTGGAGCTGGGGGGTGACCTGAGAGGCAGAGGGTGACGGGTTCTCAGGCAGTCCTGATTTTACCTGCCGTGGGGTCTGAAAGCACCAAGGGTCCCTGCCCCTACCTCCACTGCCAGACCCTCAGCCTGAGGTCTGGTGAGTGGAGCCTGGAGGCAAGGTGGTAGGCACCATCTGGGTCCCCTGTGGCCGTCACAGTGTCTGCTGTGATTGAGATGCGCACAGGTTGGGGGAGGTAGGGCCTTACGCTTGTCCTCAGTGGGGGCAGTTTGCCTTAGATGACAGCTGGGCTCTTCTTCACACCACCTGCAGCCCCTCCCTGCCCCTGCCCTAGCTGCTGTGTGTTCAGTTGCCTTCTTTCTACCTCAGCCGGCGTGGAGTGGTCTCTGTGCAGTTAGTGCCACCCCACACACCCGTCTCTTGATTGAGATGTTTCTGGTGGTTATGGGTTTCCCGTGGAGCTGGGGGTGGGCGCCGTGTACCTAAGCTGGAGGCTGGCGCTCTCCCTCAGCACAGGTGGGTCAGTGGCCAGCAGGCCCATCTGGAGTGGGAGTGGGCACTTCCACCCCGCCCACAGGCCATCCGGCTGTGCAGGCCAGCCCCTAGGAGCAGGTCCCGGGTGACTGGCAGTTTTCACGGTCTAGGGCCGAGACGATGGCATGGGGCCTAGAGCATGAGGTAGAGCAGAATGCAGACCACGCCGCTGGATGCCGAGAGACCCTGCTCTCCGAGGGAGGCATCTGTGTCATGCTGTGAGGGCTGAGGACGGGGCCCTAGTCTCTGGTTTTCTGGTCTTAACATCCTTATCTGTGTCCGCCACGGAGGTGACTGAGCTGCTAGCGAGTTGTCCTGTCCCAGGTACTTGAGTTTTGGAAAAGCTGACTCACGCCCATCCATCTCACAGCCCTTCCCTGGGGACAGTCGCTTCCGCCTTGACACCTCACTCTCAGTTGAATAACTCAAGCTTGGTCATCTTCAGACTCGAATTCTTGAGTAGACCCAGACGGCTTAGCCCAAGTCTAGTTGCAGCTGCCTCGGCAAGTCCCCATTTGCTCAGGCAGCCCTGAATGGGCCTGTTTACAGGAATGGTAAATTGGGATTGGAAGGAATATAGCTTCCAGCTTCATAGGCTAGGGTGACCACGGCTTAGGAAACAGGGAAAGAAAGCAAGGCCCTTTTCCTGCCTTTCCCGGGATCTGTCTACTCCACCTCCACGGGGGAGGCCAGTGGGGAAGGGCTGTCACCTCTTCCCCATCTGCATGAGTTCTGGAACTCTGTCCTGTTGGCTGCTTGCTTCCAGCTCCCCCCAATCTCCATCGCAGCGGGTTCCTCCTGTCTTTTCTACAGTGTCATAAAACATCCTGCCCCTACCCTCTCCCAAAGGTCAATTTTAATTCTCACCAAGTTTTGCACATCTCTGTATGTCGCTTGATGTCTTAGACGCGAGCCCTTTCCTAAACTGTTCAGCGCTCTCTTTTCCTTTGGGTGGTTGTTGCAAGGGTGATGACATGACTGTCCCCAGGCCTGTCTCCCTGAAGCGTCTGTGCTGTCAGGACAGCCCTGGGCAGAGATGAGGCAGGGGTGAGGCGTGCGTGTGCTTTTCCTCCTTGTTGGATGTCTTCCATATCATCTGTTTCCATAGCTACAATCCATCCCTTGGCCTTAACTTTGGAATTTGGAGATTATATGCAAACATGTGTAAAGGCTCATGAATATGGATGACACTGGAATTTTATAAATTCTAAAATAAAACCCGAAACCAGATGTAGCATGCTGGGACTCATTTTGTCACGCTGCCGCCTGTGTGTTCTCTTTCTCGTCACCCTGGAGTGGTGACTGGCATCTGTGGGTAGTTCGTCTTTGGTGTGATTTTCTCAGCAGTTCTCAACACTGTGTTCAACGGCCCCTCGGGAGCCACACTGAGGGAGACCCAGGTGTGGTCATGGCAAGAGGGTGGCTGCCTGTCCCTGTCCTCTGGCTGCCAGACAGTCAGCAGTTGCCCTGCAGCCCTCATTGAGGGTGGACAACCGTCCTTGTGGAGCAGCACCTGCCACTCCCTTTTAGGACTCTGCCAGCCTCAGTGGCATTCCTGGCACCCTGGACCCGGCCTGTGAGTTATGACGAGCTGAGTTGGGTGGTGGGGGGTGCGGGCGGAGGCCTCGGCTGGAGGAGGAGGAGGGAGGGGCGTTGAGTGGGAGGAGCCACCCCAGTCACCTGAGTGGCAGGAGATAACGGGAAGAGTCAAGAGGGAATAGGTGTTCCTGCTGCTGACTGGGCTGGTCCCCACCTGGGAAGACGGGTATGGCAGTTCCTCTTAAAGCCAAACATGTTGGCCGGGTACGGTGGCTCACGCCTGTAATCCCAGCACTTTGGGAAGCCGAGGTGGGCGGATCACGAGGTCAGGAGATCAAGACCATCCTGGCTAACACGGTGAAACCCCGTCTCTATTAAAAATGCAAAAAATTAGCTGGGTGTGGTGGCGGGCGCCTGTAGTCCCAGCTACTCGGGAGGCTGAGGCAGGAGAATGGCGTGAACCCGGGAGGCAGAGCTTGCAGTGAGCCGAGATCGTACCACTGCACTCCAGCCTGGGTGACAGAGCGAGACTCCATCTCAAAAAAAAAAAAATGCCGAACATGTTTATCCCTGACCCAGCAGTTCTGTTGGGCCCTAAATATGCAACCCACAGCAAAGCACACAACTGCAAAATGACCCTAAGCCAAACACGAAGCAGCCCAGCAGCCAGGAGGGGCTGAGATGGATGCTCGGCACGGATGGAGCTCGCGCAATGTCCCACGGCAGACGCCAAATGCAAAGTCCCCAGTTCCATCTCTGCTTGGTGGCTAAGGTGGTGGCTACTCTGGATGGGAAAGGGTCACAGGCAGGGTAGGGCGCATGTGGGCATCAGGGCCCTGGATGGGAGAGGGTCACAGGGTAGGGCGCACGTGGGCATCGGGGAGCTTCCACGTCGGGTGATGTGGAACTTGCCTTTTACCCACGTGCTGGTTACAACAGTTTGTTCACCTGGAAGCCTGTATGAACTGAGCATTTTCGTACGTTTCAATAAATTCACCTTAAAACTTTGGAGTTTAAGACAGCAACAATAAAAAGCAACCAGCTGGAAGGAAGTACACGTGGGTTTGTAGTAAGCATTGTGCTGAGCGAAAGCACACGTGGAATGGCTGAGCTCCCCATCTGTGTAAAGTTTCCAAGGTTCCCGCCCCGGGCCGTGTGTGCTGTCCGCCATGCTCCGGCCGGTGGTGTCCAGCCCCAGGGCGCTGTGAGCCTGCATCCCTGCCGGAAGAGCCCTTCCATGGAGGCAGGGCACAGTGCTCCTAAGAGGCAGGTGAACAAGTAGCAAATCCTCAAGAAATGCTACAAGCAAGCACGCCGCCCTCAGGCCAGGCATCACGGTGGGTGAAATAGAACGCAGGCGAGGATGTTCAGAAAGAGGCCTTTTCTGTGGAGTAAGTTTGGCAGTACTCATCAAAGCACATTAAAACCACATATTCTTTTTGTGTGTGTGTGTTCCCGAGACGGAGTCTTGCTCTGTCGCCCAGGCTGTAGTGCAGTGTTGAGATCTCAGCTCACTACAACCTCCGCCTCCCGGGTTCAAACGATTCTCCTGCCTCAGCCTCCCAAATAGCTGGGATTACAGATGCCCGCCACCACACCCAGAATAATTTTTGCATTTTTAGTAAAGACAGGGTTTCACCATGTTGGACAGGCTAGTCCCGAACTCCTGACCTTGTAATCCTCCTGCCTCAGCCTCCCAAAGTCCTGGGATTACAGGTGTGAGCCACCACGCTCAGCTAAAAACCACATATTCTTTTTGACACTTAAGTTCCACTTGTAGAACTCCAAGGACATCAATACAGATGAGCACAGATCCATTTTTTAGCAAGCAGACGGCCACACTGGGATTGCTGCGGGGTAGCAAGTTAGCCAGGGGAAGCTTCATGTGGCTCCCCAGCACAGGGCAGAACTGCACGTCACATTATGATCCAGCGTGGAAAACAATTATGTATGAACACAAACTTCTGGGGGAAGAGCCACCAGATGTTACAGGTATACACGTTTCCTCCTCTCATCCCAAAACCTCCCCCATTTGGGTGCTTGCTGGGTACTAGGCCCCAAGGAACAGAGGTAAAAACAGCAAGAGGGGCCCTGGGCCAGGGGCCAGGAGCTGGGAGAGGGAGGGAAGTTGGGCAAGGATCAAAAGGACACATGTAATTGCTGCAGAATGCAAGTAAAGCGGCACTGTCAGAGGCTGCCTGTAGTGGCTAGGGGGAAAGCAGAGCCTGATTCAAGAAACAGAAGAATCCAGAGGACCCAGATAACTGGGAATGGAGGGAGGGGTTCAACAGACCTTTGCTGTGGCCTGGGACACAGAGCTGCAGGGTCCGAGAGCTGGGGCATGTGGGTGATGTCCCTGCGCAAACAGGGCAGGAAGGGGCGGGTGGGTCCAGAGGACACGAGGGAGAACGGCCCTGCGCTCTGAAACATTCGAAGGTCACCAGGTGTAAGAGGAGAGGGCGATGTGGCCAGGGGCGGCGAGGACCACAAAGCCCACCTGCCTGAGGAGAACTGTCGTGTCCAGGGGCCTGGGGAGGCCACCGAGGGACAGGGTCCCTTGGGTGCAGGGGCCCCTTGGGCTTATGTCTGGGAGCAGGAAACAAAGAGGGCCTTGTGAGCTGACGGTCCCTCCCTGCCGGGGATGGAGTGACAGGCGCTCTGAGGAGAGAAGCCGGCGCTGGGGGGAAGCAGGCAATGTGCCCAGAGATGAGGCACAACAGCAGCCAGCGGTTCACACAGCCGCTGCCTGAGGGAAGAGGAAAAGGACGCTGCTCGCAGGGCTCAGGAGGGGCCACTCCCCTAAGGACCACCAGATGTCCTTCCAGGCGTCACTGCTGCAGCTGGCTGGCCTTGGGAACCGTGAAGGGTGTCCAGTGGGAGCTGAGCTGGGGAGAGGGTTGGGGGCAGGGACAAGTCAGACTAGGGCCAGGAGCAGGCCATGGCCACGAGGCACAGTGGGCGGCTGGGCAGGGCCCTGTGACCTCAGGGAGTGCACGGGGCAGGGGCCTGGCTGCTCCCAGACTTGCCTCTGAGCCCTCGGGCTGCTCATCCTTTGTTCCGTTCGTTCCAAAAAGAACCTGTCCCCAAAAAAGGGCAGCAAGAGGAAGAGGGATGTGACTCAGTGTCCGGAGGTAGAGCAGCCACTGACAAGGATAGGGAGAGGGCTGGGGGGAGGGCCGAGACTGGGCTGTACAGTTCACCTCATTCTCAGCCAGTGCCTGCTTAGCCAGGTAGTACTCCCGCTTCACTTTGATCTCCACAGACTCTGGGATGTCAGGCACCAGGAGGTCCAGGAGGCGGCCAACGGAGAAAACCACATGCTGGGAGCAGAGGAAGGCACTCACGCCCACCCAAACGCCCAGAGTGGCCTTCACAGGGCCAGGCAGGCCGGGGCTCCGGCACCTGCTCCCAGCTGTGGGTGGAGTCAGAAAGCAGCTGTGCAGGAAAAGGAACCCCAGAAGGGGCAGAGGCCACCCCAGCTTTCGTGGCCCTGGGGCTCCTGTGGAGACACCCACAATGTCCACACCACAACCCAGGGATGAGGCCAGGCAGGGAAAACGCAGGTGCAGAGAAGAGCTCTGATTTGACCAAGATGACACAGCAGGAAGTGACGGCACCGACCCCTCACCACGTGCTCGAATTAGGCAAAGCACAGGGTCGGGGCCTCATGCCATGGATGGGAGAACCAGCAGGTGCCTCGGCTACCTCAAACACAATGACGAAGGCCAGGCGGATGGCAAGAAGATTCCAGTAGGTCTGGGAATAATGTCCATCGTCATCCCGGAAAGCCCGATACCTGCAGCAGACACAGGACTCAGTGCGCGCAGCCAGGGCTGAGTGTTGGCTGGGCAGGTGCCTCTGGAATTAGCCTATCTCCCCTTTTTCCACCATTTCGCTCTCTCATCCCATGTTCCTGGCCTGGCTCTTCATCGAGGGTGCCTGAAATGGGAATTCTTCCCAAACAGGATACTCTGACAATACCTTTAACTGGTGGGTTCCAAAGGTGGATGTGCTGGGTTGTCCCCCATTGGGCTAAACTGGACCCTCCCCACCCCCCAGGTGGCAGATGCTTTATTTTCTAGTAGATGTGACAGTCCAGTACGTCTGTGCTTCTACGGATGACTTCAGTCTACTTACACGGTGAAAATCCGCCGATTGCTGACCTCTGTGAGATCAGCAGTTCACCTGCTCAGAGACTGTCCCTGTCCAGCAGAGCCCTCCCTCCCTATCATAAGCTACATTCAGCTTCACTTGCTATTTCAGACTTTGACATCTTCCTGTGTCTCTGTCCCATGGTAAAGATGTGACATTCCATTTTCTAATATAAAGTTACATGTTGCACTCCATGAAAACTATTACCAGGGTCAACTTTGTAGGAAAATAAAAAAAACAAAAAACCAAATATTGCAAGTTAAAAATATAGCCATTGGAAAAAAAATCCCTCAAATGAATGGAATAAACTTTTAAGTGGCCAGACACAGCAGAAGAGAGACTGGGGACTGGGAGACAGTGACGACGAGACCACCCTGCGGCAACACAGAGAGCACACTTGGGGGGAAGCAGGCCACAGCCCAGTGGGAGTTCCAGACGACAATGGACAAGCAGAGAAGCACTGCTGGAAGGAGTAAGATGGAGACATTTCCAGAACTAAACAAAGACGTAACTCTTTCAGCCGGGCGCGGTGGCTCATGCCTGTAATCCCAGCACTTTATTTATTTATTTATTTATTTATTTATTTATTTATTTATGAGACAGAGTCTCGCTCTGTTGCCCAGGCTGGAGTGCAGTGGCGTGATCTTCGCTTACTGCAACCTCCGCCTCCTGGGTTCAAGCGATTCTCCTGCCTCAGCCTCCTGAGTAGCTGGGACTACAGGCCCGTGCCACAATGCCCAGCTAATTTTTTGTATTTTTAGTCAAGACGGGGTTTCACCGTGTTAGCCAGGATGGTCTCAATCTTCTGACTTTGTGATCCACCGGCCTCGGCCTCCCACAGTGCTGGGAATACAGGCATGAGCCCCCGCGCCCGGCCATCCCAGTGCTTTAGAAGGCTGAGACAGGTGGATCACTTGAGGTCAGGAGTTCGAAACTAGCCTGGCCAACATGGTGAAACCTCCGTCTCTACTAAAAATATAAAAGAGTAGCTGGGCATGGTGGCAGGCACCTGTAATCCCAGCTACTCAGGAGGCTGAGGCAGGAGAATCGCTTGAACCTGGGAGGTGGAGGTTGCAGTGAGCCAAAATCATGCCACTGCACTCCAGCCTTGGCGACAAGAGGAAAACTCCATCTCAAAAGAAAAAAAAGAAATAATCCCTTCCCTAGGCCAAGTGCAGTGGCTCAACACTTTGGGAGGCTGAAGTGGGCAGATACCTGAGGTTCGGAGTTTGAGACCAGCCTGGCCAACATGGTGAAACCTTTGTCTCTACTAAAAATACAAAAAAAAAAAAATCATCTGGGTGTGGTAGCGCACGCCTGTAATCCCAGCTACTTGGCAGGCTGATGCACAAGAACCCAGGAGGCGGGGGTTGCAGTGAGCCCAGATCACACCACTGTACTCCAGCCTGGGTGACAGAGCAAGACTCTGTCCCAAAGAAAAAAGAGAATAGGACGGGCGTGAAAGGTGGCTCAGGCCTGTAATCCCAGCACTTTGGGAGGCCGAGGCAGGCGGATCACCTGAGGTCAGGAGTTCAAGACCAGCTTTGCCCACATGGTGAAACCTCATCTCTACTAAATATACAAAAATTAGCTGGGCATGGTGGTGGGCGCCTGTAATCCCAGCTACTTGTGAGGCTGAGGCAGGAGAATCGCTTGAACCCGGGAGGCGGAGGTTGCGTGCAGTGAGCCAAGATCGCGCCATTGCACTCCAGCCTGGGCAACAGAGCAAGACTCCGTCTCAAAAAAATAATAATAAAATAAAATAAATAAAAAAATAAAAATATCATTTTCTTTGATTTGTTTCACCAGCAGGCATCTGTAAAGGTAGTGCTTTTTTCTTTTTTTCTTTTTTTTTTCCTGAGACAGCGTCTCATTCTGTTGCCCAGGCTGGAGTGCAGTGGCGCCATCTCGGCTCACTGCAACCTCCGCCTCCCGAGTTGAAATGATCCTCCTGCCCCAGCCTCCAGAGCAGCTGAGATTACAGGCGTGAACTGCCACAGCCAGGTTTTGTTTGTTGTTCTTGTTTTTCTGAGACGGAGCCTTGCTCTGTTGCCCAGGCTGGAGTGCAGTGGCACAATCTCGGCTCACTGAAAGCTCTGCCTCCTGGATTCACGCCATTCTCCCGCCTCAGCCTCCCGAGTAGCTGGGACTACAGGCGTCCAGCACCACGCCCAGCTAATTTTTGTATTTTTAGTAGAGATGGGGTTTCACGGTGTTAACCAGGATGGTCTTGGCCTCCCAAAGTGCTGGGAACATAGGCATGAGCCACTGTGTGCAGCCTTTTTTTGTATTTTTAACAGGGATGGAGTTTCACCATGTTGGTCAGGCTGGTCTCGAACTCCTGACCTCAAATGATCCACCTGCCTCGGCCTCCCAAAGTGCTGGGATTATAAGCATGAGGTACCATGCCCAGCCAGAAAAATTCTTAAATGCTATGAATGCTTCCAATCAGAAAAGCCAAGTCACAAAAGAATAATATTTCCAAAGAACTGAGAGAAAATAACTCGACCTATACTTTTATATCCGCTATTTGAAGGACAAAAATGCATGGCAATATTATCATACATATGCGTGATACATATTTCTATGCATACATATGTGTATGCATTTCTGCATGTGAAGACCCCACTAACCACATACCTTTACTGAAAGAATTACTAAAGGATATACTTCAGCAAGAAAAAAAAGACTCGGAGAAGGCAATACATAAGAAATTACTGTAACCACAGAAGTTAACAAAATACACAAATAAATTTGATGAACAGATGACTGAAAATGTTTTTTCATGTGTGTTTTTAACAGTAAAACTAAAACTCCATGTAACAATAATAAGATGGAGAGATTGCTGCTTACTAGGTGGTAAGGCATGTGAAGATCCTAGTCATACACAGAGAGAGGAAACAAAACTGAGTTCATTCAGGCTTTGTTAGGATAATATATAGTTTAGAACGTGTGCTAGCCGGGTGTGGTGGCTTGTGCCTGTAATCCCAGTGCTTTGGGAGGCCAGGGCATTGCTTGAGGCCAGGAGTTTGAGACTAGCCTGAGTAACATAACATAGTAAGACCCCATCTCTTTAAAGAAAAAAAAAAAAAAAAAAAGCCAGGCCTGGTGGCACACGCCTGTAGTTCTGGCTTCTCGGGAAGCTGAGGTGGGAGGATTGCTTGAGCCCAGGAAGTCTAGGGTGCAGTGAGCTATAATTGTGGCAGTGCATTCTAGAATGGGATACAGAGCAAGACCCAGTCTCTAAAAAAAAAGAAAAAAGAAAAGAATGTATGCTAAACATATGAGTAACCCCTAAAATAATAGAAATATATGCCATCGGTTCCAAATAAGCAAAAGAATAATAATAAAAAAAACAACCAGAACACTTTTACCCATCCACCAGAAGTCAGGAGAGGAGGAATAAAAAAGATAAAGAATAAAAGGAAAAAGTAAGTATCCATTATGAAGAGATCACAAGTATGAATTCGTACACAACTAAAAAGCTCAAAATACATAGAGCAAAAGCAAAACCTGAGAGAGACCGATATGAAAAGACTGATAACCCTATGGTTTCGTAATTTTACTGCTGAGATTTGCTCCAACATTAGGAGACTATGATGCTTTTCAAGTTTATTGAAACACATGCAAAACTTCATTGTAACCAGATCACAAAGGAAGTCTCCACAACTGCGGGTGAAGTACATCTACCTGCTCTGCAGGTTCTATTATGGTATGAGGCCACCACTTCTCCTGTTGTCCTTCCCAGTTTCTCCCCAACCTCCCCTTTTCCCTAGTTTATAAGACAGGAGAAAAGGAAGAAAGCAAAAAGCTGGAAAGAAACAGAAGATAAATAGCTAGATGACCTTGGCGCCACCACCTGGCCCTGGCGGTTAAAATAACAATAATATTAACCCCTGACCAAAACTACTGGTGTTATGTGTGAATTCCAGACGCTGTATGAGAAAGCACCGTAAAACTTTTTGTACCGTTAGCTGATGTATGTAGCCCACAGTCACGTTCCTCACGCTTACTTGATCTATTATGACTCTTTCACGTAGACCCTTAGAGTTGTAAGCCCTTCAAAGGGCTAAGAATTTCTTTTTCGGCGAGCTCCGCTCTGAAGACACGAGTCTGCCGACGCCCCCGGCCGAATAAAAAAACCTCTTCCTTCTTTAATCCGGTGTCTGAGGAGTTCTGTCTGCGACTCGTCCTGCTACACTATGACCAACTAGCAATTCACCTAGAATCCACGATTTGCCCTCCAGCCCCGCAAAGCTCCGTCCCTTACCGCGGGGAACCTCCCCCCAGCCCCTGCCCACGGCGCCCCCAGCTCCCCCCCTCCCCCGGCCTTGCCCGGCGGCGCCCGCCCCTCCCGGCTCCCCACCGCCGCACCCCCACCCCACCCGAGCCCCGCTCCGCCTCGTCCTCGTGCGCCCGCGGCCCCCTCCACCTGGCGCGGGGCTCACCTGCACGTGCGGTTGTGCGCGGCGGCGAAGGAGGACGGGGCTCGCGCCAGCGTGAAGTTGAGGAAGCCGCGCAGGTCGTGGGCGCGGGTCCACCGGTAGTAGGCGCGCGGCAGGAAGTCGGACGAGAAGGCCAGGAGGAAGGCCTGGGCGCCGGAGGGGTCAGCGCGAGGCGGCCCCCGCTCCGCCCCTGCGCGCCCCCGCTCCGCCCCTGCGCGCCCCCGCTGCCCCCCCGCCCCGCCCCTGCGCGCCCCCGCTCCGCCCCTGCGCGCCCCCGCTGCCCCCCCCGCCCCGCCCCTGCGCGCCCCCGCTGCCCCCCGCCCCTGCCCGCCCCCGCCGCCCCCCCGCCCCGCCCCTACGAGCCCCCGATGCCCCCAGCCCCGCCCCTGCGCGCCCCCGCTGCCCCCGGCCCGCCCCTGCGCGCCCCCGCTGCCCCCCCCGCCCCCGCCCCTGCGCGCCCCCGCCCCGCCCCGCGCTCCCGCCCGGGCCTCACGTTGCTGATGACCGCCAGGTGCGTGAGGCCCGCCAGGATGTGGAACCAGATGCCGATGTCCTGGGCGCGCTCGGCCACCGGGCGCCGGTACTCGCAGACGAACTTGCGCGCGTCCAAGCGGATCTCCACCCAGTTGTTGAGCAGGGCGAAGAGCGGCGCGAGCGGACAGGCGGCCACGAAGATGGTGACGAAGCCGAACTGCAGCACTGCGGGGAGGGGGTCACGGCCGGGCTCTCCGCCACCGTCCGCCCTCAGCCCTCGGAACGCGCCCCCCGCGGAGGACCGGCCAGTCCACGTGGTGCCGCCACCCCATCGCGGCTCATTCCGCCCCCACCTCCTGGTCTCCCTCGTCCTGGACCGCGCAGCGCCAGGGCCGCCTCTCCTGACCGGCCTCAGGCCGGCTGTCCTGCCCTGCGCTCCGTGCTTCTGGCTGGTCACGGGCCTTCTCCGGCTCGGTGAGCTCAGGAACTAACTCAGGGCAGGCGTTGGGGCAGAAACCTGCTCCTGATTTTACAACCAGCTTCTCCAGTCACCCCACAGGGGAGCTGTTAGGAGAGGGCTCTTTGGAAGGGGCTTCTGGGTCTTCGCCGAGAATTACTAGTGAGATCATTGGGGTCCAGGGTTCAGTGGAGGAGGGTCAGGGCGTCCACTCCTCGCCCTGGGAACTGGCCTGCTCCCTTTCCACAGATGCCGCGGCTACGCTGGGGAGCTCCGGGGCCTGCCGGCTCACATGCCCGCTTGCTAGGTTAAGAGCTGCCTGCCGGGCACAGTTTCTCACGCCTGTAATCCCCAGCACTTTGGGAGGCTGAGGCAGGTGGATCACCTGAGGTCAGGAGTTCGAGACCAGCCTGGCCAACACGGTGAAACTCCGCCTCTACTAAAAATACAAAATTAGCCGGGCGTGGTGGTGGGCGCCTGTAATCCCAGCTACTCGGGAGGCTGAGGCAGGAGAATTGCTTGAACCTGGGAGGTGGAGGTTGGAGTGAGCCGAGATGGCGCCACTGCACTCCAGCCTGGGCGACAGAGGGAGACTCCGTCTCAAAAAACAAAACAAAAACAAACAAACAAACTGCCTGATGATTCCTTCTCCCTTTTGTCAGCTCAGAGTCAGACCCTGCACTGCAGGGACGGCACAGGTGATACAGACCCACCCTCCAGAGTGCACCACCCGTGCAGGCAGTGAGCCCCTGGCACTGGCCACCACCTGGTAAGGTGACAGTGGTAGGTCTGCAAATAGCGTGGGCATTGAGATTTCTGGGAACATTGGCTCTCCAGGCCGCTGCCTCCCACTGTGGCTTCACCCTTGGAGGACTTCTGTCAGCCCCCAGGGCCTGCTCTCCTAATTCTTCCCTTGCTCTGGCCCATGCTTTCTAGGTCCAGGGACCCCAGGGGAGCTCTGCAACGGCCGCGGGGGCCTCCTCCCCGTGCCGGTGCCCCTCTGTCCTCAGCCAACCCTCTTGGGCACTCTCAGGGGAAAAGAATTCCTTTCTGGATTCTCCACAGGCCCGACCCTCTGTTCCCACCCCACCCCCACAGCACATTTCAGGGCAGATGCAGACACAGGAATGTCAGGCTGGGAGGCCCTTGAGCAGAGTGGCCACCCATCCCTGCCCACGGCGCCAGCCATTGCCGCAGCTGCTAACGGGCTCCTACCCATTTCCAGGTACTCGTCAAACAGACCCTCACAGGGCACAAGCTCATAGTCGTCCTCCCAGGGCCCCTGGCTAGCCCCTGCAGAAGCTCCCGCCTTCCTCTTCTTGGAGCGAAGCCGGAACTTCTGCCACCAGCCCTTTAGCTTCCTGGGGACGGGAATACAGGAAAATGGCCTTTGATCCAACATGGGTCTCAGTGGCTGCTATAGTCCTTGGGGGAGATGTGGCCGGGACAAGCCTGTTGCTTTGCAATTGAAGGGCAGCAGGGAGGGATGGGGTCTGGGGCTGAGGGGTGGACGCAGTGAGAGCCAACAGCTTTGCAGATCGGACTCAGTGAAAGCGTCTGTGTCTGTTGGTCAGATGTGGGAGGGCAGTCCACCCGCCCAGCCCCCCGCATTGTTCCTTAAGGCTTTAGGGGTAATGGGCTCCTCCCGGAATTGCAAAGCAGTGCCAAGAGCTCTGCCAAGGTTGGGAGGGAGTGGACGAGGACGACTGTGGTGTCCCAGGGAAAGCAGATGTGGAGGCCCACGTGTTGGGTTCGTCCTACACAGGGGCATGTGTGCATGTTGCCTTATCACACTGTCACTCATCCGTGCCCTGCTCCTGCCAGGCACAGAGCTCCACCCTGCACCTTATGGTCTTGTGGTTTCACAGCACCAATAGTTCCAAGAGGCAGGGCCATCTCTCGGGATGTGGCATGGCCACCATCTCCCAACTGCTATTCCTGGTGGCCCAGAAATGTCAGTGCTGATTTGGGAGCTGCCTTCTGGGGGCAGATCAGGTGTTCAGGGGGCGCTGGGAGGGCGTTCAGGTCAGTCTGGCCTTGAGCGGGAGGCGAGGCCCTGGGCAGCCTCTTTGAAGGACTCTGGCTATGGGAGCCTTGTGGTCAGGGTGTCCCTGGCAGGGGCATCTGAGGCAGACGTGTGTCTGAGGATCAACCCTGGGACCTCCTTTTCCTCCTCCCTCTTGTGCTGCGTTGGGGCCTGGGGATGCCAAGGAATACTCTGGCCCAGCCGCAGCATCTCTGAACGGACAGAGCCATCACCCCAGCCTTGGGTCCAGGAGCCCAGACCCCCTCCCCAGCCAAAGCTGGTCCCAGGGGTAGCGTCTCCCACAACTACAACCCAGAAGACCTCAGCCAGCCACAGGGCAGCTGCAGGGCGGGCAGCCCAGAGCCCGGGGCAGACGGCCGGGCACACTCCCCCTCCCCCTCCCCAGGCAAGGTGCCTTCCCTTCACCTCTTCTCCCAGCTAGGGCCGGGCTGGAGGCTGCTACTGCCAGGTGCTCTGGGGTCCCTCGGTCCTTGGATGCCACCCAGGGAGGAGTGGGGGACTCACGGGATGAGGACCTCCTGCATGTTGTTGATGACCTGCTTGCCCACCATGATGACCAGGAGCTCCTGTGCCAGCTCGATCAGGCAGCCTCCAGCCGCGCACTACGGCAGCAGGGCTCAGGTTAGCTGGGAGAGGGGGACCAGCCACTCACCCACGCATCCCTTCTTGTCTCAAAGCTGGCCCTCATCCCGGCCCCCACCTCCCTCCTGACATGCCTTGGGCACCTGGAGGGTTGCAGAGATGCTCCCACCATAACACTCCCTCCCGACCTCACAGGAGCCCCCAGGTCCAGCTGGAAGACTGCATTGGAAAGCTGCAGGGGGCACTGCTATATGTACCTAATGGCACCCCAGTTTTCCTTTGGAGACCCACAAGGGGTTACATGGGGCTGACTGTAGCCTCTGGCTTCAAGACAGACCCACGAGGCAGGCCCCACCAATCGGTGACCCAGTTCGAGCCAGTGGGAGGTGGAGTTCCTGGGAACACGTGCCTTGCAAGGGGTGCTAAGTCCGAGAGTGTCGGCCGCACTGCAGGGCACCTTCCCTCCAGATGGGGATAATCTTTCTGAGAACACAGGCAATGCTGGGAATAGCAGTGCAGCATTTTTAACACCTGGATCATTCATACCTAAGCCCGCGTAGCCCTGAGCGTTTTCAGTACAGGAGCCAAGAAAACTCCCTGCAGCCTCCACCTCCTGGGTTCAAGCAATTCTTCTGCCTCAGCCTCCCGAGTAGCTGAGACTACAGGTGCGTGCCATCACGCCTGGCCAATTTTTGCATTTTTAGTAGAGACGGGATTTCACCATATTGGCCAGGCTATTCTCGAACTCCTGACCTCATGATCCACCTGCCTTGGCCTCCCAAAGTGCTGGGATTACAGGCATGAGCCACCACGCCTGGCCGAAAACTCCCTTTTTCGTTTAAGCCAGTTTGAGTTGGGAACTTTTCCCACTTAACAATTGAGAGCCCTCTGGCTGGTCCGTTGTGGCACCCGCAGCCACACTCCCCACTCCATCCCCAGCCTTCCCTTTCCCCTCTCACATGAAATGGACACCACCCCTTTGGGGGCAGCCACTTTGCAGTTGGGCTGGCTCATGGCCCAGACCCCATGCGAAGTTTCTCTCCTCCTCCTCCTCTTCCAAAAGGAGAAGAGGTCTTTCAGGCCAGGGGTCACTCAGCAGGGGTCCACTTAGGTCCCAGCCCAGCCCAGAGGCCACCTGTGGATGGCTCCAGATGCACCCACCCTGCTGCCTGCGACCCCAGCTGCTGGGACATGCCTGGCCCTCACCCAGGAGGGGCTGTGCGTCGGGAACAGTTTTGAGGGCTTCTCTACGGTGTCTTGGAGGGGCTGTGGCACAGTGGAGACTACTTCTGGGGTGATGCACACGTCAGTTACTTGCACCAGAATCTCTGTCTTGGGGTCTGCTTTGCAGGGACCCCCGTGACAACAACGCTTCATCCTCCACCAGGTGAACTTCCATTTGCTTTCTGAAAAACCAGGTTCACGCCTGGCTCTCAGAGATACGGAGTAGCTAAGGCTCTTAGAGATACAGTCACAGGCAGAGCCCACTGTGCTGATGGGGAGAGGACAGCTGGCCACAGGGAGATCCCTGACAGCCATGGCGGCAGCACGCCAAGCCTGTGAGGAGGCCAGCCCCTGCGACCCCTGTGTGCCATGAGGAGGCCAGCCCCTGCGGGCCGTGTGCCATGAGGAGGCCAGCCCCTGCGGGCCTGTGTGCCATGAGGAGGCCAGCCCCTGCGGGCCGTGTGCCATGAGGAGGCCAGCCTCTGCGGGCCTGTGTGCCAGAGGCTCTGCGCCCACCGTAATGGCTCACACTTTTCTCAGGTGTGAATTGGGTTAAAATGGGGAAAGAGTAATACGGGCTGGGACAGCTGGGGTGGGGTAGGGTTTTTGGTTTGCTTTTTTATTAATTTTTGTGGCGATGAGGACTCACTATGTTGTCCAAGCTGGTCTCGTACTCTTGGGCTTAAGCGATCCTCCTCCCTCAGCCTCCCTAAGTGCTGAGATTACAGGCGTGAGCCACTGTGCCCGGCCTGGAGTGTTTTGGTGTGGTTCTGAATGGGGCATATCGGGGGTCAGAATAAGTGGTGAAGAGAGGCTGGGAGCCCTGAGTGGTCAGCTGCACAGCTGGCCCTGGCTGGGCGATGGAAATAGCCGGTGGTGGGAGGAATTGCTGCAAATCAAAGCTCGAATGGAAGAATGGAAGTGAGAGGAAGCACACAGCTCATCCCCCAGTCCCGGGCCTCAGGCACACTCACCTCCTCATTGCGGACTCCAAACAAGGTGTGGTAGTTGCCTGGGTATCCCACAAACCTAGGAGAAAGTCAAGATCATGAGCCTTGATGGGATCCTTCCTGTCTCCTCCCACTTCCCTGGGCTCTGGAGGCCTCAGCAGAGCTGCTGCACCTGCCCTGGAGGAAGCACGAACTGTGGCGTAGAGTCCCGGTTGTGAGCTGGGCCTCCTGTGGACCCCCGAGCTGGGTAGGGACCAAGAGGTGGGCAGCCCCTGTTTGCTCAGAGGTGCCAGGAGGCATGGGCCCCTGTCCCCTGCCTGGGTCTCCGGTTCCGTCCTCCACCTGCCTGAGCACGGCTGGATGACGCCTGGTACCCAGGCAGCGGGAAACATGAGCAGAACTAAGCCGGGACAAGCTGTGGCCAGAGGGAGAGGTGCCCACCAACCTGCCCTTGAAGAAGGCAATGTAGACGGGTGAGGAGTAGAAGTTGACGAACTGGAAGATGAACACCTTGAGGGTGAAGGCGTCCTCGAACTTGGTCTGGGTGCGGTGCATTTCTGTGGCATGGAGAGCCTGGGCTCAGTCCCTGGGGGAGTCACCAGCATCCAACTAGGGGCCCCCTCTCCTAGGACCACCTTGCCACACACGGGTGAGGAAAAGGCCATATCATCCAGATATTTAAAAGAAGGAGACAAAGTGTGACATTTCCGAAGTCACCCAAAAACATGTTGATTAACAGGAGTTGGGAAAATTGATAATACCCTATATCCCAACACTAATAATGAATGTGGTGCACACGGGTGAGTGGTCAGGGGATGGGTCAGAGAAACAGAATAGAGGCTCGGTGCCAAGGCTGCGCAGCGGACTGGGCTCCGGTGCAGGTGCCGGAGGCAGGAGCATCAAAGGCTGAAGGTTACAGGAGGGAAAGAGGGAGGCTCAACACCCCACAGCAACCCCACAGTTGCAGAAACAAATGGGTGGCTCCCCTCAGAGCCCTACCCTTGGCCATCCAGAACCAGGAACCTCTCCCTGAGACACCTGCCACCTGCAAAGGTCTTTCCCTGACACCCACCTTCCCCTGGCCACCCACCAGGAGGCACTTCCTCCTCAGCACTTAAGCCCTCTCCCATTCTCTGTAGCTGTGCAGGCAGCCAGTTCTGTCCCCTCTCCTAGAACCTGGGCTCCAGGGTGGGGCTGCCAGCTTTTGTTCAAGACTATTCACCCCCAGGGCTAGAGCAGGGCTAGTGAGAGGCAGCAGCTTATGGAATGAATAGGTTGGTCGTAAGTGTTTGTCCTCAGGAAATGAGACAGAGAAAAAGACCGATGGGAGAGGAAGGGGGAGGGAAGAACTGAGAGGTGGCTGCCCAGCCCAGCAGCCGATACCCCACACCACCCAACAGAGGCTCAGCGGCCCTATCCTAGAGGGACATCTCCCACCTGGGGGACCTTGCAGCCTGGAGGGGGGCCCTGTGGAGGGGTGAGAACTCTTTGGGTGCTGGAGTGCCCCCAGGGTCTTTTATCTCCAGGAAGGCCCTGCTCACTGCTCTTTTAAGGGGGCCTCTGGGGAGGCTCAGACAACTCCAATCTGTACCACATTTAGAAATAGGGAGCACTGGCTTCCTAACCCAGGGATTGTTTGTGTCCCACCTGGGGTGCCAAAAACAAAAAATAAGAGAAAGAAAACCAGGTGCTGTGGCTCATGCCTGTAATCCCAGCACTTTGAGAGGCCTAGGCAGGAGGATCCCTTGAGGCCAGGAGCTCGAGACCAGCCTGAGCCACACAGTGAGACCCCTGTCTCTATCAAAAAAAAAAAAAATTTCAGCTGGGCACAGTGGTCCAGGTACTGAGGAGGCTGAGGCAGGAGGATCCCTTGAGCCTGGGAGGTCAAGGCTACAGTGAGCCATGATCGTGCCAGTGCACTCCAGCTTGGGCAACAGAGTGAGATCCTGTCTCAAAAGAAAAAAGAAGAAAGAAATAGAAATGAGGGCCATGTGTGTCAGTGAGTGAGAAAGTCACGTTCTGGCTGGCGGCCGGCAGGGTGGGCCCCTGGTCAGTGCCTGGCCGGCCTCAGCCCACTCACCCCATCGTGTCAGGACGTGGGCCAGGGATACATAGATCTTGGAGAGGATGAGGATGAAGACGAGGTTCACTACAGACCCCGTGAGGCTGGCGATGCGAGAGGCCTAACGGGAGACAGGCCGTCAGAGCCGGATGAGGGGCCGCTCAGGGCCCCCCGAGGCAGGCAGCAGAGGCTCACCCAGGCTGCGAGAAGGGTGTTGCCCGACCTGGACACCACGATGGCCATGATGGCACGGTACAGGATGATAGACACGAGGCACATGACCACCACGGCCACCTGCGGGGGCAGGGAGGCCCGTGAGACCCTTCACGGTGTCTTGGGCACCCCAGCACCCTCAGGCCATGGCCCCCGACAGCTCTTCTAGTCCACTGCTGGCCCCAGCACTGCCACCTCTAGGAAGGCCCCTGCCTCCAGCCCCGGCTGTGCTCCCAGGCTATGTCCTTCCTGATGAGTTGCTCAGGCAGAGGTGGGGTGGGGTTAGAGTTAGAGGCTGGGCCACATCTGGGTGTCAAGGCAGCCACTGTGAGTGTTGGAGAGCCATCCCATCCCAGGAATTGGGGATTCCTGACATCTTGGCAGGGGAGTGAGAGGTCCTATTAGGAAGCCCCTTTGGCTGGAAGGCAAGACAGGGTGCAGTGAATGGCCCTGCTGGGGTGCCCGCCTCTCTTTTCCTTGAAACCAACCCCCTTGCTTGAAAAATGCCCCATGCCCGCACCCACGGGGAGACCCTCCCAGGCCCTCCGTATGACTCACACCTGCTCTCAGCCGGGACCCCACGGCCGAGCCCGGGCACATGGGGGCCTCTCTGCGGGGAGTGAGGGTTCTGTGCCCAGAGGAGGCATCTGGCCACGGCACCAAGGTGAGATGGGGGACAAAACCACCCCACATGGTGCAGGAGGATGGAGGCGTGAGCGGAGGGCAGGGGGACCGCATACCATCACCACGATCACCACAGAGCCGGCCAGCATGCGGCGCGCGCGGCTCCTCTCAGGGAAGTAGGGCTCGTCCTCACCCGTGATGGGGTTCGGGGCTGTCATGGGGGCTGAGGCGGCAAACTGGGGCCGAGGCCTCTCCTGGAAGGGAGCCGGTGCTCAGTGGCGGCCCTCGCCGGGTGTGACCGTGGTCCAGCGGGGGTGGCTCACCTCAGTGTCCTCGTAGTCAGAGCAGTCCCAGCGGTAGGCCAGCGTGGCGCTCTTCCGCTTCCAGTACTCCAGCAGCAGCACGGCCCACAGTGCCATGAACAAGCTGAAGAACACGGTGCCGCCGTGGTCGAACAGCCGGCCGGCCTGTGGCAGGGAGCGGGGGCGTCCAGACTTGCTTGGGACTGGAGGCCCCTTGTTCCTTCCAGTGTTCCTTCCTCCTGGAATGGGAGTGTGCATCCCACACACATCCCCCGACTGTGTATTTTTTGTTTGTTTGCTTGAGACGGAGTCTGGCTCTGTCACCCAGGCTGGAGTGCAGTGGCGCGATCTCGGCTCACTGCACGCTTCGCCTCCCGGGTTCACGCCATTCTCCTGCCTCAGCCTCCCAAGTAGCTGGGACTACAGGCGCCCGCCACCACGCCCGGCTAAATTTTTGTATTTTTAGTAGAGACGAGGTTTCACCGTGTTAGCCAGGATGGTCTCGATCTTCTGACCTTGTGATCCACCCGCCTTGGCCTCCCAAAGTGCTGGGATTACAGGCGTGAGCCACCGTGCCCAGCCCCCTGACTGTGTTTTGGAAGCACAGACCCACAGAGGGAGAGGAATTTTGCCTCAGGACGGCTCACACCCAGGTCTCACCCACACCTGACTTTGAGGATGCGATTTGGGACTTTCTGAGCTGATATTTTCATGAGGTTTTGGACCTAGAGTTAATGCTGTAAGAGGTTGAGACTTTGGAGGATGCTGGGATGAGGTGAGTGTATTTTGCACGTGGGATGGACATGAAGTTTTGGAACCAGAGGATGACCTGTAGTGAGTTGAATTCTGGCCCCCAAAAGATATGTTCGTTGGGAACCTCAGAATGTAATCTTATTTGAATAAGGGCCTTTGTAGATGTAAGGTAAGGATCTCCAGATGAGAGTACTCTGGACAAACCCTTACAAGAGGGGAGAAGAGGAACCAGCACGCAGACACAGAAGGGAAGGCCAGGTGGAGATGGAAGCAGAGATTGGAATGAGGCGGCCACAAGCCAGGGAGGACCAAGGACTGCCAGCAGCACCAGAAACCAGGAGAGAGGCCTGGGGCTGAGTCCCCAGAAGTGGCCAAGCCTGCCAACAGCTTGATTCTGGACTCTGGCCCCGGGCCTGTGAGAATAAGCTTCTGCTGTTTTAAGTCCCCATTTGTGGTCCTAGGAAACATCCAAGTGGATTCCCAGAAGTGAGGTCAAACGGCGTCTGGCCCACCAGTAGTGCCAAGGGCTCTGGGTCCAGTGCATGTGGGGTACAAGCGAGGCCCTGAGGCCCCTGGGAAGGTGGACAGACCCAGGAAGCATGCCAGGCGGGAGGGGGGACAGTGGGGCTCAGAGACTGCAGGAGCCTCCCGCCCAGGTCTTGTAAGTTGGGAATTCTGCTCAAAACCTTTGGTTTTGCCTGTGCCCTGGGGTCTCCAGGGTTTGTCCGCCTTGGAGCCAAGGGCCAGGTGCCCCCAGAGTGCCAGAGCTAGAGTCCTGGTGTGGGGTGTCCTCAAGTGGGAAGCACTAACATGGGCCACTCTGCCAAGTGCTGGGAGGTGTGTGCCGGGTGTAACCCCAGTTCCAGGCAAGAGAACAAAGGTTAAGGAGCTCATGGAGCGTTCTGCCTTTAGCTGGTGACAAGCAGGACAGGGGCTGGTGCAGGCAGAGTCAGGACCAGGACAAGGGGAGCTGCCCTCCTCATCCCCGACTCTCAAATCCCTTACCCCACCCACCTCTTCTCGTACCTGGGCCAGGGCACAGGCGCTGGAGAGCAGCCAGAAAGGGCAGTCGAGGCAAAGTGGGCACATCTCGAAGCTGTCCTTGCTGCCACACAGTTCCTGCCTGCAAGGCATGGAGCGGAGGGGTGGGAGCTAATGGGGGAGGGGGGCTGCTTGCTCCTCCCAGCCAGGCGCCTCCCTTGTCCTCTCTCTCCCTTGTCCTCTCTGTCCACCACTGCCTTTGCCAGGCCCAGCATTTCTTAAAAAAAATAGTTGTTTTAAAATATATGCCATGACAATGTCTGAGTTAAGTTTCTGAATTTCAGTTCCATGATAAACTAAAACACAAGCCCATTTATTAATATTATAAGAAAGCTTACATTATTATAATAAACAAGAGTGCCAATAAAATTAGCATGGGAGCACTCCTGCCCATCTGTCAGCCTTGGAACACTCCTGTCCACCTGTGTCAGCCTGGGAGCACTCCTGTCCACCTGTCAGACTGGGAGCACTCCTGACCACCTGTGTCAGCCTGGGAGCACTCCTGTCCACCTGTCAGCCTGGGAGCACTCCTGTCCACCTGTCAGACTGGGAGCACTCCTGTCTACCTGTGTCAGCCTGGGAGCACTCCTGTCCACCTGTCAGCCTGGGAGCACTCCTGTCCACCTGTGTCAGCCTGGGAGCACTCCTGCCCACCTGTGTCAGGCTGGGAGCATTCCTGCCCACCTGTCAGCCTGGGAGCACTCCTGTCCACCTGTCAGACTGGGAGCACTCCTGTCCACTTGTGTCAACCTGGGAGCACTCCTGTCCACCTGTCAGCCTTGGAGCACTCCTGTCCACCTGTGTCAGGCTGGGAGCACTCCTGCCCACCTGTGTCAGGCTGGGAGCACTCCTGTCCACCTGTGTCAGCCTGGGAGCACTCCTGTCCACCTGTCAGGCTGGGAGCACTCCTGTCCACCTATGTCAGCCTGGGAGCACTCCTGTCCACCTGTGTCAGCCTGGTAGCACTCCTGCCCACCTGTGTCTGGCTGGGAGCACTCCTGCCCACCTGTCAGCCTGGGAGCACTCCTGTCCACCTGTCAGCCTGGGAGCACTCCTGTCCACCTGTCAGACTGGGAGCACTCCTGTCCACCTGTCAGCCTGGGAGCACTCCTGTCCACTTGTCAGACTGGGAACACTCCTGTCCACCTGTGTCAGCCTTGGAGCACTCCTGTCCACCTGTGTCAGGCTGGGAGCACTCCTGCCCACCTGTGTCAGGCTGGGAGCACTCCTGTCCACCTGTGTCAGCCTGGGAGCACTCCTGTCCACCTGTCAGACTGGGAGCACTCCTGACCACCTGTGTCAGCCTGGGAGCACTCCTGTCCACCTGTCAGCCTGGGAGCACTCCTGTCCACCTGTCAGACTGGGAGCACTCCTGTCTACCTGTGTCAGCCTGGGAGCACTCCTGTCCACCTGTCAGCCTGGGAGCACTCCTGTCCACCTGTGTCAGCCTGGGAGCACTCCTGCCCACCTGTGTCAGGCTGGGAGCATTCCTGCCCAGCTGTCAGCCTGGGAGCACTCCTGTCCACCTGTCAGACTGGGAGCACTCCTGTCCACTTGTGTCAACCTGGGAGCACTCCTGTCCACCTGTCAGCCTTGGAGCACTCCTGTCCACCTGTGTCAGGCTGGGAGCACTCCTGCCCACCTGTGTCAGGCTGGGAGCACTCCTGTCCACCTGTGTCAGCCTGGGAGCACTCCTGTCCACCTGTCAGGCTGGGAGCACTCCTGTCCACCTATGTCAGCCTGGGAGCACTCCTGTCCACCTGTGTCAGCCTGGTAGCACTCCTGCCCACCTGTGTCAGGCTGGGAGCACTCCTGCCCACCTGTCAGCCTGGGAGCACTCCTGTCCACCTGTCAGACTGGGAGCACTCCTGTCCACCTGTCAGACTGGGAGCACTCCTGTCCACCTGTCAGCCTGGGAGCACTCCTGTCCACTTGTCAGACTGGGAACACTCCTGTCCACCTGTGTCAGCCTTGGAGCACTCCTGTCCACCTGTGTCAGGCTGGGAGCACTCCTGCCCACCTGTGTCAGGCTGGGAGCACTCCTGTCCACCTGTGTCAGCCTGGGAGCACTCCTGTCCACCTGTCAGACTGGGAGCACTCCTGTCCACCTGTGTCAGCCTTGGAGCACTCCTGTCCACCTGTCAGACTGGGAGCACTCCTGTCCACCTGTGTCAGCCTTGGAGCACTCTTATCCACCTGTGTCAGCCTGAGAGCACACCTGTCTACCTGTTTCAGCCTGAGAGCAGTCCTAGCTACCTGTCAGCCTGGGAGCACTCCTGTCCACCTATCAGCCTGGGAGCACTCCTGACCACCTGTCAGCCTGGGAGCACTCCTATCCACCGGTGCCAGCCTGGGAGCACTCCTGACTACCTGTCAGCCTGGGAGCGCCCCGTCTGCCTGTCAGTCTGGGAGTGCTCCTGACCACCTGTCAGTTTGGGAGCACTCCTGTCCACCTGTCAGCCTGGGAGCACTCCTGTCCACCTGTCAGCCTGGGAGCACTCCTGTCCACCTGCCAGCCTTTCAGCCATGTCCACAAGGCCCTCTGTGACACTCCTGAAGACAGGCATGTGCTCACCTCACACCTCAATCACCTCAAGCACCAGCTGTCTGCACAGGACCTAGCACCTAGGGGTCCCCCCGCCCCACACCCATCTGGAGGCCCAGCACCAGGCCCCAGAGCTGCGGAGAGGGAACACTCACGTGGGTATGTCTGAGAACACCAGGAAGCAGCCCACCAGGAACACCAGTGTGCCCACCACTGCCGCTGGCAGGAGCCAGCCTGTGTAAAACCCTGTAGAGAGGATGGCAGGGGTCCACCATCAGGAACCCAGGCTTGGGGGCCCCAGGTAGGGGTCTGCACAGCCATGCTTGTCCCCTAGGGACCACCCTCAGCCCAGCTTGGGGGCTGGGGCCCTATGTGAGGAGGCCAAGAGGTACACAGCTCTCCCTGGCAGCTCTGGCACGGCCCACCCTCCTGGGCCTCTGCCCTAGACTCTGGACACCCCTACCACATTGACCCCAACACCAGTGCTGCTGGGGCTCCAGCCCACCAGGCTCTCCACCTCTGGATGCCTTCTCCTCAGCCAGCTCACTCCAACCAACCTGCCCGGGACGGACAGAGAAGTCCCTCTACATCCTGCCCACCACAGAGCTGTGGGCCCACCCGTGTTCCAGCCCCAGGGAAACCACGAGTCATTCCGGGTACCTCCCTCCCCACCACCCAACCCCCACCCTGGCCCCTGCCTCATCTGACCACAGCCGCAATCCCTCAGTTACCCCAGGCCCTCAGCATGTACCCCCACTGCCTCCCATAGGGCTAGTCCAGTCCCAGGCCTGGTGTCCTGTCTCCTGCCTGACTCTCTGCTGGCCAAAGTGACTGCTGTGAAACGCAAGTCTGCCTGGAGCCCAGATCCAGCCCTGGCCCTGCTTGCCCCCAGAAGCCCCCAGCCTGGCCGTGCTGTCCCAGGGTTGCTGCTCCAGGTCCTGAGATGGCCGGGTGAGTCCTGGCACACAGGAGCTGTCCCTCTGCCCCGATGCTGTGCCCCGGCTGCCCTTCCATGCCTGCCGGCCCCGCCCGCTGCCCTGGCTGGCTCTATTGTCTGGGTCCACGGTGGGGCTGTGTGTGCGGATGAGAAAGGGCTTTGGAAGTTCTGGGGCACAGAATGAAGGGGTTGGGTCTGACCCAGGATGGGGAAGGGAGGGTGCCAAGAGCTGAGTGGGGTGAGGGCAGCCAGGACCCAGGAGGAACAGCTCTGGGGTTGCCTGGGGCAGATGGCCTGCTTGGAGGAGATGAGAGGCTTGGCCTGGACCCAGGCAGGGGCGACCTCCCTAGGATGGAAGTTCCTGGGGTTGCCCCAGGGCCTCATGGGCCAGTGACATTCGGGGAGGGAGTCAGGAGAGACCCCCACCAGCAGAAGCGGCTCTCAGCACTGTTACTGGAGCATTAGGAGGCCAGGGCCCGGCATCGTCATGGCGCCCAGTTAGAGTGAGTGGGCTTGAGGGGAGCCAGGAGGGCAGCCCGGTCGAGCCAAGAGCTGCGCCCACCGTCCAGGCCCCCACGCACGCTGCCCTCCAGGGGTACGGACTGGCAAATTGTTACAACCTGACACCAAGCTGGGGGGGCCCAGGTGGTCTGGGGGGCAGCGGGGGGGACTCACCGAGCCAGGCGAAGTAGAGGGCCACCTTCTCCCCGAAGTACCTGCGCACGTGGTCCAGGGGCTGGTACTTGTTCCACTTGCCCCAGCGCGCCCAGTGCTGGAAAAGGACTTGGCGCTGGTTGAGGCGTGGAGCCTGCGGGCCCTCTGGGGGCGTCTTGAAGGGGCCCTGGGGGCGAGCGGCCTGTGGGTGGGAGGCTCCCCCAGCTGACCCCACTGGGCACTGTTGTAGGTGCAGGGGCTTCAGTGTGGGACATGGGCAGACAGGCCTGGGAGTCTGGGATTGCTCCATGAAGAAAAAATAGAGTAATGTGGAGGGGTGGGTACAGGGTGGTCCGGGAGGACCTCTCTGAGGAGGGGACATATGTGGTGAGGCCCCTCTGACTCCTGGACTTCGAGGGTTCAGGGCGGGGAAGGGCCTGGAGAGGCCACCCTGAGAGAAGCCAGTGGCGGTGGTCCAGGGTCCAGCACCTTCTCTGGGTTGGAGAGTCCCCAGGCTCGTGTCCTGTGCTGTGCATTCTGGGCCCTGGCTGGCGGGAGGAGCCACCCCAGCAAGGTGGGACACCTGGCATTTCCACACCCACTTTTTCATTTAACCCTCATGACGGCGTTGGGGCAGGACTGGACCCCTGGCCATGCAGCAGTGGGCTCAGGCCTGACCAGGCCCCAGATGCCCTGGCTGCCTGCAAGGCCCCTCCCCTGCTCGGCCAAGGGGGAAGGCTTGGGCGGGTGGGGGAATAAATGGCCTTCTGCTCCCCACAGTGGCTGTTTTCTCAGGGATGATGGTAACGCTGATAGGAACAGGTGCAGCGGCAGCTGCCCTGGTCAGTGCCCGCTTTGGCATTGCCTCAGTTTACCCAGCTTCTGGAGGGGGATAGGAGACCTCACTGTCTTTCCCAGCAAGAGACGCTACCCAGAGAGACAGAGCCATAGCATCTAGAGCCCAGGGACCGGCCTGTTCCCGTGTTGGGCACCGCAGTGTGGGCTGCAGTCCCCGCAGAGCCGGACCTGAGGCCCCGGACAGGCCACGGGATGGCCTGATCACATCGCCGCATGTGTGTGCATTTAGTGTTCTGACTCCTGGGTGGCCACGCCGGCTGACCATGCCTGCCCCACACCCGCCTCCCTGGGGGCCAACAGGACCCAAGGGGACTCATCTCCCATACCCAGGCTGGAGCCCCCAGCCCCCGAGCTCACGTCATGCAGGGGGAAGGCGGCACTGAGGACACCCTCTGCCAGCAGCTGGTGGATCCCAAGCAGGTTTTTCTTCTCGTGGCCATACGGGGTCTTGGCCAGGATCTCAAACAGCTGCAGGGGATGTGGAGGATGGCGCAGGTCACTTGTCACGTGATAGCAGAACAGGGAAGTCCTAGCTAGCCTGTCTTTAGGCCAAGGCCATGGACGGCCTCCCTCAGCCTTCTGGTGACAATAGCGATCTGATGGAAAGGCTTGGGACTTTGTGTCACCACCGCACATGCACATGCAGGACGCCCCTGTGCCAGGGTAGTGCTCATTCTCCCACTGTGCAGGCTCAGAGTCCTTGACCAGAGCCACACGGCATGTGGGAGTCGAGTCTGCACCTGAAGCTGGGCCCCTGCCTGGCCGTGCGCAGCCCACTCTGGACCTGCACCCTGGGTGACGGTGAACACTGCAGCCTGGCAGCTGTGTCCAGGGTGTGCCCTGCCCCCTACCTGGGCAGCCACGTGACTGTGTGCCCTGTGGTGGTCAGCAGGGCCTCTCTTGGGTAGGCCTCAGGAACAGGCCTCCTGCCGGGTGCCTTGGGCCTGCCCCGCCTGGGGCCACCCTTCCTCCGACGCTGCAGGGCAGGTCTGCTCCCAGCCGGCAGGACCCACCCTGCCTGGGGCTAGTCTCGGCTGTCCCACATGTCCATAGATCCAATATCTATTTTGAGCCCTGGGGTCCCGGAGGGGAACTGGGCCCTTCCCCACCCCTTCCCAATCCCAGGTCATGGCCTGCCCTGTGTAGCGAGGTGAGGTCAGCCTCTAAAGTTTCCAAAGCCTCCGGGCTCCAGGCCTCGGCCCTCTGGTCTCAAGCAGGCCTTTCTGCATCCATGGAGGCTGGGGGCTGGCAGGATCCTCAGAGCCAGGTCAGGGTTTGGGGCCCGCGGCAGGGAACCCCCACTCACAATTTGGTGCCTCTTGGTGCTTGTGAAGAAGGTGTCCTGGTTGTCACTCCCGAGGAAGCTGTGGGCATGTGAACAGTGCAGAAGGTTTGGAGGAAGCTGTGGGCATGTGAACGGTGCAGAAGGTTTGGAGGAAGCTGCGGGCATGTGAACGGTGCAGAAGGTTTGGGGCCCGGGTGCTGGCGCGCACGCAGAAGCACAGGCCTGCGGACACAGCCCTCGCCCCAGGAGAAGCAGCTGGCTCCCCGGCAGGTCAGCAGCTCCCGATTATGCCTTTTCACATCCCCAGGAACAGGAGGCCACAGCAGGCCCCCAGATACCCAGAACCCCTCACCACACACAGGGTGGGGGGAAGCAAACTGTGGTTGGGCACAGGGCAGGGCGGTGTAGAGAGGGCCAGGCTGGCCAGGGAGCCCCATCCCGTGTGCCGCCCTGAAGCTCCGTCATGGGGCCGAGGGTGCTCGTGGGCAGTGCGGACAGTGACTGGGTAGGGGCCCTCCCTGGGAAACCAGAATCTTGGGAAGCCATAGGTGGGGCAACACGGAGTGAGGCTGAATTTCCCACCAGCCCCAAAAGGAGGCATCCCGTGTGGCAGAAAGGCCGCCTTCAGCACTGGTTCCCCGACAGTGGTCCCTGCCACTTCTGGACTCCCCTAGTCTGTAGGCCTGGTGCCATAGTGCAACTGGCTTTGTCCAGTAGTAATGTGTGTGGACGACACACGTGTCGTTTCCAGGAGGGAGCCAGCATGGGCCAAACGTGTCCCTGTATTCTACCTCCACAGTTGGGGACGCTGTGACGAGACAGAGCCTCCATCGCCCGGGCCCTGAGAGACCGTGGTGAGCAGGTACCGCGCCGCCCCACCACACGTGTGCCTGAGCAGGAACTAGACCTCGCGTGTCCAGCCACTGGGCCTTGGGGGGGTTATCTGTCCTGCAGCACAACCGCCCCAGCCCGGCTGACGCAGCGGCATTTGGAAATGCAGACACGCGATAAGCGTGCGCACCTGGCCTCAGATTCCCTGCCGAAAACTCCAGGTGAGGAGAGTCCTGGGGAAGCACCAAGTTCCGCTCACTCATTCACCGACTCCCACTCACTCCTGTTCTTTCCTCCGACTGGCAGGGCCCCTGCCTTACCGTGGCAGCTTGTTCACTCTGAACCGGCAGGAGTAGTACTCGGGGGGTACGTCTGGCACAACCTCCAGCAGGACGTTGGGGATGCCCAGCCATGCCAGCAGGCCGGCCGACCAGTTGGAGGCCTGGTTGGGTAACTCCTGGAAGGAAACGTCAGTGGCTCCTCCCACTCCCGGGAGGAGGGCAAATGCCCCAGGTGGGAGTGGAGGTTGTGCAAGTTTGCAAATTGGGCAATGGGCGAAGGGGCTCCAGCAGAGGGAAGGAGCGTGGTAGACCCTGTGAGGGCCCAGGTGAGCCCCTTCCCCTCTCAGGGCCTCAGGCTCTGAGGCTGCTCAGCTTGTCAATTTGTAGCCCAGAGACCCTCAAGTGGAAAAGGGGTGGGAACTGGTAAGTAGCGTGTCTCCCACCCGCACGCAGTGAGGGTCAGGCCAGCCAGTGCGGTGGGAGGCGGACCCACGTCCAGGCCCATCTTCCTGAGGTCACCTGGAGGCAGCCTTCTCCACCCCATGTTCATAGGCAGGGCCCTCAGCAGGTGGCCTGGCGG